>NC_000001.11:178336102-178639132 GCF_000001405.40 Homo sapiens
AAATAGTATAATTTACTTCGTAGGTTTTTATATTTTAGAAGTCTGTTTTCCTAGGAAATCGCTGTTGTAATTTTCCTTTTTCTTCCTTTTTTTTTTTAATGCTTGATAACAGTCTTTAGAGTTCTACTGGATTTTGGTGTGCTTCAGTTAGTTGTAAGGAAATAATGGAAATTGGAAATTGGATGAAGTTAACTGCCTGCAGTAGTATTTTGAATTATATAATACATATGTATGTCTTTGTATCAGTGGTAAGCCAAAGACTGATTGTACCATAAGATCTATGCTTTTTCTAAATAGATTTTATAGAAACAGTAGCCCATAGTTGCAAATATTCTTTAAAACGAAGGCAAAACCAAATGCCTAATGATCGTTATTTCTACTGAAACTGAGTGTTATCTGCATTATATGAGAAAAATGGACTAATGCTTTAGTTGTGACAGCACATTAGCTTAATAGGAAATCTGTAAGCCTAACATAATTATGTGTGTGTATGTATATGTATAATTATGTATGTGTATATATAAAAATATATGTATGTATGTATAACTAAATAAATATATAAATATATTTTTAAATCCACTAAAGAAAATGAATTTGTTTAAACTCCCTTTTTAAATGAGGAGGTCCAATATTACAGGCACGTCCTTGGCTCTCTGAGCATATTCAGAGATAGTACCCAGTAATATCCAACACTATCCGAAAATACTTTTAGTTGCTTTTCATTGTTTATTCATGAATTTTTTTGTAGAAATAAAAGTGTTGGTTTTGTTCTTTTAGTATAATCTTACTCATATGATGAAATAAAAGTAGGAAAGATTTCCTTGTATTTTCCCATTTAGATTTTGCTTATTATTATTATTTTTTTGAACTGTGGTCTTGTTCACATGAAAGCCTTAGTTTCTCAACTCAATATCAGGGGACTGATATTTGATTTTGCCTACTCCCTATAATACTTCCTCCTAGCCAATTGCCATTCCAGAAAAAAAAAATGCAGTCTACTAAGTCATCTTAGTGGGAAGAGCAAGGTAAAGCTCTAATGCTTAGCCAGAAGTTCTAAAAATATTTTGTGACTATCATAATTGTTACTTGTTTGACATGGCCCTTTCTAAACACTTGTAAGTACTTTGCTAACCATATGAATTAACAAGTCTTCTGATCTTCATAATGCCTCCCTTTATCAGAGAGCAGAAGTATGTATGTATGTGTATCTGTGTATTGTGCTGGCATCCCATCATACAAAAATGAAATTAAATAAAGTTTTAATGGTATTTCTGAATAAGTGGGTGACTTTGGTGTTTGTCATTCAAATGATAAACAATGGTTTTCTTTTTAAATATGAACTCTCAAAAGAATGCAGTGGGAAGACCCACATATCAGAATGCCAATCTTTTTTATGGGTAAACATGAAAAGACACTGTGTTTATGGTTAGAAGAAGCTGAGTATATGATCATCTGCTGTTCAAAAGAGGAAGCACATGTAAGCTCAAGAGCCAGCACACTTACAGCCTGGTATAACCTCAGTTGGTTTGCTTTGAGATGTGTTTTCTGCTTGGAAGAGGAGAACATAGGTATCCAGAGGGTGGCTTGTTGTTCATTAATTTATTTGATAAGCAATAAAATTGATATGCAAGTAATTTTTTTTTTTTGAGACGGAGTTTTGCTCTTATTGCCCAGGCTGGAGTGCAGTGGCGCAATCTCAGCTCACTGCAATCTCCTTCTCCCGGGTTCAAGCGATTCTCCTGCCTCAACCTCCCGAGTAGCCGAGATTATAGGCGCCTGCCACCACGCCTGGCTAATTTTTGTATTTTCAGTAGAGACAGGGTTTCACCATGTTGGCCAGGCTGTTCTTGAACTCCTCACCTCAGGTGATCCACCCACCTCGGCCTCCCAAAGTACTGGGATTACAGGCGTGAGCCACTGTGCCCAGCTGTGATTTTTAATTATATACAGCTAGCTTATTATTTTTGTGCTCACTGATTTTCAAAAAGATCATGCATTTATGGTTTCAGAATTTTTTTTTATTATTTATTTATTTATTTATTTTTGAGACAGAGTCTTGCTGTGTTACCCAGGCTGGAGTGCAGTGGCATGATCTCGGCTCACTGCAACATTTGCCTCCTGGGTTCAAGCGATTCTCTTGCCTCAGCCTCCCAAGTAGATGGGATTACAGGCATGTGCCACCACGCCTGGCTAATTTTTGTATTTTTAATAGAGATGGGGTTTTACCATGTTGGTCAGGCTAGTCTCGAACTCCTAACCTCAAGCAATCCACCAACCTCAGCCTCCCAAAGTGCTGGGATTACAGGCGTGAGCCACCGTGCCGGGCCTGGTTTCAGAATTTCTTAATGGCTAGCATATTGAATTGTATACCTGAACCAAAGTCAGAATCCCATAATATTACTTTTATATGGGATGGAGGGAAAATACATTATCTACATTCTTCAAAATTCAGCAAGTATACTATTTGGTTGATTCATAACTAAGAAAAAAAATCTCACAGCCTTTTAGAAACACTATATTTGTTGATATTGAACTTTGAAACTATCATAGATGTAGCCTCCGGGAGTTTACTTTTCTCTGTTTTCAAACCATTTATTTATTCAACAGATACTTAGTAAGCACTTACTATGTGGCAGACAGTATACTTTTAGCGTTGCAGATATAGCAGCGAACAAGGCAGTTATAGTCTCTGCCACCACTCAGATTCTGAGTGATACAGTTTTCTCCGGTTGCTGAAACAAATGAAAAAAGCACATAAGTGGAATGTCCTTTTGAAAATTCAGTATATTGTTCCAATAAATATATACATGGTAAGGGTGGGGTGGCAGCAGGGACTTTGTCTTATTTCCCACTTATCCCAGAGTTCAGGAAAATGCCTGACGTTAGTCAGTGCTTCATAAATGATGGATGGATGGATGAATATATTACACTCATCAAACCTTTTTAAAGTATTTAGACTTAAGAGGACTTTAGCATAACTTGAGGACAGGGGCCATAGCATATCTATTTTCTGATGCCAGCCTAGCACTGTGTATGTTATGTGCTGAAATAAGAACATTAAGGAATTCATCTCCATCTTGTGCAGTTTCAAGTGACTAACTGAAGCCAATAGAATTAAATACCAAGGAAAGATAGTCCTTTCATCATTTACACAGTTAGGACCTATTTCTAACAGGTGGGATCGTGGTCAATAGAAGTTGCTTCTAAGAGTAATTTCTACTTAACCTTCAATGTCTATGAACCCATAGCCATGTGCTATGGGAAACACAGCTTTTGGGATAGAGACTGAAGTGACTGGTAAAATTGTAATCTTTTCCTGCAGCATGAGTGAGTTCTCCAAGAAGCTGGAGAAGCACGAGTAAATGCTTCACTATTTAGCCATGAGCTCAAGCTAGAAAGTGGCCGAAATTCATGTCTCTGTAGTGAATCCCTCATTGGTTACGAATAGCCTCATAGAGTTTGATGGAGTTTTGAACTGTTGCATTAGATCACACAATTTGACCACTCAACTCAGCACCAAGCCTGTTCATTTTGGATAGGTGAGGCCACTTTAGCCATTTTATTTCTACAAATAGTCACTATGTTATAATTATTTGGTTTCACATTTCTCCCCTGTATAAAGAGTTGGGTAGGGTTGTCTTGACTAATCCATCTTATGTGGTCCTGGCCCAGCACCAAACTTAATAAATGTTTGTATTAGGTTGAACTGTATAAAAATGCTGTGTTTGTAAGTCAAAAAATAGTCAAATATCAGCAATGGTCAAGTGAATAATAAGAAAAATTCAAGCAGTGAATGACTGGTTGGACTAGATGATTTTAAAGATCTCTTCCGGTTCTGGGATTTCATGACCTTATAATTCAAACATAAATAACATCATCAGTCAGTTTCAATACTTAGCTACCAACTTATGAAACCATGGTGCTCATATTGTACACAAACCTGGCACCCTGTTCTTGTCTTTCTTGGAACTTATCACAGTGATTTAGCTATTTTTATACTAGATGACTATGTGCTCCTCATTTTAATGTGTATAATACATATCTAATGTGTAAGATATATAATACATATATACATAAATATAAATGGGTAGATAGATGATAGATACAGTGTATGTGTTTCCATCAGCTGTTAAAAGGTAGATGATAGATTAATACTGTGTCATTTTCATGTCTCTTCTGTTCTACTGCTTTAATGTGGCAGGTGGAGTCCACTGTGATTCAAACTATGAATTTTTTCATTGATCAATTCTGACATGCTAACCTCAGCAACTGAGCACCTGCATAATATGTTAGGTCATCATATTAATAATGAAGATTACATAGTTGACTTGCCTTTTTATTGGGGGAATATAGAAAAAAACCCTAGAAATATGACTGATTTTAAAACAAACTAAAATGATGATTGAGAACAGTAATACTATCTATAATTTCATTGCATCTAGTAGAAAATTAGCTTTGGAAAGCCACTCAGTTTATAAAATTGTTTTGATTATTCTTTATTTAAAAAATGAAGTTCTCAGTTTTAATCTCAACAGGAAATCTCTTGATTACAGCAGAGCAGATTTTTATCTGTCAATAAGTTAAAAAAATTTTGAGGAGGAAATCAGGCATCAGCTTCCAGGGGTCTAATAACTTCCTAACTTAATGGGACTTGCCTAACAGTAGATGAACTTTTCATTTTAAGACTTTGCCTTTAGTAGTCAACACTGTCCTCAGCACAGCTACAGACTATATAATACAGAGTCCATACAATACAGGGCATTTCTGTATGAATAAAGTATTAAATATTTTTTAAAAATAACTTTTAAAAAATGAAGTTCTAGCCTAAGACCTGAATTAAGGGCTTTAGGGAAATAAAAACTTTGTTCCTTTTCTAAATTTTAGATATTTCCGTTATGGTAAGTTAAACTGATCGGTTTAAGAAGGTAGTTTAAGATAGTAATGTATATGTGTTAACAGGCTTCTATCTCTGCGTCAGCTGTAAGATTTACCTGGTTTTTATACTCTGAAGAGTTTATATTTAAATTCAACATAATAAAACATTCAAAATAAGAATCTCTGAACTTAGTTTTATTTTAGACTGCTTTTGAAAAAATCACTTCTTAAAGTGCACAGATTCACACATCCACCCTCCCATCCTTTGTGATAGAAAAAATGAAATACTTAGCTTGGTAAATCACATTGCTTCTCCTGAAGTAGACTGCCTTCACCCAGTGCTGTGAAAGAAAGCCCAGTGAGTGAGTAAGGAAGGGTGGCTATTGTTTAGTGCTCTCTAGCAAAAGAATGGGATTGGGGGCGGGGTTGGGGCGAGGATTGAGTTTAACTGGCATTGGCTCTGGCTTTTCTGCATTCCAAACTGTCTGAGGCACGAAATGAGAGCAAAAAGGGAGAGAGCAGGAAAGCGAGCACAGGCGAGTACAGTATACAAAGTGTTTTGAGTTTCTGACTGGCGTGCCGGAAAGATCATGTTAGCACACCCAGAAACTTCACACGATGCAGACCCCAGGTAAGAGTTTGTAGAGTCTGAGACCGAAATGAAAAGTCACGTATTTAAGGGGAATGTGGCTTTTTAAAAATTACACAAATGCAGTGACTATTTACCTTTATGATTATTGGCTTTAAAAAAATAGGTTGGTTTTTATTGCTGTGAGTTCACAGAAATACTGTGTGGAAGCTGTCTGTTAGCATTCCAGTACAAAATCCAGCACAAGAATAGCCATCTAAGAAACTCAGATAAATTAAAAGAATAATGACCATAGCAAAATATTAACACTGCAGCATGTACTTGTTCTGTTAATAATATGAAATGGGTCCTTATTCTGGATCTTTCTTAAAATTCTTTATGAAATATAAAGATACCTGGGAACAGGTAAAGCTCATTTCTCTCTGAGTGAGACAGAATATATTGACCATCAACAAGATATTAACAGCCTTGCTTGAATCTCAGTAACACATAATCTGTGTCATTCAAAAGTTTAACAGGTTTGATCCATAGACAGCAGTAAGAGCATTCAAATGAGAACTTTGCTTGTTATTTTTGCCCAAGGTAGGCTTTTAATATCCTCTGCCAAGATGACAGGTAAGAAAGTTTATTGACTTATTGAAAGTTAAATCTGAAAGAGACTTGGAGATTATCTATAGTCTATTCTCTCCATTTTCAATGAAAATTTTGTGGTCTAAGGTACTTGCCCAAGGTCAGAATTAGGAACAGAATTGAAATGAAAACCCAGATCTCCTTATTGTCAGTTTAACGTGTTTTTCATAGAACCAATTATATATAGGCTTATATTTTCTCTATACTACATCTGCTAGCCCCAATTACAATGAATTATTGCCTAAATAGACCAAGTACATCATAAACCTAGATTGAAATCTTATGGAGAGGAGGTATTGAGAAATGGATGTCATCAAATCACTATTGATACATGCTCTTGACCAAAACCAAAAACATGTAACAAAATATTTATCAAGAGGAAAAAATGGCTTTCAGTGAAGGAAAATTAGTTTGTACGCTGCTTTTAATTTTTTAAAAGACTTTAGGACATCAATTTTCTGTATAAATATGTTAGTAAACTTTTTTCTGTATGCAAATATCTATTTTTGTAATGTATCTGTTTTACTGAAAGCAAATCGTATTCACTGCCTTTGTTATGTTTATTCAAAAATATAAGATAATATTTTAAATTATCCAGCTATTTTGACCAGTTGCTTCCTTATCCAAGGTCCATTTCTGTTTCTCCCTGCTTATAAGGATCGTCTGTTACTTCACCTCATGAATTATGTGTTAGCAGATAATTTAAGTGAAGGATCTTGAGAGCCGCAACAGACAGTGAACATCTGTCTTCATACATTTTCATTTAGTGCCTAAAAAAGGTTGCTGCCCTTTCCATTTTTCTGGAGACCATTGTGGGGATGAGAGGCCACACTATTCTAGTGAGCTAAATAGTAAAGATAGCCACTGTCAACAGAATCTGTCATGGCTCTTTACAACTCCTGGGAACAAGTTAGCTTGATTTGGCTATAAGCACAGTAAAGGGATGTTGTCCTTTTGTATTAAAGCCTGACCTGCTCTTTCCAGTTTTTGGCTGGGTCTGTGTAAGTGTAGTACTGACTTACAAGTCTGTGTGGAATGGGCAGCAAGTTATAAGGAATAGTTTCATTACTCCTCTCGGCTATATCGGAAACCAAATTACCAAGTGAATTCTCCACCCAGTAGGAAAGAAGAGACTGTCTGTCTTACTGGAGAATCCATTATTTAAGCACTGTTTTTAAGAGGACTGATGGCTGTGAGAATGAGGACATTAATGCTCTATCCAACTTAACAGTATTCATGTTGTATTACACAAAGCTTAGATTCTTCTCTGAGCTTTTATCCTGCTTTTAATATGTGAAAGGACTGCCATGATATATCTATGTATATTATGTTGTGTGTGTATATTATATGATAGAATAGAGAGTAAAATGGGCCTTTGGCCTGAGTATATTTTCTGATGCCAGAAATGATCAGAAGTCATTAATCTATTGCTGGTATTTTACTGACCTAAGTTAAAAGAAACTATTTTATTAACCAAGCTAATCATGATAAAACTCACTACCATGCACTACAAAGAGAAAAATACTCAAAGGAAACACACTTCTTTTTTAATTCTGAAAACAAATGTCAGATTATGCAGGTTCATACCTTCCGTGTTAGAAAAAAAAAACAATAAAAAGGTGCCCACTTTGTGGCTAAAGATAAATTTTATTTTTAAACAAGTTTTTATTGGTGTATAATACATGTAGATAGTTGTGGGATTCATTTGATAATTTAATATGTTTACACAATTTGGAAAGATCAAATCAGTATACTTGGGATACCCATCACCTGAAAAGGAGACAAATTTTAAATGGGAATAGAATGGGTATAGTGAAATGAGTGGCATAAAAAAGAAACTCTCATATGTATGTGAAATAATTTTCTTTTGACCAGTGTTTTCTTGAAGGCAGACCTATTTTCACTATTCATGATTTTCTCCTTGATACTGTTTTAAAATTTTTTCCCATGAACAATCTATATATAAATATTGTTTATATATTAAATTTTCAAAGAAGGTAAAGAGCTCTGCTATGTAATGACAACATTTTCTGAAAAAGATTTGGCTATAGTTGATCAAAACTTTTGACTCATTGAAAGGAACTGCTTTCTTTGCTGTTGCAATTTCTTTCTACCTCTTGGGCATAATTCTATGTTATGTGTCCCAGTTAAATCCCCAAGAATGAAATATCTTCAAAGAAAAATGAAGGCAAAAGATAGGGGCCAGGAGCAGGGACTTGAAGCTGGACATATAAATTGTTCTGAGATGTCAAATTAATTCTTTACTCATGAAAGTTACCCAGTTATCCACCCAAGACTCCAAGAGTCCTTTTATGTAGACAACACGATTGTGTTTGCCCTTCTGCTCCAGTCTTGACCTTCAGCAGTCTCTAAAGAGGAAAAGTGTTTGTTACAGACTCTTTTTGTTCTCTTCTGTTGTTTCACGCTCCCTAGTGGTTGTTCATGGTCATTCTTGTTTTCAGTTCCCTGTATATCAGTTGTAGTGAGAAGGAGAAGGAGGTGACTATTGTATTGTGAAATAAGGTTCACCGGATTCTTATATTTGAGTTGCATAAACTTTCTTAAAATAACTGATTCTTATATGCAGAATCAGAAGCAAAAATTTTTGTCCTGTTGTTCCTAGTGGACAATGATTCAAGAAAATGAGTCATGACTCAGCGATATGAATTCTCTTTTAGCCGGGGTTATTTTTAACTGCTGATGGGAATTCCATCTATCAAAATTCCACATTTAATTGTGGGTATGATCTCAGCTTGTGTTTGGAAGCCTTAAGCAATGCCACTCAGAATACTTTCTTTGTACATACTTGACAAGTAAGAGAGACTTACTGAGTCAGTGATTAAAATTCAGATGAAGGCCTTTGTCCTCTCTGGTACCCTCCTTGCCCCTACTCAAACCGTGTCATTAAGCTGAATTGGAAATACTGTTAACTCAAGCACATGAAGAGGGAACCATTGAGGAGATCCTGTTAATAATACGACTCTATAGAACTCCACATTTCTGTCATTCTCAGGTTTGCAATATTTTTTGAGTAAATGAGTTGCTGAAAAACACCTTGAAAAAGTAGTTTAGGTTTGTGCAGCCCTATTCTTTGAAGAAGAAAAGATACCTGGTTCTGCTTGCTCTTTCTAATGTCAGATCTTGGAAAATAAGCAACTTGAGCTGCTGGAATAAAGCAGGTGTCGTTCAGGATCAAGTGTTGCCTAGGATAGCTAGCCTGTTAGACAAGTTGCTAACTGATGTCCTGAATCCAATTCCAAAGATTACGGAGTACCTTTGAAAAATGTTGTAACAGCACTGTTGTGTAACTATTCGTAAATACTACCTTTAGTTTATATGAAGATTAGTAAAATGGGTATTCTTTCCATTTTTAAGATTCTGGTTTGTAACTTTTTTGCTAAAATACTTCAAGTGGGTTGTGTGTGCCTCTCGAGTCAGATCAGAGAAGGTAAGATGTCTGGGTCCCTACTTCAATCACTCTTCTTTCCAGGAATACCTGGAATATGAAGTTTCAGGTAAATAAGTGAAGTGAAATAACAAAGAGAAGTGATTTGTCAAAATGAGTGCAAGAAGAGCCACCAAAAATCTAGCTTGTGTGAGTACATAGAATTGAGTTTGTTCAGTCAAAGGACAAGGGAAGATGTGATAAGTCTATTAACAGGGAAGGATAATCATCTCCTGTGTACCAAGAGCTCATTTCGAAGAGTGTGTCCAGTATGATTATAGAATATTTCTTATCAGTATTTTCTCAAAGTATGGGAAACTAATCCCTCAAACAAAGGGAAATAGATTATTTCAATGCTTTCAACATGTGGTAGAGGAATTGCATCACACAGTATTTGGCCTGCTTTATTTATGAATCTCTATTGTACAGCTGAAATTTAAGGAGTTTTTTTATTAATTGAAATATTTTATCTTTCATATAGTTTGCCACATCAGCCAGGTTCAGTGGCTCATACTTGTAATCTCAACACTTTGGGAGGCTGAATCAGGAGGATTGCTTGAGGCCAGGCCTGGCAACATAGTGAGACCTCCCCTCTACAGAAAATTTAAAAATCAGCCAGGCATCGTGGCATGCACCTCTAGTCCCAGCTACTCAGAAGGCTGAGGTAAGAGGATTGCTTGAGCCCAGGAATCAAGACTGCAGTGAGCTATGGTCACATCACTGTACTCCCGCCTGGGTGACAGAGCAAAACCTTGTATCTTTAAAAAAAAAAAAGAAAGAAAGAAAGAAAAGAAAAGAAATCGCTATATACATCCTGATATTTTCCTTGAAGCATTTTTCCTCCACCTGAAGTCCAGTGAAATGTCACTGTAGTTTCCTGAAACAATAAATACGCTATTATATGAGTAGCATCATTTACTTGCTGGGGTATAATTGCTGAAATTTTGAAATATGCTTTTAGTATGTTAAGTTTTATTTATTTCCTTCCCCTATAAAAAACAGCACTTGGAAAATGATTGGTGATCAACTTTTAAAGATAATTTTTTAAAGTAGCTTTTTAAAATCAATTAAACACCTTACCATTCTCTTCTCATCTCTGAGAAATGGTATAGACCATTTTTATTAACCAAAAATATAGTATAAAGAAGAAACCCTAGGAGTTAACTGCTATCATTACAAGGAATGAAAACTAGTCTCCCTTGTAAACATTTTTTAGCTTATGCAAGATCAAAATGTACTAGGCAGAGGAAATTTATTGTAATATAAAAGGTAGAAGTCTAGTGGAAGTATAGCTGTTTGTCCCCAGTGCCTCAGTAGAACTGTTTAGGTCAACACTTGATGACACTGCTTTATTTTGGTTTTGTTTGGTTTTTTTAATGGAAGGGTATTTAAAACCAGAAGCCAGGCTTTCATCTGGTCTTTTTTAAAAGGAATATCCAAACAATGATTTACCTGTTTTTCTCAGAAGCTATCTTACTGTGAACAAATTGCAAAATGTATTTGACGGTGAAATTTTAATTATCAAGAAATAGTGAGCTTGAAGGGTGTGACTATTGCCATAAAGTGCTGTGATTTATGACAGCTTCCCAGTAGAAATTCTCCCAGTGTCAGAAATTATAAACCCATTTTCATTTTACTTTGTTCTTGAATTAAATATTTAAAGGTAGAATTTTTGTTTCTCTTTCCCCCTATCAGACCTGTGTGACGGGAGAATAGAAACTGTTTTAAGGCTCTTCAGATTTAGTTCAGATGTTGCTTATGTTACATTTTCTCTGATAGTCTGAAAAAATAAATTTTTAAATTTTAACGTTTGATCATAATATATAACAGGCTCCTACACATCAGTGAGAAAAAAGCAAGACTGGAATGCTCATTTTACAAAAGAGGTAATCCAGATGACCATTTAGTATATAACAAGGTGTGCAGCTATTGTTAGTCATCAGGGAAATGCAAATTTAAACCAAAATAGGATTACATACCCATCAAAACGTCTAAAATGAGAAAAAAGAAAATACCAAATGTTGATAAGTATCTGGAACAAAAATAGTTTTCATACCATATTGACGAGAGTGTAAACTTGTACAGTTACTTTGAACAGCTATTTGACAATATCTCCTAAAGCTGAACAATGCTCAGTGACCCAGCAATTACACTCCTATTTATGTACCCAATAGCAATGTATACCTAGGTTCATCAGAAGACCTGTACAAAAATGCTTTTAACAGCACTATTTATAACAGCTAAAAATTTGAAACTACCCAAATGCTCATCAGCAGTAGAATGAATAAATTGTGGTTTGCTTATAAAATGGAATTCTATACAGCAATGAAAAAGAACAAACCACTGCTTCATGTGACAGAATGCATGAACCTCACAAATGTATGTTGAGCATGAAAAGTCTCAAAAGAATACTCACTGAGTGATTCCATTTATATAGAGTTCAGACTGATCTAGGGTGATGGAAATCAGGATAGTGATTATCCTTATGGGGGTAATAACTGCCAAGGATACATAAGAGAGGCCTCTGGCTGCTGGTGATGTTCTGTGGTGGTGTTGTTTTCTGATTCAGATGCTGGTTACTAGCATGAATTACATTTGTGAAAACTTATTGACCTGTACATATGTTATTTGTACACTGCTCTTTTTTCTTTTTCTTTTTTTCTTGAGACAAGGTCTTTCTCTGTCAACCAGGGTGGAGTGCAATGGCCCAACTAATCATAGCTCATTGTAACCTCAAACCCCTTGGCTCAAGTGATTCTCCCACCTCTCAGCCTTCTGAGTAGCTGGGACTATAGGTGCACACGACTACACCTGGCTAATTTTTAAAATTATTTTTTTGTAAAGATGGGGTCTTGCTATCTTGCCCAAACTGGTCTTAAACTCCTGGCCTCAAGCAGCCCTCCCATCTTGGCCTCCCAAAGGGCTGGGATTACAGGCATGAGCTACCACGCCCAGCCTGTACACTTTTCTACATGTATGTTATACTTCAGTAAAAAGTTCAAGGAAAATATTCCTATTATAAGCGCTCCAGTTTGCAAACAAACAAAACAAAAACAAAAAACTCTAGGCAACTTCCAAGTTGATGGAAGTGATGTTCTGTAAAAGTCCTTTTTTGTTTATGGAGAATGTGAGCAGGACACCAGGTTTCTTTCTTTTCTTTTTGGTTTTTTTTTTTTTTGAGATGGAGTCTCGCTCTCGCCCAGGCTGGAGTGCAGTGGCGCGATCTCGGCTCACTGCAAGCTCCGCCTCCTGGGTTCATGCCATTCTCCTGCCTCAGCCTCCCAAGTAGCTGGGACTACAGGTGCCTGCCACCATGCCTGGCTAATTTTTTGTATTTTTAGTGGAGACGGGCTTTCAACGTGTTAGCCAGGATGATCTTGATCTCCTGACCTCGTGATCCACCTGCCTCGGCCTCCCAAAGTGCTGGGATTACAGGCCTGAGCCACCGCGCCCGGCCCGACACCAGGTTTATTTTCATGTTGAAAGTTCTCCAGTCTGGCCGGACGCCGTGGCTCACGCCTGTAATTCCAGCATTTTGGGAGGCTGAGGCGGGCAGATCACCAGGTCAGGAGATCGAGACCGTCCTGGCCAACATGGTGAAACCCTGTCTCTACTTTAAAAAAAAAAAAAAAAAAAAGCCAGGCATGGTGGCGCGCGCCTGTAGTCCCAGCTACTCGGGAGGCTGAGGCAGGGGAATCACTTGAACCCGGAGGCAGAGGTTGAAGTGAGCTGAGATTGTGCCACTGCACTCCAGCCTGGCGACAGAGTGAGACTTGGTCTCCAAATAAAATAAAGAAAGTTCACCAGTCTATGTGTGCCATCAAGGACTTTACATTTGGGGTCATTGAATAGGTTAGATGAGGAAAGCATTTGGGAAACTAGGCTTGTGGATGTATCCTCAAAACAAAATTTCATCATGTAAATAATAGAATTTCTAGGCTTTCTAAAGCTCTGAGCTTACTGTATAAAAACACTAATCTAGTCATACCTTAATTGAAAATATTTTATAATAGTAATATATATAAAAAGATATATATGTACTCGTACTTAACACATTAACTTTTACATATAGTTACTAAAGAGTTGATGATACAAATTTAATAAGAATTTTCCATACTTTGGCTTTAATATAATTTTGCTTTAAAAATATGTATTTGGACTTTTAAAGGATGTGTAATTCCTTGTTATATTGGACGAAAAATAACAGCTTTTTCATCATTGTGAAATGTGAAAATATCCAATACAACAAATGGAAGACGCCTAATAAATGTTAATATCCTTCTTTGTCTTTACAAAACTACAAACATGACATACTCTTGAACATGCCCGTCTTATCTTCTCAGATTAAGCTCTGCCACCTGTGCTGTTCTTCCTGTTCTGAACCATTAAAACACATGTGTTTAGTTTTATTTCTGGATTCTTCTAGAGCAATCTTCTTCACTAGTTCTTTCATATCACTTGTTTTACTCAAACTTGATGTTTTAATGTTAGCATATTATTTATTTGTTGCTGTGTAAAAAGTTACCACAAACTTGGCAAGTGAAAACAGCATTCATTTACCCTGTCCCCCAGCCTTCTCTCTCTCTTTCTCTGTTGAGACAGGGTCTCACTTTGTCACCCAGGCTGGAGTGTGCAGTGGCATGATCATGGCTCACTGCAGCCTCAACCTCCTGGGTTCAAGCGATCCTCTCGCCTCAGCCCCCCGAGTAGCTGGAACTACAACTGCGTGTCACCACACCTGGCTAATTTTTTGTTTTGTTTTGTTTTGTTTTTGTAGAGACAGGGTTTCGCCATGATGCTCATCTTGGTCTCAAACTCCTGAGTTCAGGCAGTCCGCCTGCCTTGACCTCCCAAAGTGCTGGGATTACAGGTGTGAGCCACCACTCCCAGCCTATTTCAATTTCTATACATCAGAAGTCTAGGGAGAGTGCAGCTGGTTCTCTGCTCAGGGCCAAAACAAACATATCAGCCAGACCACACTCGTATCTGGAGCTCAGAGTCCTCTTTCAAACTTGTTCAGGTTGTCAGCAGGATTCAGTTTCTTGCAGTGGTAGGACTGAGATCCCTGTTTTTTGGCTTGCTGTTGGCAAGGAGTCACTCCTAGCTTCTAGAGGCCACTGTTATGTCCCATTTCCATGGCCCCCTTACTACTTGGCGCTTACTTTTTCAAAGCCAGTGAGAGAATCTTACTCTGGTTGGATGTATTAGTTCATTCTTGCATTGCTACAAAGAAATACCTGAGACTGGGTAATTTATAAAGAAAAGAGGTTTAATTGGCTCATAGTTCTGCAGGCTGTACAGGAAGCATGGCATCATCTGCTTCTGGGGAAGTCTCAGAGAGCTTTTATTCATGACAGAAGGCAAAACGAGATCAGGCTTCTTACATGCAGGCAGGAGCAGGACTTGGGTGGGGGAGATGCTACACACTTTTAAACAACCAGATCTCATGAGAACTCACTATCCTGATGACAGGACCAAGGTTGCATGGTGTTAAACCATGAGAAACTGCCCCCATGATCCAGTCACCTCCCACCAGGCTCCATTTCCCGCATTAGGGATTATAATTTGACATGAGATTTGGGCAGGGATACAGATCCAAACCATATCATTCCACCCTTGGCCCCTTCCAAATCTCATGTTCTTCTCACATTTCAAAATACAGTCATGCCTTCCCAACAGTCCTTGAAGTCTTGACTCATTCCAGTATTAACTCAAAAGTCCAAAACCCAAAGTATCATCTTAGAGAAGGCTAGTCCCTTTTGCCTATGAGCCTGTAAAGTCAAACACAAGTTAGTTACTTCCAAGATACAATGAAAGTATAGGCATTGGGCTGTAATCCCAGCACTTTGGGAGGCCAAGGTGGGCGGATCACGAGGTCAGGAGATCAAGACCATCCTGGCTAACACAGTGAAACCCCGTCTCTACTAAAAATACAAAAAATTAGCCAGGTGTGGTGGCGCGGCTGTAGTCCCAGCTACTTGGGAGGCTGAGGCAGAAGAGTGGCGTGAACCCGTGAGGCAGAGCTTGCAGTGAGCCAAGATTGTGCCACTGCACTCCAGCCTGGATGACAGAGCGAGACTCTATCTCAAGGAAAAAAAAAAAAAAAAAGTGTAGGCATTGGGTAAATACTCCCATTCCAAAAGGGAGAAATTGGCCAAAAGAAAGCGGCTACAGGCCCCATACAAGTCTGAAACCCAGCAGAGCAGCCATTAGCCCTTTTCCCATTTAGAAAACAAAAAGTGCAGCTCGCTGCCAGTGCTCATTTAATTTTACATAAACATACTCTTTGAGGCTGAAGCAAATCTGACTGATTTTCAGTGTGAAAACAAAATATAAAAACTGTTCTTGGAGTTATTTCTAAATAGAACTAACATCAGAATCATCTGAATCATCAGAATTGTCTATTTCAGAAAAATTGAATTCATCAAAGGAATCTTTGGCCAACAACTGTTCCAGAATGATGTTAACATCACACATAGGAATGCTATGTTTTCTAGGATTTGACATTTTTAGCAATCGAGAATTACTATATTTTGTAAGTGGAAATACCACTACTAAAAACAGAATGCTATAAATAGAATGATGTCTTTTGTTTTCAAAGTTGATATACTAGAGCAGTGTGAAAATAATAATAAAAATGAGATGTTTTGTGGCAAAGTTATCTTGGGGTAAATGCTGAAACTGCAAGCTTTGCCAGCAAGTATTCTTGGGGCAAACAGGAGAAGAATTAAATCTTAAGGCTCCAAAATAATCTCCTTTGACTCCATTTCCTACATCCAGGACACACTGATGTGAGAGGTGGGCTCCCAAGGCCTTGGGCAATCCATTCCTGTGGGCCTTTCAGAGGTCAGCCCATGTGCTGTTCTCTTGGGCTGTTATTGAGTGCTGGCAGTTTTTCCAGGTGCAGGGTGCAAGCTCTTGGTGGCTCTACCATTCTAGAGTCTGTAGGATGGTGGCCCTCTTCTTACAGCTCCACTAGGTAGTGCCCCAGTGGGGATTATTTGTGGTGGCTCCAACCCCACATTTGTCCTCTGCATTGCCCTAGTAGAGGTTCTCCATGAGGGCTCTGGCCCTGCATTAGGCTTCTGTCTGGACATCCAGGCTTTTCCGTACATTCTCTGAAATCTAGGCAGAGGCTCCCAAGCCTCAGCTCTTGCACTCTGTGTACCCACAGGCTTAACACCATGTATTTAAGGCTTTCAGCTTGTACTGTCTGAAGCAGCAGCCTAAGCTGTACCTGGGTCCCTTTGAGCCATGGCTGGAGTTAGACAGCTGGGACACAGAGAGCAGTGTCCTGAGGCTGCATGGGGCAGCAGACCCTGGGCCTGGCCCACAGAACCATTTTGTTTTCTTGGGCTTACAGGCCTGTGATGGGAGGGGCTGCTGCCAAGGTCTCAGAAATGCCTGCAAGGCCTTTTCCCTAGTGTCTTGGCTATCAGTACTTGGCACCTTTTTACTTATGCAAATTTCTGCAACCTGCTTGAATTCCTCCCCTGAAAATGGGCTCTTCTCTTCTACCACATGGCCAGGCTGCAAATTTTTCAAGCTTTTACTGTCCATTTCCCCTTTAAATATAAGTTCCAGTTTTACGTCATGTCTTTGCTCATGCGTATGAGCATAGGTTGTTAGAAGCAGCCAGGCTACATCTTGATTACTTTGATGCTTAGAGATTTCTTCTGCCAGATATACTAAATCATCACGCTCAAGTTCAAAATTCCGTAGATCCCTAGGACAGGGGCAGAAGGCCACCAGGTTCTTTGCTAATGCATAACAAAAGTGACCTTTGCTCCAGTACCCAATAAGTTCCTCATCTCCATCTGAGACCTCTTCAGCCTGGACTTCACTGTTTATATCACTATCAGTATTTTGGTCACAACCATTTAACCAGTCTCTAGGGAGTTCCAAATTTTCCCTCATCTTCCTGTCTTCTTCTCAACCCTCCACACTCTTCCAGCTTCTACCAGTTACCAAATTCCAAAGCTTCTTACATATTTTAAGGTATCTTTATAGCAGTGCCCAACTCTTCAGTACTAATTTTTTGGCTATGATGTAATCCAGTATAACACAACTGTAATCATGATAGTGACTATACGTCACCTTGGCCATGTAATGTAACCTAATCAGTGGAGTGGCTATCCCATCATATTACAGATTCCAGGCCCCTGAGGGTAGAGAATTATACAAGGGTGTGGTGGCTCATGCCTGTAGTCCCAGCTGCTCAGGAGGCTGAGGTGGGTGGATCACTGGAGCCCAGGAGGTCAAGGCTACAGGGTGAGCCAAGATTGTGCCACTGCACTCCAGCTTGGGTGACAAAAATGAAACCCTGTCCAAAAAAAAAAGAAGAAGGAAGATACATTTTCAAATTACAAATTTTTTTCAGTAAAAGAGACTACACACATCAGCTACTTTTATACCACCTAGCAATGACACATCATGAAAGGACAATTACAGGGAGTTTTACTCATTATTATAGTTCCAGAAATCCTAAAAAAAATATTAGCAAATGGAATAATACATTATGACTAAAGTTGGGTTTATAACACAAAATGCAAAGTAGATTTAATATTAGAAAGTTAGAATAGTTTACCATTAATGAACTAAAGGAGAAAAATCTTAAAATCATCTCGATTGAGCAAAAATGACATTTAATAAAATTTAACAACTATTCATAAGAACTCTTAGCAAAACAACAATAGAAAAGAATTTCTTTACTCTGATTAGTGATATCTACAAAAACCCATCGACAAATATATGTAATGGTGAAAAGCTTTCCCTTTTAGATGAGGACCAAGGCTGGGATGTCCATTATTATCCTTGCTATTCCACATTGTATTGGAGGTCTCAATCAATACAGTAATCAATACAGTAAGGTCTCAATCAATACAAGAAAATATGTAAGGATTAGAAAATTAAAACTTCACAAGTGATGTGATCATTTAGAAAATCCAGTAAAAACTTTACAGGCATTGAGTTTAGCAAGTTGCTAGATAACAAGATCCATAAACAAAACCTAATTGCATTTCCATAGATCAACAATAAACTGAAAGCAAATTTTTTGAGATACTGTTTACAATAACAAAATGTAATAACCTAGGAGTAAATCTTTTAAAAGATGTGTAAAACATCTAAAAAGTAAACTATAAAGCTTTATTAGGAGAAATTTAAGAATAATCTAAAGTAGATATATACTACGTTTCTGGAGTTGGAAAACTGGTTTGTATGGTGTTAACTTTTACCCTAAATTCCTTTATAGATTCAATGTAATTCCAGTTTTAAAAATCTTGTGAAGCCTGGGCAACATGATAAGCCCCATCTCTACAAAAAATTTGAAAATTAGCTGGGCGTGGTGGCACATGCCTGTGGTCCCAGCTACTTGGGAGACTGAAGCAGGGAGGATCACTTGAGCCAGGAATTCTAGATTGCAGCGAGCTGTGATCACACCCCTGCACTCCAGCCTGGGTGACAGAGCAAGACCCTGTCTGTCTGTCTTTCTCTCTTTCTTTCTAGGTATCTATATATTTGTATATATTAGGATAGCCAAAAACTCTTTTAGAAACCTAATTTAGGAGGACTTGCTCTGTCAGCTATTAAGGCTCTTTATAAAACTATATTAATTGAGACAAAGTGGTATTAGTGTTAGAAATAGACCAATGGAACAGAATAAAGAGTCCAAAAACAGACCTGTGCATATATGTACATTTTACTTATGATAAAATTGACACTGCAGAGTGGTGGGGAAATTAAGATCTTTTCAATAAATGATCCTGGCTCATCTGGAGATCCATATGGAAAAATAAAGTGGAAGTGGATTATTTCTTAACAATTTACATAAAAATGAATTCCATCTAAATTGTAGACCTACGTGTAAAACACCAAATAGTAATAATACCACTTTTAGAATATATTATAGCATCTTCATGACCTGAGGATAAAGAAGTAATTATTAAATCAAATAGAAAAAGCACCAATTATAAAGAAGAAAAAGGTGATAATGTTTATTAATATTAATAACTTCTGTTTGTCAAAAGACACTACTGAAAGTGCAAAAAGTCAAGCTATATAAACCAACAAAGAAATTATACCAGAATATTTCAAGCATCCCGACAAATTGAGAAAGACAAAGCCCAATAGAAAAATGGGCAGAGACTTAATAGGCACTTCACAAAAGAATATAACCAAATGGCTGTATACATTTAAAGAGGTGCTCAGCCTTATCAAGGAATCCCAAGTTAAAACCACAACAATGGGGCCAGGCGCGGTGGCTCACGCCTGTAATCCCAGCACTTTGGGAGGCCGAGGCAGGTGGATTACGAGGTCAGGAGTTCAAGATCAGCCTGGCCAGGATGGCGAAACCCCATCTCTACTGAAAATACAAAAAATTAGCCGGGATGGTGGCGGGCACCTGTAATCCCAGCTACCTGGGAGGCTGAGGCAGAGAATCGCTTGAACCCGGGAGGCAGAGGCTGCAGTGAGCCGAGATTGTGCCACTGCACTCCTCCAGCCTGGGTAACAGAGCAAGACTCTGTCTCAAAAAAAAAAAAAAAAAAACCCACAAGATACCCCCACATAATCTCCAGATTGGCTAAGATTTAAAATCAGATGATACTAAAGTTGTCAAGCATATAGAGCAATGGGAACTCCTACATTGCTAGTGGGAGTAAAAACTTGTACAGTTTCATTGGAGAACACTTTAGCATTATCTAATAAAATTGAAAGTAATGCTAACCCAACATAAATACATGCTTATGTACATGAGGATGCATGTACAAGAATAAACAAGCATCCATAATGGCCCCAAAATGGATACAACCTGGAAAAAAATCAGTAAAATGAGTTTTAAAAAAGTGACATCATCATGTAGTAAAATGAACAAACTACAGTGACACACAGCAACATTAATAAATCTTTAAAATATAATATTTAGTAAATCAAACTAAAAAGTATATCTTCTTATACTATTTATATAAAATTCAAGAAAAGGAAAAAGAAAACATGTTGAGATATGCACATTTCAGTGCTAAAACTAAATAAAAGCAAGGAATGTTTACCCCGGAAATAGGTATAGTGGTTATCTATAGGGTGAAAGGAATTGGGATCAGGATGGAGTATTTGGGGAATCATTTGTTGCAGACAATGTTCTAATTCTTGCTATGGCGGTATTATAATTCATTAAACTCTACATTTATGTTTTATGCTATTCTCTGTGGGGCATCATATTTCACAATAAAATAAAGGCATATATTGAAGACATTTTTATTTCATCATATCTATACTTGTTATCCTTAAAGGCTGCATCTTATTCCATTGTAGATTTATCTGTTCCCCTCCTTTTGAATAGTTGGAGTGTTTTTGTTTTTTGCAGTTGCCAACTTTGAGTTAAGCATCTTTGTACATATATCTGTGTTCATTTGCTTGTGCTGGTATTTCTGTAGGATTGGTTTCCAGAAATAGAATCAAAAGATAATTTGCATTTCATATTTTGATAGATGCTGTTAAATAGCCTTGCAAATTTGTTCAGCCTGTCTTTTGCTATTTGAAGCTTTTAATTTTTTATTGTTCAATCTGTCTCTCTTTTCCATTGTAATTTCTCGCTTTTGTGTCATGCTTAGAAAGCCTTTTTCAACTTCAGTTTATGTCTTTATCCGGAATTTATTTTTGGTTATGTGAAATGAGATTTTTTTTCAGCCATATAGCTAGTTGTTTCAGTGCTTTTTTTTTTTTCGAATGGTCAGTTCTTTGCACAGTGATGTAAAAGCTACCCTTTATCATCAGCTAAATGTCTATATGTCTTTTTCTACTCTACTGATCTATTTCTATATCAATGTCACAGTATTTTAATGATTATAGATTTTAATGTTTTTCTCTTACTGATATAGGGAATTCTAATTAGTTTTTCCTTTCAAAAGGTATTTGGCCTTTTATTCATGTACTTACTTTTCCAAATGAATGGTAGTATCAAGTCCCTCTGTACTCTCAGCCAAAAACAAAAAACAAAAAACATGTGTTGACATTTCAGTTGGAATTACAATGAATGTATAGATTATTTGGGAGATAATTTACTTTCATACACATTTTTAAATTTTAGTCATTTTTAACTTTATATAAAGAGCATGTTTTATATATTCTTTTGAACTTTTTCCATGTAAATATTATATTACTCATATCTCTCCATATTTTTGCTATAGTTTATTTGACTACTGTATAATTTTTACATTGTTTGAATATAACAACAAATTTAGATTAAGAGTTGTGGTTGGGGTTGGTATTCAAGTTCAGTCTCTTATTGAAGTATATTTTTTAAACAAAAAACAAGGCCAGGTGTGGTGCCTCACACCTGTAATCCCAGCACTTTGGGAAGCTAAGGAAGGCGGATCACTGGAGGTCAGGAGTTCAAGACCAGCCTGGCCAATGTGGCAAAACCCAGTCTCTACTAAAAATAAGAAAATTAGCCAGGCGTGGTGGCATGTGCCTGTAATTCCAGCTACTCAGGAGACCAAGGCACAAGAATTGCTTGAACCTGGGAGGCGGAGGTTGCAGTAAGCCGAGAAGGCGCCACTGTTCTCCAGCCTCCGTGACAGAGTGAGACTCTGTCTCCTAAAAAAAAAAAAAAAAAAAAAAAAAAAAAGGAAAGGAAACAAACAAGAAGTATTGACTATAAAAGACTGGTGGGGTTGGCCATTATATTAAAATTATAAACTTCTGTCCATCTATAGACTTTAAGTAAAGAAGGTAAAAAGACCAGTTAGAAACTGAGAAATGATATTCACAAGACCCACAATTTTTCACAGGATTACTATCAAGGACATACAAAGAACTGCTATCTATTAATAGGCTGAGCATGACCAACTCAATAGAAAAGTGGGCAAGAGATATAAAGAAGACTTTCACAAAAGCATAACATATATACCCATAGACTTATGAAAAATGTTCGGTATTACTGGTAGTCAGGATATGCAAAATCAACCATCTTATCTTCATTCCATGAGAAACACTAAAAATTCTGACAATACCAAGTATTAATATTGAGCAGAATGTAGATGACTCAGGATTTCATATATCCTGCTGGTGGGAAAAAGTTTGGCATTGCTGAAGTTGAACATTTATATACCCTAAGCCCAGAGATTCTATTCCTATGTATATACCAAAGAGGAATTCCTACAAAGGATAAAAGAAGACATTTGCAAGGATGTTCACAGCAGCACTGACACCAATAGCAAAACTCTTAACAAAGGAAATACAATATACTTCAATAAGAGACTGAACCTGAATACCAACCCCAACCGCAACTCTTAATCTAAATTTGTTGTTATATTCAAACAATGTAAAAATTATACAGTAGTCAAATAAACTACAGCAAAAATATGGAGAGATATGAGTAATATAATATTTAAATGGAAAAAGTTCAAAAGAATATATAAAACATGCTCTTTATGTAAAGTTAAAAATGACTAAAATTTAAAAATGTGTATGAAAGTAAATTGTCTCCCAAATAATCTATACATTCGTTGTAATTCCAACTGAAATGTCAACACGTTTTTTGTTTTTTGTTTTTGGCTGGGAGTACAGAGGGACTTGATACTACCATTCATTTGGAAAAGTAAATACATTAATAAAAGGCCAAATACAGGATTTTGTCAGTTGCCTTTTCAGCATGTACTGATATAATCATTTTGTTTTTACCTTTTAATCTCTTAATACAGTGTCATAATGATGTTGTATTAAAATATTTATTCATTTCTCCCAAGTCACAAAAGTAAAGCCAGGAAACTTAAATATAGCAGGTCATTGAAAATACAAATTTGTTCTTTGCAGTATTCTTAAAGCCTTAGAATTTTTTGTGTTTTGTCATCCAGCATACCGACCTTGTGCTCATCTTTTTACTCTGCTTATCTACTTTCATTTTACAAAACATCATTTTGGAATTTCCCAAGATACTTAAATTTTTATTATTTATTAACTATGTGCAGAAAAACTTGGGGTCTCTCTTCATGCCAGCTAATTACACTACTGCTGTAAAATGAAGATGCAATTAGGGAAAGCAAGGCAGCAACTTACTACCATTTATTCTATGCTGTAGTCAGATGATGATGGTGAACTCTGATTTTGTTATAAATGACTGTAGATCTTTGATAAACCTTTGATGTTACTGTTGTTGAATTAATTTCTCCTGTCTTACAGCGGCCTCTGTTGACCCCAAACCTTAAGATCTTTTTAGCGTATGAGACCTTAATAAATGATAGAAGAAGAAAAAAAATTGTGTTTGCAATTTTGTGATTTTTTTAACATATGGACTCACAGATTATATAAGCTTCAGGTCCCACAACACATGAGTCTGCCTCTGGGTGTAAGGGGTGAAGAGTGGGGGTTTTATTTACCCCAGTTCTTGCCCACAATTGTGCTATCACTGCTAGAAAGCTGATCTCTATGATGGGGAGCCAATCGTTGTTTACTTTACTTTCAGTAATTAAAGTTAATTTAATCTACTTGATTAAAATTTTATCTCATATCCTATTTAACTCCACCCCCAACCCCACCATGGAGTAGGAGATAGCCAGCCAGTTCTTTCACTCCTCCACCCCTGCTCTACCCTCTTCAACTTCTAACCCTTCTGGCATTGGAGTAGGGAGACAGGATTGGAGAAAAGGTGTTCTGGTCTGATGCCACAGTTTTTACTTAGCCAGACATGAAATTACAAGCCCCTGTTGGTTATTGTTGCTTCTCTAGCTAACATTGGCCGTGAATTTGAATGCCTTCTGCGTGTGTTCCAGTGCTGGTTCTGTTACAGGTAGAAGGGTGCAAACTCTTCAGAGGGGCCCATAGGAAGCTTCCCTACTGAATAGTTCTTTGGTGTTGGAGATCCAGCATCCACGATATAGACCTGGTTCTCTTTTTTGGTGTCTACTTAGCTCATAGTAATCAACTATATCTTTCCTTTGCATTCTTGTTCTTCCAGTCAGCAAGGTTACAGGCTGCTCCACTGCAGCACCTTGTTCAGGGTTTTATTTTACCAGGGCTGCTATAACAAAGAACCACTGACTGGGTGGCTTAGACAACAGAAATGTATTGTTTCACAGTTCTGGAAGTTAGAAGGTGTCAACGGGGTTGTTTCCTTCTGAGGGCTGTGAGAACGAATCTGTTGCATGCCTTTTCACCTCGCTTCCAGTGGGTTGCTGGCAATGTTTGGTGTTCCTTGGTTTGTAGGTATGGGTGGGAAGAAAATAATAGAGTTTTATCCCTTTGGTTTTTATCTGAAATAAGGAAAAGTGTACTTCACTAATATTTGCTTTATAGATTTGGAGCCCATGTATGTCATTTATGAATAAATATACTAGAGATATGAAGTTAAATTTTCTATTGATATAATATTTAAGAAGTATAGACCATGAGCTTCTTGAGAACAAATCTTTTTCTAATTTGTCTCTATATTCCACAAATGTGATGTATTTTATTGTAATGTTAATGAATTTCTGAGGTAGATAATAATGTAGTTCTGTAAAATAGTTCTGCCATTTAAACTCATTTAAGATCAAATAGGGCATGCTTTACATATCTGTTGATGCAACTGTTTTGTCCAACTACAGCCGAATTTACAACAGATTCAAATACTAACCAGAAGGAAATTAATGAGTTGATTGTGGTATTTTTTTTTCAATCAGAAGTGTTTTCTGGATACATCTAGATACAGTGTTGTAACAATCCAGGTGATAAATGTATTGAACATTTTTTATAATTGTGGTTTTTAATGTAAAAAAAGAAAGGTATGAAAACCCTTGACTTTTTTTTGAGTTGCCAAAACATTTCTGTAATAATGTATACATTCTCCATAGCTATTAGTACCCGTTAGCTTTTTTTAATTGAACAGTTGGCCCTTCATATCTCTGGGTTCTGCATATGTGTGGATTCAACCAACCATGGATCAAAAATATTCTTAAAAAAATTGCATCTGTACTGAACATGTACAGACTTTTGTTCTCATCACTATTCCCTAAACTAGTGCTCCCCAGCCTTTTTGGCACCAGGGTCTGGTTTCATGGAAGATTTTTCCATGGACAGGAGGGAGTCGGGGGTGGGGGTTGGTTTTGGCATGATTCAAGCACATTACACTTACTGTGCATTTTATTTCTATTATTATTACATTGTAATATATAATGAAATAATTATACAACTCACCATAATGTAGAATCAGTGGGAGCCTGAGCTCGTTTCCCTGCAACTAGATGGTCTCATCTGGGGGTGATGGGAGACAGTGACAGATCATCAGGCATTAGATTCTCATAAGGAACACGCAACCTAGATCCCTTGCATGTACGGTTTACAATAGGGTATGTGCTTCTGTGAGAATCTGATGCCACCACTGATCTAACAGGAGGTGGCGCTCTGGCGGTAATGCTTGTTCATCTGCCACTCACCTCCTGCTGTGCGGCCTACTTCCTACCAGGCCATAAACCAGTACTGCTCCGTGGCCTGGGGGTTGGGGACCCCTGCCCTAAGTAATATAGTGTAATAACTATTTACATAGGATTTACATTGTATTAGGTATTACAAGTAATCTAGAGATGATTTAAAGTACATGGAAGGTTATGCATAGGTTATATACAAATACTGTGCCCTCTTTTATCAGGGATTTAAGCATCCATGGATTTTGATGTCTGTAGGAGGTCCTGGAACCAATCCCCCATGGATACCGAGAGATTACTGTGTATGACTTAAGGTCTATAACATGATGTTTTGATATACATAGTGAAATGATTACTACAGTCCAGCAAATTAACATATCTGTTATCTCATATACTTCTCTCCCTCCCTCCTTCCTTCTCTCCCTCCCTCCCTCCCTCTCTTCCCTTCTCTTTTCCTTCATAGTAAGAGTATCTAAAATCTACTCCCTTGGAAATTTCCAGTATAAAATATTATTAACCATAGTCCTCATGTTGTACACTAGATCTCTAGATTTAGCCTACATAGCTGCAAACTTTATACCCTTTGACCTAATTCTTCCCATTTTCTCTGCCCCAGGTAACCAGTATTCTGCTCTTTGTTGCTATCTGTGTATTTGTTGTTGCATTTTTTGGTTTTTCATTATGTTTTTTTTTTAATTCCACATATAAGTGAGATCATGCAGTGTTTTTCTCTGTGTGTCTGGCGTATTTCACTTAGCATAATGTCCTCTAAGTTCATTAATGTTTTGCAAATGGCAGGATCTCTCTCTTTTTCAAGGATGAATATTTCATTACATACACACACACCCACATCATAGTTTCTTTATTCGTCAACAGGCACTTCAGTTGCTTCCATAACTTGTATTGTGAATAATGTTGCAATGAATATGGGAATGCAGATTTTTTTAATAAGATTGTGATTTCATTTCCTTTGAGTAGATACTCAGAAGAGGCGGGATTGCAGGGTCATATTACTAGTTCTATTTTTAATTCCTTAAGAAACCTCCATACTGTTTTCCACACGGGCTGCACAAATCTGCATTTCCACCAACAGTGTACAAGGGTTCCCTTTTCCTCCCACTCTTACTAACACTTGTTATCTCTTGTTTTTTTGATAATAGCCATCCTAAAAGGGGTGAGGTGATATCTTATTGTGGTTTTGATTTTCATTTTCCTGATGATTAGTGATGTTGAGCATCTTTTCATATACCTGTTGGCCATTTTTATGTCTTTTGAGAAATGTTTATTCAGGTTCTTTGCCCATTTTTTAATTAGGTTATTCAATTTTTTGGCATTGCATCGTTATATATTTTTGATATTAACCCCTTATCAGATACATGGTTTGCAGATATTTTCTCCTAATGCGTAGGCCTCCTTTTCATTTTGTTGATTGTTTCCTTTGCTGTGCAAAAAAAGGCTATTAACTTTTATCCGGTACCACACGTCCAAAGTTAGATTTAAATTAACATAGTTTTCATTGTAAAATTAGCAATGGTAAATTTGTCGAAGCATTAAACAGCCTCATTAAATGTTCATAGGAGCAAATAACCATGTCAAATACCCTGTTCAGATATGGAAAAATTTTGCTCATTTAACAAATATTAAGCACTTACTATGTGCCCAGCATTGACTAATGTTCAGTGAAATCCTTTTGTTAAGAGATTCTTTTGAAAAACAATCAGACTATAAATATTATTTATTGGTGGAAAAGAGTAAAACATCTATATGCTATAAAAAGGCCGGGTGCGGTGGCTCACGCCTGTAATCCCAGCACTTTGGGAGGCTGAGGCGGGCGGATCACGAGGTCAGGAGATTGAGACCATCCTGGCTAACACGGTGAAACCCCATCTCTACTAAAAATACAAAAAATTAGCGGGGCCAGGTGGCAGGCACCTGTAGTCCCAGCTACTCGGGAGGCTGAGGCAGGAGAATGGTGTGAACCTGGGAGGTGGAGCTTGCAGTGAGCCGAGATCGCGCCACTGCACTCCAGCCTGGGTGACAGAGCGAGACTCCATCTCAAAAAAAAAAAAAAAGAAGAAACTATGGGGTCTGGCCTTTTTATTTGGCCACTAACTCTCTGGATTCCTACACAATTTACTTAACTCTGTTGTAGTGTCTCAGATCACTGATCAAGGAAAAGAGTTTTACTTCTCATTAAATAACTGTTCACCTTCACCCTTCATACCTCACCCAAAATATCTAAAAATGTTATGGAAGAAATTCCAATATGGAATGTAGTTCTGAGTGTCGGCTCTGGAATAAGAATATCTAAGTCTTCACCCAACCTCCAATACTGGCTATATGACTTCATCACTTCTCTAAACCTTTGTTTTCTCTGAACCTTAGTTTACTTAACTATAAAATGGGAAAAATGTTACTACAACCTTGTAGGGTTGATATGAGGAGAAAATGAGAGGTTAATAGCACCTCACGTACTACCTAGTACATTGTAAATGCAGAATACATTTGATCTATTATTATTGTTGCTACAAGTATTCAAATTATTGCTAGGCCTAGTGACAAATTGCAGGAGATGTTACCCTAATGATTTTCAGTTTACTTACAGAGCAGTGCTAATCATAGGTATATTGGGTTTATATATCCATCTATGCATCTACTCAATAAATATTAGGTAGCTACTATTTGCTTGATATTTTGTTAGGTGCTAAAAGTGATAGGCTCCAAGAATTGTATATACTATGAGTAAAATGTAAAATATAACTTTATATTAAAGAAAAAATATTTCAAGAATAGTTATGCATTAGCTACTTTCTGGGTCTTTTTGAGAAGGAGTTATCTGTTCATTAACAACAGCTGTCACTGTATTTACTTTTTTTTTCTTAGAAGAATAGCTTTAGTATTTAAAGAATCTGATTATCTTTAATTCTAGATAATCATTAACGTCTTTAAACAGAACCTGCCTTTAGCTTTGAATGGAATATTTCTGTTGAGCACATGTTTTATAATACTGTTGACTACCTTGCTTTTTTTTTTATTACTTTACATCTTGATAGCCTTTTTCACTGAAATCAAAGCAACTTCTATGTATATATTAAATATTCATATGATGGGAATACTTCTGATGCTAACATCCTTGTTACATTGTGGCTTTGCATGTCTAAGTATTGCTTCCTAAATCTAGATAAATGAAAATTCATCTTAGTTTCATTAGTTTCATCAGCTCTAATCTTATAATACCTTATATGATCATATAATACTATATCTCCTCACTAAAATACAAGGAAAGTTATAGTTTGATATTTACTTTAAGCTTCTTTGAGGAAAAGTATTGTACATGTACAAAGGAGTATCAAGATAGAGATGCAATCATGGTATCTATCCTCTAGTTGCCTGTTATGTTATGTTATGTTATGTTATGTTATGTTATGTTATGTTATGTTATGTTATGTTATTTTGATGGAGTCTCACTGTCGCTCAGGCTGGAGTGCAGTGACATGATCTAGGCTCACTGCAACCTCTGCCTCCCGGCATCAAGTGATTCTCCTGCCTCAGCCTCCCAAGTAGCTGGGATTACAGGCACGCACCACTATGCCCAGGTAATTTTTTGTGTTTTTAGCAGAGATGGGTTTTCACCATGTTGGCCAGGCTGGTCTCGATCTCCTGACCTCAGGTGATCCACCCACCTCAGCCTCCCACAGTGCTGGGATTATAGGCATGAGCCACCATGCCAACCTAGTTGCCTTTTAGAAAACTAGTTATTCTTGCTTTCAGTCCTTTATCACAATAGTGTATTGAATGTCCGTAAGTTCAATAGTAATCCTCCAAATATTTGAGACATATTTTAATATTATATAGATTATTACTTTGAATTATACTTGCAATCAGTACCCATGATTTCTCAGTCACCATTGCTTGAAGACACTTTGTTTTTCAAATAAATGCCTTTTTATGATATTGAAATATAATTTGTATAGTAGATTATTCATGGAGTAGCATGCCTAATTTTATCCTTAAAATGTCAACCAACATCAATGTTAAATTTCCTGATTTTAATTTTTGTTCTTGGTTTAGTAAGAGAATGTCCTTTGTTTTAGAAAATGCACACTGAAACAGTTGCTGGTAAAGGGCATAATGTCTCCAGCTTCCTCAAATGAGTCAGGAAAAATGCATATATATAATAAAAATATACATAGAGTGATTCAGCAAAGTTGGCAAAATGTAAACTGTTGATAAATCTGGAAAAAAGATATTCAGGAGTTGCTTATACTATTTATATAAAGTTACTAAAAAATCTACACCAACTTTAGTTATCAGTTTAGGAAAAGATCATGTATTACTTGCCTTTGTTCATTCTTGAGTATCTAGCATTAATCTTTTCCTATGTGCAAGAATACTAAAGCAGGAGGAAAGAGACTGAGTTAGTGGTTTTGGTTTCTTCAAGAAGGATGGAAATCCCAGAGGAATTAGGGAGAAAATGTGGTGATTGTAAAATTAGAAGATAACGCTCATCCGCTGTCACATTTTAAAATTACTTGGTACCTCCCACCCCCCCCCGCCAAAAAAAAACACAGATTATAGAAAACATCTTATTTGGACATCCTTTTGAAGTATAAGGCTTCCACACAAAAACTTGTACACAAATTGTTCATGGCAGCATTCTTCATAATATTAAAAAGTAGAAACAACCCAAATGTCCATTAGTGGAATATTTTCGGCCATAAAAAGGAATGAAGTACTCGCTAAAACATGGATGAACCTAAGTAAAAGAAACCAGGCATAAAAGACCACATATTATATGATTTCAGTTGTATAAAATGTCCAGAATAGGCAAATGCATAGAGTCAAAACTTAGATGAGTATTTGTTAGGGGATTAGGGGCTGGGGAGTATACAGAGTGACTGCTAATGGACACAGAGTTTCTTTTACAGGCCATGAAAATGTTCTGTAATTAAATAGTAGTAATGGCTACAAAAATGTGAATGTATTAAAAATCACTTTAAAAGGATGAATTTTATAGTATGTGAATTATATTTCAATAAAGCTCTTATTTTAAAAAAGTAAAACCTTGCCCATCACTCTTGCCTCGGAGTCTTCCTGTCTAATTAAAGGTAAGTCAAAGACCCCTAACATTACATGATCTGGCTTCCTATTACTCCACAGTCTGATCTCCTTTTACTTTTTCCCTCTCATTCCAGTCTAGCTGCAGTGCCTCCTGGCTGTTCTTGCCTCTAGTCTTTTTATTGGTAGTTCCTTCTTCCTAAAACTTACCACCTTTAACAGTTTAGTCAAATGTCAACCTCTCAGCAAGGCTTTCCCTGGCTACCCTCTCTGAAATTGTAAACCTCCCCCAGATTACCTATTTCCCCTTTTTGCTTTACTCTTCTCCTTGGTATTATTTACCATCTAACACAATATATATTTTACTTTTTTATCTTACTATTTCTCTTCCCCATAAAATATAAGCTCCCTGAGGACAGAGATTTTGTTGCTTTTGTTCACAACTGTATGTGGGGGTCTAAAATATGCTTGGCACATATTAGCACTGATATTGTTGAATGAATGAATCTGAAAGTATGAGTACAAGCAGCTATAATGAAAATCAGGAATACTAAGTAATTGAAGAAAGGGCTACATATTTTATGCCCTTTATTAAAATAAAAATTAAGTATCTCATGGGACCATGAAACTAAAGGAGTAGAAGGAAAGCAGTAATTTCTGTCTTGAAAGCAAAATAATAAGACAATTATTCAGTTATTAAAATGGAAATAAAACGTTATTTGACCCAGGCAGATAATAGTTACTTTACTTTTCAATGATAAGGACTTGGTAGATATCCGGACATACATTAAGTACTGAAAATATGTTGCCTGAATGGACAGTGTTGACATAAATCAGGGATCATTTAAGTATGGCCCATGCCTTTTTTTGTAAAAAAATTTGTATTGGAACACAGCCATGCCCATTAGTCTACGTATTTTCTATGGTTGTTTTTGTGCTATAACAGTGGAGTTAAAGTAGTTGCAGCAGATTATATGACCCACAAAACTTAAAATATTTACTATCTGGCCCTCCACAGAAAAAGTGCATTTGCTGACCCCTGCCTAAATTGGTCTCTGTGGAATATGGATTAGTATAATAGAGAATCATGACCAAGCCTTCAGAAGTTTACGTTTCATTTCCTGGACTGGCTGTGTTGATTTGGAAAAGTTAAGTTCTATGATTTTCGGTTTCTCATCTGAAAATGAATAGAATACTTATCTCACGTGGTTGTTGTTTAAGAATTTTAACTGAGCTAATGTGTATAAAGCACTTAGTGAAGTGCCTAGTAAACAGTAAATGTCAGCCCAGTAAGTAGCACATGCATATGTGTATATGCATATATACAGACATGCACATACACACAGGAAATGCATATGCCCTCAAATAGGAACTCTGTAAGTCACCAAGCATTCTCCAGACACTTTCTATATTTTTAAGTAAATAATGAATAAAGTTAATTAGTAAGTACTTACTACACATAAGACGACATGGTAAACTGCCAAAATGTATGGGATTTTGTTTTTTATGTAGAAAATTATAGTCAAACATTCTTTCTTTCTTTTTTTTTTTTCTCCTTAGAAACAGGGTCTCACTCCGTCACCTAGACTGCAGCACAGTGGCACAGTCATAGCTCACTGCAGCCTCAAACTCCTGGGCTCAAGCGATCCCCCTGCCTCAGCCTCCCAAGTAGCTGAGACTACAGGCACATGTCACCACATCCGGCTAATTTTTGCATTTTTCGTAGAAGTGGGGTCTCACTATGTTGCCCATGGTGTTATCAAACTCCTGGGTTCCTCAGCCTCCCAAAATGGTGGGATTATAGGCATGAACCACCATGCCTAACCTTCAAGCATTATTTCTGACAGCCCTATTTACAGTATTTTGATGCTCTTGACTCACATTTTAGCAAAATGTACAGCCCACTATAGAGTTTTACATTTTCAGGTAAGTTTCAATGTTTTATTTTTAAGGAAGGACTAGTTCATGCTTTGTTCGGATTATAAAAAGAGGAAAACAGTGTAATGCCTTATACATCATATTATGACAAAATTTCAATCTAGAACTTTTTCTTGGGTGCCTCATTTTCTTTTTTCTTTTTTTGATATGGGGTCTCGCTTGTACCCCATACAAAGAGTGCAGTGGGGTCTGCACTCTTACTAGGGTGCAGATATGGGGTCTCTGCACCCAGGCTGGAGTGCAGTGGCGCGATCTCGGCTTACTGCAACCTCTGCCTCCCGGGTTCAAGCAATTCTCCTGCCTCAGTCTCCCGAGTAGCTGGGATTACAGGCGTGCACCACCACGCCTGGCTAGTTTTTTTGTATTTTTATTAGAAACAGGGTTTCACCATGTTGGCCAGGCTCGTCTTGAACTCCTGACCTCAAGTGATCTGCCTGCCTCAGCCTCCGAAATGCTGGGATTACAGGCATGAGCCACAGCACCTGGTCTGGGTGCCTCATTTTCTAACTGTCAGTATACAGAAGGCAAATTCATAGGGCTGGATTATTTTGATGACCTTTCTAACTATACAGTGTTTTCTTTGTTAAAATAAATAAGAGATTTAATTTTTCCTTAACCAAGTTATTTTGGTTGTTAAATAAGAAGACCAATGGTATGAATCCTTAAATCAGGATATCTTTAGTATTAAGATATCTGCAATACATGAAATTATAATCTCACTTTCAATAATAATCTAGTAAACAGTTATAAATCTACTATATGCTAGGCATTAAAATTTTTTAAAAACTTAGTAGAACAGAAATTTTGTTTTCTAAAGGTATGAGATATTGTTGAGAAAAACATTATGTAAACAAGTAATTTTAATAACATAATAGTAATAACAATGAAAGTACGGACGTGAGAGCCATTAGTTCTACTTTAAGATGTCAGGGAAGACCTGGAGAGGTGACATTTGAGCTGAGTCTCAAGGGAACAGTTCAATATTGTCAGATGTATATGGTAGAGTGATACCACACAAGAGGTACCAAAGTCATTCGGCAAAAATCTTTGAGCTTCTACTGTGTGTCAGATAATGTTTTAGGCAGTTGAACAAAACAAAACAGTTGTCTAGTTGTTCTATACAAATGAACAAAACAAATGACTTTTTTCTGCCACTTTCAGTGGAACATGTAAAGGCGTGGAAGTGAGGTAAATAATACAGAATGGCTGAGTCGAGAGGAGTCTGGGGGTCCCTGACAAGAAAAAAGCAGAAGCCGTGTCACACCAGGAAGTTTGAGTGTAATCCTGTAGGCTACTGATGTCCAATCCCAGAGCTCCAGGGATACTGGTGTGTCATGAAGTTATTACAAAGGAATTAGCAATCCATGCTTAGATATTAAGCATGCATAGCCTGTGGATTTTAATAAAATGTCTTTTACACCTATTTTTGTACTACTTCTCAATTTTTTGTAGTTATTTTGAGTAATAGAAACTCATTTAAACATATGAATTCATAATACCTTTTTCGACAATTTTTATTTTCTCAATCGTGTGGTACTGTCACTTTAACTACTTTTAAGTAATCGTCAAAATGGTTAATTTTTAAATGAGGTCCTAAAATATTCAGCCTGGCATCTCCTGCCAGTGTTGAACCTGTTAAAACTTCTAGAGCTACCATCTAAAACTTCAGTTAATATTTGATGAGCTCCATCTAAGTGCCAAGCACTGCTCTAGCCACTAGGATTACAAAGATTAATATAAAACAAGGTCCATGTCCTCAGGGAACTTACAGTCATAATGAAATAGAGTCTAGATTAAAAATAAATAAGACTGAAGTAAGCATGGAGAAAAGGGTATAGATTCAGGATATGTTAAGGAGGTAGTAACTCTTAATCAATGAGAATCTCTCACTGAAAGCAGACTACTAGAATAGAAGCAAAGACCAGATTCTTAGGAAAAGAGCTAGTGTTTTGCTAATACAGGGGAAAAAAAGCTCTATCTTTTATTAAGAATATTGTTTTATCCTAGTAACAAGCCTAATCAATCTCCAGAGAACAAGGATATTAATAATTTATGGTTCTGTGAACATACCTCTTCTGCTTGATTTTTCTCTGCCTGGTAATAAGGTATAAACCTGTGAAATAATCTTAAGTCAAACCATGAAAATATGTAATGTAAACGATGTAAAAAATTCATCTGGATCTGACACCTTCATGATGATGTTGCAGAACAGTCATTCTCTATGTTGATCTCTGTACCTTCAGCCCAACAAGCTTACTTCTCTTCTTTCAGATTTCAGCCTTCTTTCCCACACACACACACACACACACACACACACAAATACACACACACACACACACACACTTCCTTTCTTTCCTCGCAAAGAAAGACAGCTATTGACTAGAAGCCCAGAATTGCCCCCAAGTTCCGACCACCAGCTCGAATTCTTATGAAGTGGACTTGTAATATCCTTAATGTTGCTGTTGGCAGTCAGTTACAGATTCCATTATTGTCGATCAGTGCAGTCGCCATGCGAGGTGGGGGGAGGAATGGAGGAGGAGGAGAAGAAAGGAGGGATGAGAGCTTCCTATTCACAGATTTATCAACCTGCCTTTTCTTGCAGGAAATCTTCGTAAAGGGGGCTGTTGAAATAGCTAAAGCAGGAAGGGGAAGGGGGCTGCAGTTCTTGCGGAGGACTGAAAGGAAATTTGAAAACCTTTCTCCTCAAAACAAAACAAAATGCTGAATTTGTTCTTTTGTCTTTGTTTTTGTTTGATATTTTTTACTTAACTGATTAGCTATTGTGCTGTCTGGTTATCTAAGCTGCTTCCAGTGTAGGAACCTGTTTCTTTTTCTTTGAGTGTCTTTATTCTTTATTTTCGTATGATTTTTCCTGTCATTAAACACACTTCATTATTCAGTGTTATCCTGGCTTTTTCTTTCAGACTAAAGCATAACACCAAGAGACAGAAGGACAAATCTCCCTTCTCTTCTCTTATACCACCCTCTTTTAACCCTATTTCTTTCCCCCTCCCCCTGGTTGTATTAGATTGATGTCACAGAGACAGAATTCAGAGTGGAGGGAGGATCACATTTTCTCTTTCATCATTACTGCCTAGCCAGCAATTTAAGTGTTGGACCCCCAAGAATTTAGTCTCTGTATCCTTTTTTTCTCACTTCATCATTCAGTAATTGTGCTCTGTATGGAAAAGTTTTCTGGCTGGAGAATGAGTCTCCTTTCCCCCGGTGATGTGGCGGAGTGGTTGGATAGTAGCACCGAAGAAGAGAAGAGCCTTCTGTCATTTCTGGGTACGGTAGGGCTTGCTTGTTCTTTTAACCCTTTATTGTCTGAACTTTTCTTACTTTTGGGAATAGGACCCCAAATTCTCTAAATCCACTTTTGTATTTTTAAAAGGAGAAGAGGAATTAAGGGAATATGTTTAAGTCGTTTGCTTTTCAAATTTTGTTTGTCTGTAGAAATAATGCCACCAACACTAGCTATGAGAAATAAGAGAGAGATTGCTTTGCCTTAACAAAGAGTGCTAGCTCCATTCAAGGCTTACCATGTCATCTGGCCAGCTGTTCATGGTATTTAGACAACTTCTGCCAACCAAAATAATATTATTGTTTTACTTTACTCTCAATACAGTGATGGTGAGGTGTGCTGTGTGAGAGTGGGAGTAGGCTTTGTGTGCATGAAAAGCCAATGTACAAATCGAGAAGTAGCTTTTATGCAAGGTGTGAAATATTTGTAATGCTTATATATGATTTCTACTGACTACATAAAATAGGACACATGGACCTCCCATTGCTTTAATTTTGCATTTTTGAATGCTTTCTAATAAATTTCTAAGTAAAGCAATTGTTTATCTTGTGGTTATTGATATAATAAACAAATTATTAGGAAAGTTAGGTTGTAAATCCAGTCATATCTTAAATGTGATAGAAGAGCTTGATACTCATTTAAAAACCTATTTGTGAATACTTTCCCTAGATTAATTATAGCCTTCAAATTTATCTTTCTTATAAATTTGATTTATCTTCTATTTTCCTAGATATAAGTATGCCTTTATTATAAATGGACAAAATTCAGTTGATCTTCTAATTTTCTAATTTATTCCTCATGAATATTATGTATGACCTATGGATAGTCTTCTGCCAGTCCAAAAGTTATCTCTACTATTATTTGAAAATCTTTCTTATAGTTAGCATAAGTTTATCTTTCAATTCTGTTGTCAATCTTAGCATTCTGTTTCTTTCCTTTTTTTTTTTTTTTGCAGTTTAGATGTAAAGGGTCATCCTAATCAGGTCTTCCTAGGTACATATATTTAGATACTAACCCGACTCTTAATTTACCATGGCCTTATTTATCTTCGGCATTTGGATGACTTTAAGAAATATGTATACCTCTTAAGCCTTCGTTTCTCTGAAGCCTATCTCATTCTACTTGCTTCCCATTCCCCTCCCCTGACACATGCATACATACACATAGAGAAACATCAGTGAAGAAACAAATACAGATATCCCTAAGTAAAACCAATCACTTAGACTCTACTACATCATGGGAAAGGAAGGCAGAGTTATCATTAAACATATTTTCTGTGCTCTGGCATACCTTTATGAATTCTAATTATCTAGCCTAAAGATAAATTTATTTATCTCCTGTTTTTGTGGGGAAGGCATTATCCTACTATACCTGAAATGAATTTGGTTAACAAAGATGAGTAAATAAAAAGTGCTATAGTAGTGCCCCCACCCATCCCTGCTCCTGTCCTCTGATTAAGGGAGTTAGTAAATTCCTATTTATCCACAGATGGATAAATGGAGGTAATAAAGACAAAGAATGTTAGAACTTGCTTAGAAGAAAAAAACGCAAATTTCCATAAATTATGATGTTGACTTCTGGGTAGTCAATTCCCGATTATCCACCCAATGGAAGCTTCAGATTATAGATAAAAACAGGTAAGTTAGAGTCCTGATTCTGCTCAAGGGCTACAATAAGTTTAGTTGCTGAGTGAATAGACAGCAATGTATCCCATGCTCTGCTGTGGCAGTGCTAAGCTGTGAAAGTCAGCAAATCTTATTTTTAGGATTGAAGCTCTCTCCTGACCATAGGCAGCAAACACCTCCATCTGTGGATAAACAGGAATTTTACTGAGCTCCTCCACAGGAATGAGGAACAAAACTATCTGAGATGTAGCTTGTGATAGTTCGAGGATTAAGTAAAACCCTTGTGTTGAGTCATTTGCTAATGTAATTACCATTAGTGACAACATGCTTTTCCCAATGAAGATGCCAAGAGAAAAACAAGAAAACTAAATCTACTTTATGGTGAATCTAGGATGAGTAGAACCAAGAAACACTGTGTCTTTTGGTAGCTATCAAATTATGCTTTCTTTGCCTAAGGAATTTTAAGGCAGATTTCCCTCCAGAAGGGGGGATGCAAGAAAAGTACTTTGTGCTGGTTAGGATCTACTACTTACTTCTGTACAGTAACCACCTAACTGATGTTCAGGCCTTCCCAATAACGTAGCTCACTGCTAGTTTGATGAAACTTCATACAACTGTGCACTGTTATTAATCTGTTAAAAAACCTTCCATGGTTTCTTCATCACCTACCAGATAAATTTAAAACACCTTACTGTGAAACTTAATTTGGCCTTTCACACCTGACATTCTATTATTCATTTTAGAGGAGAAAATCCCCAAGCCTCCCTTCCAACCAAATTGATTTACTTCCTGTCTTGGAACAAATATTGCCCTTTCCTACCTTGTTTCTTCTGTCAGCAGTGTTCAAACTCAGCTTTCTAAATTCAGCTTTTTAAAACTCTGCCCTTGTTTCAAAACTTTCTTATAAATAAATGCAATGTTCTAGACACTGCTAGATGCTGTGGCTGGATACAGAGAAGTATAAGAAAAAGCTGCTTGTGAGAGGCATAGTGTTTGGCTAGGGAGAAAACATGAACTACGCACAAGTTAAATGAGAAAAATTAAATGGTAATTCAGACGACAGTGGAGAAAATGAAAATAAGGCAGTTCCTAATTGTAAAATTATCCAGGTAAAAATTGCTTTGGGAGTTTGAAGAAGAGACATTTAAAAACATTGAAAATTATCTTACAGAGATAGGGTTTAATCTGAATCCTAAAAGATTTTTTATGGAAATGGTAGGGTTTTCTGTATGAAAGCAGTGTCCTGAGGAACATTAAATAATTTCACATCCGGTGAGCAAACTGTCTTGAAAAGAACGCAGAATTCATGTAAAGAAGTAATGAGAGATAACATTTGAAGGGTATTTGGAAGCTCACTATGTAGGACTAGTGACAATTTTATCCTGAAAGCCATAGAGAAGAATGAAAGACCCTTGAGCAAGAAGAAGATATGATCAAAATAGTTTTTTAGAAAGACATCTGAAAGTGATACTAAAGGGGAAGAGGCTAGAAGCAGTTAAATCAGTTTGAAAGCTATTGCAGTAGTACAGGTATGCAATAAGTGCCTCTACTTTTTTTATCCCTGTGTATTATAATTGTTGGTTTGTGTATTAAAACCAGACTGTGAATGCCTCCACAAGGAGGGCTTAATCCTCTGTCTTTTCAGCACGTGGAATACTCCTTGTGCAGATGAATGTTTGTGTAGCTCAGGTGAATAACAGATTAAAATAGATGGAGAGATTACAAAGAATGTATCAGCAGAATTGGTGACATATTAGAGGAATGGGGAACAAAATGAATCAAAGATAATTTTTGAACTTGGAAGAATGGTGGTACTATTAACAGAAATAAATTGAGAAAGGGAGCCAATTTTTTAGGAAGATGGGAGTTCTGTTTAGGTATTTTCACTTTTAGAAGACTAATCCACATCCAGACAGAAAAAACAGTTTTGGTAATTGGAAATGAAGTCACAGGTGGGAGCTGTTCATCTAGAGAAGAAAGATTGTTGATATTCTAAGCATCTGTAGGTCATCTGCTATCAAGAGCTTGTCAAGAAAAAAGAGAGGGCAGCAGCTGAAACTTGAAGAATATCAACATTTGGGGGTGGGTGGAGACAAAGAGGAGACACAGAGCGAATGACCGTAAATGTGGGAGGAAAGCCAGGATGGTGTGGTATTACAGGTGCTAAGGTAGAAAAGGTTAACAATGTGGTCAGTAGTGTCAGTGGCTACAAAAGCCAAAGAGAAGTCAGAAAAAAACCACTAGGCTTGACAATGTAAGAGACTGTTGATAACCTGTGAAAGTGTTAATGCTATTTGAGTAAAGTTGAAGAGGGAGAAGTCAGATTTTATAATACTGAGAATGACAGTAGGAGGTGAGATAGTGGAAACCACAGGTTAAGCCTTTTGCCTGAAGAAATCTGTGACTGACAGAAACATGTACCCTGTTAAAAACTAGATTGAGAAGACTTGTACATATTTTTAAGTGGAGGAGAGAGCAAGATCTTGAACCTACAAGAATAAAGACTAAGAAAACAAAACATTTTATGGGTTTGGAGGTGAGAGTAGAATTAAAAGCATAGGATTAACCTTTTGAAGGGAGAAAGAAAAAACTCATACAGGAACCAAATATACATGCCGAGATTTAGCAATGGAATGTAGGGAAGATGGGGAGATAACAGCTACTGTATTAATCTTATGCCATTTATCACACCCAGTCTTGCAGAGTTAGCTATTTGTGTACCCATTTATGTTGTTATTTGTGTGCCCATCAAATACTTCCCTGCTACTGCCAGATAAGGATCTTCTCTTAATATTTTGGCATCTTCCAGAATAGCACCGAATAGGTACTTAGTAGATACTTTTTGAATGAATGAATGATATCCAGATACCCAAAAATTTGAGACTCGGGACTTTTCAAAATTATTGAAATTATTCTGTCAGATCCAGCTTTTTTTCCCTCTTATTCTACTACTATTCTGTAGTCCCATAACCTTTTCAGGTACTTTGATAGCATTTGAAATTATTATTCAGTAGATAATGATTGCGTTTTCCAAATTCTAGAATAAGAAGGAAAATACTCAGCGTATACTTTTTTCCACTTTGCCTTTTCTAAATGGAATTTAAATGATTTCATTTTACTTCATAGAGTGAAGTAATTTATGTGATGGAATAGTTCTATGAAAGAATAATGTAATTTTGACAAATCCTAAACATTTTAAGTTTCTAAATGACTCTGTTGACTATAGTTAATTATTTGGCATTGGCAACTATTATCTGATTCCCAAAATTTACACCAAACATCAAGGGAGAAACATATTCAAAAATTGAAACTCTAATTTCTGGTAATATGCCAGACTAGATAACCTCAAAAATAATATAGAGACAATTAGAAATTTCACATTAGTGTAACAAACACTTTTAACTAAATGGCTGAACTCTCAGGAAGGAAAGGAAGTCCCCAGGAAGAGGAAAAAGAAAACAAAACAAAACTCGAAATCTAGACAGTAAACTCTCCTGGGGGCATTTACCAATTTTAGAATATTAGAGTTAAGTTTTAATGGCTATAATATAGGAGATGGGCCAAGGGTCTAACAAAGTAAAGAATTAGAACTGAAAGGCCTATGTCATTCTTCCCCATAGGACTGGGCCTCTGAATGAGTTACACCTTCAGTGAGAGTTGAAGTTAGAAAAATCTCTCATTGACAAATATAGACAAATCTTAATTATCTTAACCTGGACTGGTAGGTGAGGTGGGAGGGGGAAAAACATCCTGAGAATTCATAATCACAGTCGTGATAAGGTAAAACTGAAATAGTGGACAACATTAATATGTCAGAGATAGGAAGTGGGTAATTGGAATTGAAGTATTTTAAGATTGTTGAATTATTCGAGAAAAGGATAGAAATCGTGATTAACTTTAGGCTTTAAGTATACGTGTTAAAATGTTAAGGACAACTACTAGAAGAGTAAAAATAGAGTATTTTTATTGAAATATTTGAAAATATTAAAAAATATTTTCAAAAGCAATACAGAAGAAAATGGAATTTTTTAAACCTGATTAACCTGATTTTAAAAAAAAGAAAATCAGAAAAAAATGGGGAAAAAAATAGAAAATACAGTAAGATGGTAAAAATAAAATCCAATTATATCATAAATTATATATGAAAATGTTAAAAGATAAATATTGTCAGACTGGATTTTTTTTAATGCTATGAATGAGAGATCTAAAACACAGGGACCTAGGAAAGTTAAAAGTAAAGGCTTGGAAAAAGAAAGCTGGTGTAGCCAGTGAAATAGAATAAGACTATCAAAAAAGTTACTGGAATAAAGGAGGTCCCTAAATAATGATAAAATATAAAAATCACTAGGAAGACATAACAATCTTACATGTACCCAATAACAAAACCTCAAATTTTATTTGGCAAAAATGGACAGAAATGGATAATTCTACAGTCCTATCTATAAAAATTAGTAAGGATATAGAGAATATTCAAAAATGCAGTAAGCTTGATTTAATGGACATATATAGAATCCTGACTCCAACAATTAGTCTTCTCAAGCACATACAGAATCTTTATAAAAACTGGCAATAGACCAGGTCATAAAACAAATCTCAACAAATTTCAAAGTTATACGGATTGCATTCTCTAATAACAGTTGAACTAAGTTAGAAATTAGTAACAAAAATTTACTGTAAAAACCTTTATTTTTGCAGTCTTTTAAAGTTACTTGCAAATAACTTGTTAGTCAAAAAGGAAAACATAATGGAAATTATAAAATACTAAGCAATACTGAAAATAGTGTATATCAAAACTTGTGGAATATCACTAAAATAGTTCTTAAATGAAATGTGTAGTCTTTTACATTGAAAAGGGCAAAAGCTACAAATCAATGAGCTAAGCGTTTAACTCAACAAGTTAGATAATAACAAACCCAAAGAAAGTTTAGGGAAAGAAAGAATGAAAATAAGAGTAGATAATGATGAAATGGAAAATAGAAATAAACAGAATCAATAAAGCCAAGAGTTGTTCCTTTAAAAAGCCTAATGAAAATAGATGAAACCGACAAGATTTGCTAAAAAGAGAAAATATAAACAATGTTGACATGAAAAAAGGGTATAATTATAGAAAATTAGAGAATTGAAAAATAGACTATTATAAAAAAGACCTTTTTGATAATATATTTGGAAATTTAGACAAGTGGACATTTTAAGAAAAATGTAACTTAAAATTGTAGAAGCAATAAAAAACTGTAATTAGGCCTGTGACCTGTAACCATTAAAGAAACAGAGGCTAGACACAGTGGAGCACACCTGTAGTCTCAGCTACTGGGGAGGCTGAGTTGGGAGGATCACTTGAGACCAGAAGTTTGAGGCAGTGAGCTGTGATTCTGCCACTTTACTGGGAGTGACAGAGCAAGACCCTGTCTTGAAAGAGAGAGAGAGACAGAGAGAAAGGAAGGGGAGGGGAGGGGAGGGAAGGAAGGGAAGAAAGGAAGAGAGAAGAGAGAGAGAAATGGAATCAGTAGTTTAAAATCTACCACTGATTATGGTTTAATTTCTCATACAGCTTGACTTCAGAAAAATAATTAATGTCAAAGCACACTTGCGTTAATATTTCCAATCAGTGATAATTCAGTTTTTCATAGCAAGTGAATAAATTAGCATTCTGGCATCTAAATTTAAAAGCAAAAAGTACCTCAGTATGGCTATTGAATCCATATTGAGTCTCACAGGTGGACATGGTTCCCTTAGAGTTTTTAAGTCTTACATCCTTTGTTTAGGGATTTCCTTAGAACAGAAAAAGTGTAGAACAGAAGATGTTCTTGCAAAAATTTTCCTTTTGGGGATGTATAATTTAAAAACTAAAGGAAATTAAGCTGAACAGATATCTAAAGAAAATGAATAAGATATCAAGACTTAAATGTAATTATGTTTAAGTGTGCTTCTCAATAAAATTTGGAAATTTGTGACTTAATTTGAGACAGGGTCTCACTCTTGTCAGTCAAGCCCTGCCTCTTCCACCTCAGCGCCTTGCCTCCCAGCCTCAGCGCCCCCTACCCGTAGTAGCTGGGACGACAGGTGCAGTCGCACGCCGCCACGCCCAGCTAATTTTTGTATTTTTTGTAGAGATGGGGTTTCTCACCAGGTTGCCCAGGCTGGTCTCGAACTCCTGAACTCAAGTGATACACCCGCCTCGGGCCCCCAAAGTGCTGGGATTACAGGCGTGAGTCACCGTGCCCCGCCAATTTGTGACCTTTTTAAATAGAATGATGCATAGAAGGAAAATCCTCAAAACTTTTAAACCTAATTTCCCATGAGGCTTATTTATCATAATCTCAATTTTTCTGTGATAGCCATGTCACTAATAGAGAGATCAAAAGAAAAAGAAAAAAATTAGAAGAAAAAATAACAATTTAATATACATAAAGGAGAGTGGTCCTAAACTCAACCAGTTGGTTGAATTTAATTCCATGTGTGAGTTAGAGGTAACTAGAAAATTTATTAATTTATTTTGTATTAAATTGAACTATATGAAATTGCTGGTATTTTACCATTTTAATCTACCAAAAAAAGGCAGTTCTATAGGGCTGTACCTAATAGAGTCATGATTATAAGCACATGTGTCTATTGAGTGGGGGTAGGGGCAGGTGTCCAGACAAAGTATGCTTAACTATTTTTTAGTTGTTAAAATATATTTGCCATTATTTATTATCTTTTATTCTATCTTAATAATCCCTGCAGACAAGCAAGAATGGGTGCAAATGGTTTATAAAAACATTGTGAGAGAAATACTTAAAACAGAGAGAATTCTACCGGTTAAAATTTGTTTAAAAATTTAGACACAATCACAAGATGATTCCAATCTTGCAGTGACTTAAGACCTCCATTATGGAACACTAGTATCAGTATTAGTCAGGAATATAGTTTAGTTTGGTACCCAAAACTAAAACGCATATAATCAAAGAATATGAACTTATATAAATGTATTAATTGGAAATCAAAGAAATGTGAGTAATTAGGCCTGGTTTTATGGAAGTAGATGAATTGAAGTTGATATTGAAGGTCATCTAAGAGTTGGCAGATATGTAGGTGAAAAAAGCAGGCATGTGAGAATGAATGTGGCCAGTTTGAGATTAGAGATCATCTGACTGAGGCAAATTGTAGAAAACTGTTGGCAGAAAGGACTAAATATGCAAAGTAGGGCCAGGTGATTTTTTTCCTAATGTCTGACTATCTAAAGATCTCTAGGAAGGAAATTTCATCCAGAAAGTAATGTTTTAGGGAGATTAATCTGGTAATGATGAGTAGGATAGCTTTAAGCAGGGAGAGACTGGAGTCAGTAAGAGCAGTTAGGTGCTTCCTGCCATAATCTGCATGAGAAGATAAAAAGCCCTAGATTAGGATGGTGGATGGTAGTGGAAATAAGACAAAATGAAGCCAACAGCCATTTCGAAGAGATACTTAGCAGTGTGTGTTGGCTAAAGGGGGGCAAATCAACATCATAGGCTCCTTTCTTTTTTATTACCTTCACTAATGGGTGATGTTGAGTGTAAATGATTTTGTTTTTGTACAGTGTCATGTGCATATTTAGTTCTTGGTAAATGATTAAATTTTCATCTTTATATTACAGGTTTACATATTTGTATGTTTTCTTTTTTTAATGTCCTCTATTAATATTTGTTTGGGAAATAAAACCCAAACAGAGGCTCTGGCATAATCAAGACTAAATCTTTTTTTTAATGTTCACTGACTACCAAAATGATGGTATGAATAAATCTACCATTATACCCCCAATTGTACATGAAGCATATTAACAATGAGAATATATTACTAAATCAGTTACAGAAAAAGTTATATATGAAGCATATTAATAATGAGTATATATTATTAAATCAGTTACAGAAAAGGTTTAAATAAAGGTGTTAGGCCCTATCTGTAGATTAGAAGAGATAGTTGATGACAAAATAAAACTCACCAAACTGAAGTTGATACCTTATAAATACCAAACTGAAGTTAATACATTATAAATAATTGGACTGACATGTTCAAAATAGTCATTTTATGCTGAACAATGCTTTGTTGTTTAGTAATTGTTCTTTGCAAAACCTAAAATATTAATGCTTTTTATCTCTGTTCATCTCATACAACTTATCTAAGTACTTATCTCCCCACATAGGTATACTGAAGATTAGTGGCATTGAAAGACATGGTTTATTTTGGAGGGCTCTTGTCACTTTTTTGTTCAAGGGATCAGTATTAGATATTCTTTATAAGTTGTTTCCTGTTTTGTTCACATTTTTTCACCATTAACTTTTGTCATTAAGTTAGTAAACTTTTGTCCCTTGTTATTGTTTTGCCTCACCTCTCTGTGTTTCTTGACTAGAATGTTTTTATCAGCATCAGCATTCAAGGATTGAGTTGTTCTTTACAGGTTTTGTGTGCAGAAAACACCTCAAGAGTATGACTTAATTCTCTTTAAAATATGAAGAAAACTAGAGTCTCTGTGATCATTCATCTTATTTTTTTTCTCCATTGCAGCCCATTATACAAAACACATGGAGAACAGGATAGAATGCATGGCAATTAAAGCTGTCTCTAAAGCCAAACTGCATGGATTCTAATCCTGCCCCCACCCTTTTTACCAGCTGTGCAAACATGGGCAGAGTAATACATGGGTGATAGTTCCACCTCCAAAGAGTTGTTTTGAGGATTAAAGATGTAACTTATGTAAAACATGTAGCAAATAATAAGGCATAATACAAGGTTGGCGCAAAAGTAATTGTGGTTTCACATTTTTTAAGTTGCAAAAGCCACAATTACTTTTGCACCAAACATGACAGTTTGATGTTTGTACTTGTCGTTGTTATGTTTTCATCATCATCATTAAGATACCCACTTGTCATCACTAAGAACTAGATACGTGTTTTCTATCTGAAACTTAAGATAACACATAAATATCCCTGAGCTATTTTCTTGGCCTTTTCAGTTGAGAGTGTTGTTTGCACTAAAAGTATTCTCTACCATCTCATCCAACATTGTCATGTGAAGCCCTAAGTTGAAGAAATGGAATACTTGTGGGTGGTATTCAGATTCCTTGGCTGGGGAAAAAAATTGTTTTTCTATTATGTTAACAAGAAGAAATATTAAATATTAAAAATAATAATAAATTTACTGAAGCAAGGAAGTGGTGGGGAGACTGGATGGCTTTACTTTATGAGAATTTACCACATTTATGTACTTAGCACCAATTTGTACATATTGGAGTGTGTGGGGCATGCAAACTTGAAAGGACTACTTGTTTGAGTGAAGTACTGCAGTCTGAGTGATACAAATTGGGTGAATTAAAGTGGCTCTGGGGATTTGTATTTCAGAGCAGCTGGATGCTTGTGGCTGACAGTGCATAGGCTTTAAGGCAGTAAAAGTGGGATACAGCAGAAAGTATCCTACTGAAAATGGTGGATGAAGTTTATAAAAACACCCAGGTGCTATAGTGTTAGCAGCCGTATAAATGCAGTATGTGATTTTTCTTCTCTTTGCTCTTGTCACTTTTTCTTTATAATATTTTTCTAACTCTGTCTTTTAAGTTCCTATTACCTTTAGGAGTCCTCCAGCAAAAAAATATGAAACCTTATTTTCATGAAAGCCTTTTTTGTTTCACAATTTGCCATTTGTTATTAAAGCCCCTCTACTGAAGAGCTACAAACCCATTTCCTCCTACTATTTCATCCTTCCTATTCTGTTTCTTAAATGTCTTCTGTGCCTTAAATGTCTTCTGTGCATCCTATGGAAGAAGAACCCTCCTAATTCAGAATTCACAGCATGGAGAGAGAAGTTATTTGCTTATTTCATTCATTAATAACTAGAGCCACCAACATACCACATCCTATTTAATGTTGTCATTATTTACAAAATGCAAGGGAAAATAGATTATAGTGAAGTGGACTCATTCATAGCAACACTATATATGCCAAAATTTCAGTGACTTGAATGGGTACACAAACAGTTTGGTTTGTATTCAATGTTTTATCATGTTTTGTTGAAATGTTGATTTTTAAAAAGGCTTTTGAAGTAAACTGAAGAATTCACTTTATGAGAAAAACATTAGAAACTTGTTTCCTACCTACAAATATCAAAATTATTAAAGAGGCATGTGAATAATTATAATTGAAAGAGTATTTACATTTATTCATGTTTTATAATTCTGTGCAAAAAATTACTAAGAATTGGTTCAGGTTGCCATTAATATGAAGTGCTTAGAATCCTGTATATGCCAAAGAAACTGCATCTGTGACATGTAATATTTTTCTGTTCTATTGTAACTTGAGAATTTTACTATGATATTTTAGTTTCTTATATAATTGTTCACCAAATTAAAGCTATAAATATCTTTCTACATTTTATTTACCTTTCCTGCTGAATTTCCTCCTCTGAACTTACTTTATTCCCTTTTAAATTTTGCCACCATCCTCAGAGAGAGTAATAATTGTTACTATCTCAGGGGCTACAGCAAAGATTAAGTAAGTTAGATACTAGGCCCAGTACTTAGCACATAAATTCTCAACATGAGCTAAAATTCGCTGGGTGTGGTGGCACGCACCTGTGGTCCCAGCTAATCAGGAGGCTGAGGTGGGAGGATCGTTTGAACATGGGAGGTATAGGCTGCAAGGAGCTGAGATTGTGCCACTGCACTCCAGCTTGGGAGACTGAGTCCATGTCTCAAAAAAAAAAAAACACACACACACACACAAAAAAAAAACTCAATATGAGCTAAAATTATAATAAAACTATTTTCCCTAGACAAATTATTCACAAAGAGGTGCTTAAATAGCTTTTATAATGTAACTCTTTTAAAAGAAAAAAAATTTAAATTATTATCTTTACTTGTTTTTTACGCTATGGTAACTAATTCTAAAAATGATAGACATTATAAGAAATTTATGTTATTTATAATAGTTAAGTATATGCAAATATTATATGGCATATGACCTTCGGTTAAACGAGATTGAACAAAAAGTAAATGTAATTGATGCCTATAGATATTTGACCGTATAGTAATGACATTGTGTAGCAGATACCTTTCTCATTTAAGATATTTTCGGAGTCTTTTGGAACCTAACCCTCAGTTAATATGATAGACATTTCACTTTACTCTCTTTCCAAACATAATAACATTCCAGATTTATTCTGTATCACATTCATTATTCAAAATCCTGAAAAGAAAATTGACCTGGTGGAGTTGGCTCAAGCCTGTAACCCTAGCACTTTGGGAGGCCAAGGCGAGTGGATCATTTGAGCCCAGGAGTTAGAGACTAGCCTGGGTAAGATGGTGAAATACCCTTTCTAGAAACAGGCATGGTGGCACACACTTATAGTCCCAGCTACTCAGGAGGCTGAGGTGGGAGGATCACTTGAACCCCGGAGGTGGAGTTTGTAGTGAGCCCAGATCATACCACTGCACTCCAGCCTGGGCGACTGTCTTAAAAAAAAGAAAGAAAAAGAAAAGCATTAAGAAATACCAGTAAGTGTATATCTATGGACTTTCAATACGATTTGTACCTTTTGGTGACGCATGTCTGACCAGGTGGTTTTTCATTTTAGAGTTAAAAAAAAAAAGTCCTTACAAGAGAAGATTAATGAGTTTATATGTTTTGGTGCAAAATTAGCTTTTTGGAAGAAAGGGGTTCTTTAAAATATAGTAGTATTGTAGTGTCATTTCCTTAGCATATACATTTTCTTCTGTCACTGTCCTTATATTGGCCAGTATTATCTGAACATGTCTGCCCCAGTTCCTCTCAGACTTTACCTCCTACTATTTGTTCCCACTCACTGGCACCAATCCCACTGGCCTCTTTGTTGCGGTTTACCTTAGAAGCTTTGTACTAGCTTCCCTCTACCTGTAGTCTTCTTCCCTGTTAAACCTGCAAGGCTGACTTCCTTACCTCCTAAAGTATTGACTCACACCTCACCTTTGCAGTGCAACTACCTATTGAAAATTACTGTACCTATTCATCTCCCTGACTACTTTTTATTTCCCCTAAAACACTTGTCACCTTCTAACTTACTCCTTAGGGTCCTCTCAAATACATGATAGGAATTTTTGGCATTTACTCCCTGGTAAGTGAACCAAAGGCAGTGTATACACTATTAGGTTCTAAGGCAGAAATTGACTTCTGTTTGTTGAACAGGAACATCCTCCACCAAAAGTATATTTGCCCCTATAATTATCCAATTTTCAATTTCTTTGCCACACTTTCCAAAGAAAGTGCGTTGACATAGAGGAATATGTGTATGTTGAGGAAATGATAGTACTCTATTTTGGATTTTAAAAGATTCTTCCTTCCAGAAAGCTAATTTTGCCTCAAAGCATATAAACTCATTAATCTTGTCTTTATCTCTGTTTGGTCTGGATAACCCAGTTTATTAAATGGCGAAGACCAGGACAGAAAAGGTGAAATGGCTTACACAGAATCGTACATATCATTGGTAGAGCTGCTAAGAAAAACATCCAGATGTTCTCTTTGTTCAATACATCATTCTATATGGAGCTGTATTGGAGGTTATCTCTCATCATTTTAAGTCATCACATCATCTGAGGTCATATCCAATGGCAAAGGAAATGAAGAGATACATTTAAAACTTAACCAGGCTTTTTATAACTCTTTTTGCCTTTCAATCTGAAGATGAAAAATATTATGTTTAGAGATGAGAAAGTGAGGCAGTTTCAGGCCTTTATCTGAAACAATACTGTATCTCTCTTGTCTCATCAGTCTCAGAGAATGAGCATATTTTAAAATGACTGTAATTAAATATTGTAACTATGAAAAGAACATTAATTTTACAGCAGGTGAAAATAATGCAATAGTATGTAGCATGAGTGGGGGTAGAGGATACAGCTGTCTAATTTTGGTCTACTGGAACTAGTGTAGATTTTCCTTCAAACTGAGCAGAAATGTAGCTCTTAGAGCATAGTAGCAGCTTTCCTTTCTGCTTACAGATTTAAAGTTAAAGGCACAAGTTTAATATGCTGTTCGTTCTGTGACTAATCCAGCAGGTTGCTCATTCCGCTCTTGCTAATGCTGCTACCTTGCTTCTAAGTGGACATTGGTACTTGGGGTATTTATTTTTCTGTATGCTTTGAAGTAGTTATGAATCTTCTGAGAACTAAAGAACTGGGATTCTCCAAAGGCCTATTCTACACTAGCAGGTGAGTGGTATTATTGTGGGGGTTGAGAAAGCAACAAAGTGTAAACTTCTTTTCATTAGGTGATTTAGCTTTACCTTATTTCTTCCCCTTCTTTCCCCTTTTTAGTGGAAATTGTTCAAACTTCAGGAATGATTTAATATCTTCTTTCTGGACCCGATAATACATCATATAAGCTACATCAGCATTGTATTTTTTCCCATAATACAGAAAGAGAATTTTTTTTTTAATTTTATTATTATTATACTTTAAGTTTTAGGGTACATGTGCACCATGTGCAGGTTTGTTACATATGTATACATGTGCCATGTTGGTGTGCTGCACCCATTAATTCATCATTTAGCATTAGGTATATCTCCTAATGTTATCCTTCCCCCCTCCCCCTACCCCACAACAGTCCCCGGAGTGTGATGTTCCCCTTCCTGTGTCCATGTGTTCTCATTGTTCAGTTCCCACCTATGAGTGAGAACATGCAGTGTTTGGTTTTTTGTCCTTGCGATAGTTTGCTGAGAATGATGGTTTCCAGTTTCATCCGTGTCCCTACAAAGGACATGAACTCATCATTTTTTATGGCTGCATAGTATCCCATGGTGTATATGTGCCACATTTTCTTAATCCAGTCTATCATTGTTGGAAAAAAGAGAAAAGAAAACAGAAGTATAACAATACCATATTTATTGGAGTTTGAAATGTGGCCACTAATTTTAGTCAATATAGTTTCAAATAGTTAAAAGCATTGAAACATATTCATTTAATGAGTTTGTATGCCTGAAAACTAAAATTGGATGTATGGAAGAAAGTGAGGAAATTAATTTCAGTTTTTTTTCCTTAGCCAGAACATTGCAAATTAAGGAAATGGTTTACTAGATCATTTTATCCCAGCTAATGAAATTTATTTTTCCCCCAATTTAGTTTCTCTGTCAATTATTCAGAAATTAAAACATACTATATTGTAATATTAAATCTCCAGTGTCTTCTAATTTGATATGAGGTTACCTTTATAGGTAATTATTAGAGGAAAGGTGAGATTTTTTTTCTACCTTCACCAGCCCCATTCCCTGCCTGCCTTGCCCCTAGCCACATAGAGTCATCTAACTTGGATAATTACTCTGTAAAGTCATATTCCTGAAGTCTGGAAGTCTTTCTGTTCAATGTGCTCCAACAAGCTGATTTACTTAAATTCAGTGCTTTGTGCCATTCCCATGAATCTGAGCTAATTATGCTGCCATTTTTCAGCGATGTGCATTAGAAGTCATGTGTGCCTAATTCTGAGAACAGCTTTGCACATTAAGGCTCATTTGACTAGTGATGGTTAGAGAGAAGTTAAGGGACTTACAGTTACTGGTCATAATTTTAAAATACAGTAGTAGTATGGAACTCTCTTGTACTGCAAGCATACAAGATGCTATGTTGTCAGCCTCTCAGTCTTTAGGAATGTTCCAATTTGGCTTGTGCCTTACCAGTCAAGATGTCACAGAGAAGATATGTTTAGTCATGGAAAAGAAAATCAGTGTCCAGCATGCAAAGATAGTAAAAGGGTAAGCACTTCCAGTTGGATTTTCATAGGAGGAATTGATTTGTGTGCATTACTGGATCTGTGTAAAATGGTGTCCTTTTGGCACTAGGTGGATATACATTTCAGTAAATGTTTTTTCTTGCTGCAGATTAGTGTAAGACAGTGAAATTTTCAGTAACTGAGGGAAGGCAGTGGTTGGGCATCTGTTAATAGCCTGAAAGTAACTAATGAGGATGTGCAGTCAGAACGATTGATTGAATAGCTGCAGTCCTGTGTATTTCTTTCTTGCTTGCTCTCTGCAAGCTGTGGAGAGGGAGGGGGAAGAGCAAGACACAGAGAGGGAGCGAGAGAAAAAACGCTCTCTCTTAAGTGGAAGTAGCACGGATCCCAGGGGCCAGGAGGCCAGAAATGGAAGTTTAAACTGCATCTGTCTTTTAAAGGGAGAACAGCAGGAATCAAAATGTCAGTCTCCGGAGTTACGATTTACTCCTTGTTTTCTAAGATCTGGAAGATAACACAGAATACTTTTTTTAGGATGTGGCTTTTTTTTCCTTGTCCATGTTGAGATTATCTAATGTTATCTGAGAAGCTGGATTCCTTTATGTCTGTCAGTTGAAGTGGCGATGGGAAGCAGTTGTGATAAAGGTATAATACGTATATATCTATCATCTGTGTGTGCGTGTGTATGCATATATATATACACATGTATATATATATCACTCTATGAAAAAATCTTAAAAATGTAGCCTTAATACAGTATATAGTAATTAAATGGGAGAAGATCACATTATCTGCAAAATCCTAAGCTTGTTAGGTTAGTTTGAACAGATTTAGGATTCCAGAGTAAGATCTTAGTAAGGTCATATTGCCAGAACAAGGAGAAGCTGATCTATTTTTATATCTGCATAGGCATATATGTTATTTTATCTTGGCAGCAGCTTTCAGTCTTCTCATGGCCCTTTTGTTGCAGTCTGGTGAATCATCTTATCTGCACAGAACTAACTTTGACCTTTGTGCAAACACCATCAAATCATATGCAACATTAGACTATATTTTGTTCAGAAGAATATTAGAAATTCCATTTTATTCTATTAACTCCTACATTGCTGACATGTAGAGAAGTAGATTTATATACTGTGAGATGCAACTATTAAGTGAACTTAAAGATATTAAACATAGCTCAGAGGAAATTATTTTTATATGTGCACAGATGAAAATATAAACTGTCACACTAAAGCAGATTCTTAACTGTGACCAAGTCTCTCTAGTGTCTTGATAGTTTAAGCACCTCAAAGATAGATAAATTATGTGAGATAGAATGTAATATACCTTTAAAGCATGCTGGTTTATTGTGAAAAACCAGTAACTTTACAGTTCAGTGGAAGATCCTAAATTTGGGGTTCTTAATGATGTTTCAACTTTCCTCCTTTTTTCCAGAGGTACCAGCAGAAAGGTCCCCTCGTAGACGGAGTATCTCAGGGACCAGTACATCAGAGAAACCCAACTCCATGGACACTGCAAATACCTCACCCTTCAAAGTACCAGTAAGTGTTTATCTTCTTTATAAGAATATTTTACTTTTCCTTTTCTCCTTTCTTCTTAGAGTTAGGGGCAGCTACTAAGGAATCCAAACATTCTTCTCTTCAAGAATTTCTTTATAATTCTGTGATTAAAGGATAGACTCATCAACTTGTGTAAATTAACTGTGGTTAATTGTCAACTACTTTCTTTTTTTGAGACTGAGTCTCACTCTGTCATCCAGGCTGGAGTGCAGTGGCGCGATAACACTCACTGCAACCTCCCCCTCCCGAGTTTAGGCGATTCTCCTGCCTCAGCCTCCGGAGTAGCTGGAATTACAGGCGCATACCATCATGCCTGGCTAATTTTTGTATTTTTAGTAGAGGCGGGGTTTTACCACATTGGCCAGGCTGGTCTCAAACTCCTAACCTCAAGTGATCCCCCTGCCTCAGCCTCCCAAAGTGTTGGGATTACAGGCTTAAGCCACCATGCCCAGCCGTCCACTACTTTCAGTATAATATTTATTAGGTTTTAGGGAATATTATTTTTACTCACAGGGTACTTAACAAAATATGTAACTACATTAAGTTCAAATTCCTCTCAACTGTAGAGTTCAAATCCTTGCAGACATCTTTTTATCAAGTTGCTAGCAAAAACCTATCACAATTCTGTAAAGAATCTGGTGGCAGGTTTTTTTTTTAGGAACGGGATGTGGTTTTTTTTATTTTTCAGAGCTGGAACATAAGCAGAGAGTGACGAGACTCAGAAAGTTGCAGACTAAATTCACAGAGAATTAGACAATTGTGAATTCTAATCCTAAGACTTGGTCTGCACTTTGCTTAAGCTATCTTTTGGATGACCATGGAAGTGCTTAAGAAAAACCTTGAAAGAAACTAACTCCTTAAATTGACCAGGCAGTATTGAGAATCAGCATTAAATACAAAAGAGGCTGGGCCTAGTGGTTCACACCTGTAATCCTAGCATTTTTGGGAGGCTGAGGTGGGAGGATTAATTAGACCTTAAGGATATTATTGTGTTCCAGGATGGTCTATAGTGCAGAAATTGACATTGATAATAATGATCCTGAATCATCAAGAAAAAGTGAGATTATATTTATTTCACTATTTTTTTAAAAAGTGGAACTATGTTTGTGACATGCATCCATTGAGAACATTTAAAATGTTGAAGATATGTGATGTTTATAAAACTTGTTATCCAGAAAAGTGGTTTGTGAAGTACCTCATTCCTTGGTCATGCTAGATAAATAATTTATTTTTTCAAGAGAAATCAAAATATGCTGGCTAAATGAGTACTTGGATATCTGTAGAAATTCATTGTATTTTCTTAAATTTTCATGTAATACCAATAGTAGTGTGATTTACATCACTTAAATATATTGCTGATTAGAAGAATGTCTAATTTTCAGGTCAACACACAATACATTTATAATTAATATCACAGTGGACTCTTTGAATTTGGGAAAGCAGTACAAAAAGGAGTCAGACTTTGAGATATTTAACTTAGAGTTGTTTATGCAATATCTGAATTTAGGATAGCAGTACAAAAAGGAGTCAGACTTTGAGATATTTAACTTAGAGTTGTTTATACAATATCTCAGATCGTTTCTATGTTAACTTTGTGGAGAGACAGAACCAATATTTTACCACAAGTACCAGTGGTTCCAGGATTCAGATGTCATTGCTATGGTGAGCAGTAGGTTTACCACTCATCAATTGGACCCCAAAATTATAGTAGTGGACTCTCACAAAGGACCTTATTCTTCCGAGCTCCATTTTCAGACTAACTGAGAGCAGATAAAATAGATTTTAACAAGTCCTAAATGAAATTATTTACAATGACACACTTATTGAATGCTTACTTTGGGCAAAGTATTGGTGATTCATCAATTGATACCTTCTTGGCATACTGTGCGTGGTATAAAAAAGTTTTCCATTCTGAGACCCTATATATAGCCTAGTAGCAAGAGATAGAAAAATGACCAGATTCATAAAGAGATAAGTGAGCATGGTAACACAAGTTATTAACAACACAATGTGTAAGTTAAGGCTTTGACAAGGAGCAGCATTTGAGCAGAGTTTCAAAGTCTGAAAGAAAATAATTGACAGGGGAAGAAAGTACTCCAGGCTGTGGGAATGGCATTTTGGAAAGACACACAGTCATGGGATGACTGATGCTTCCAGGGATTATAGAAAGAACTGAGTGAGACAGGAATTGAAAAGTATGTGGGCAAAAATCGCAGGTGAGAAGGCCGGAAAGGTAGGTGGGGGCAAGACTGTGATTGAGTTTGTTCATCAAACTTAACTAAATTATACTTGCTGCTGAAGCATTAAAGATGTGTTTATTAGAATATTTGTCTTTGACTCTAAAACTGAACAAAGTGGCATGAATACTGTGAAATATGGGTAAATTACTTGACTCTTCTCCTAAGTGAGTCTTTTTTCCTCTTGCTGTCACTATTCCAACTCAGGGTGATAGGTAAGGGGCTATCATTCAATAGAAGGCCAGCCCAGCACTCACCCCTGGCCTTTCAGCTGATACTACTGATTTTTCTAGAATAATATTTAGCCTTAAGGAGATCAAGGAGAAGCCAGTGGGTAAGGATCACTCATATCCTGCTGGTTGATGCCAAGTTAGGCAGAAAGAAGAATAACTGTAACAGTGAGCTCAAAGCAGGGAACCCTAAAAAACCTTTGTATGCCTTCCTCATTCACAAAAATTTATACTTTTAAAAACTTAAAATAGGCAACTGGTACAGCAGGGTATTCATGTATAATAACATTCAAAATGTGGGAAGAAGAGGAAATTTATATGGCTACTGAACCTGTAGGTTAAGGCAATGTCTTGGTTTTCAGCAATATTTAAATGTATTTGTACTCTTATCTAATCATAGCCATAAGAAAAAGTAGTGGTCCCCAACCTTTCTGGCACCAGGGACCAGTTTTGTGGAAGACAATTTTTCCACGGACCAGGGTTGGGTTGTGGGGGATGGTTTGGGGATGATTGAAGTGCATTACATTTATTGTGCACTTTATTTCTGTTATTATTAGGTTGTAATATATAATGAAATAATTATGCAACTCACCATAATGTAGAATCACTGGGAACCCTGAGTTTGTTTTTCTGCAACTAGACGGTCCCATCTGGGGGTGATGGTAGACAGTGACAGATCCTCACGCAGTAGATTCTCATCAGGAACACACAACCTAGATCCCTCGCATGCGCAGTTCACAATAGGGTATGTGCTCCTATGAGAATCTAATGCCACCGCTGATCTGACAGGAGGCAGAGCTCAGGCTGCAAGTCGATGGGGAGCAGCTGTAAACACAGATGATGTTTTACTCGCTCACCTGCTGCTCACCTCCTGCTGTGCCGCCCAGTTCCTAACAGGCCACAGACCAGTACTGGTCCATGGCCCTGGGGTTGAGGACCCCTGATCTATAGGAGAGTTTCTTCCTTCTTTCGCTCTCATTCCATATTTCTTCACACATACCGTAATTCCAATTGCAATTATTTGTTTGTAGGTTCTGTCCCTCATTAGACAACAGATAATCTGTTCCGATCATCTTTATAACAACCCCAGTGCCTAACACAGTACCTCCCACAGAGCAAACATTCAACAAATAATTGTTGAATAGATAAAATATGCATGAATTATCAAAGACCAGAATCGAACGAGTTTATCTCACACATATTCTCTTGGTATTACTGATAATGTCCCTAGTCAAATGGAATATTAAATATGTAATTACATTTAATAAACATTTAATAAGAGATCATGTGGGATAAGAGCAGAATGGATGGATTTTTTTCCTTAAAGAGAGATTTTAATTAATATTTGAAATTCAGAACTATGGTGTTTTAGTTATATAGTGTATACTTTGTCTACTTATGTTGGTAACTGAAACTAGATAGAATTCTTTATTATTTAATGATTTGTTTCTGTGGCTATTTCTTGGAACCTTTTAGGTGTTATACATATGTATAAATTCACAATGTTTTTGCACATCTGAGTTTTGACTGTTCTTCAAAAACAACTTTAGTCATTTGACATTTTCTCCTCTTTTAAAGATCATTTTTCATTTTTTCTTTAACATCGTGCTAGACTTTCATTTAAATGAAATTACTGGGATGATGAGGAACAATTGAATAAATAATGAAAAGTTATCCAGGTACATACTTAAGTTTAATTCAGAAAGAGAAAATGATTATGTCTTGTAATTGTGTATATTTGTTTCACAGTGCCTGATATTTTGGAACAGGCTTTTTTCTTTATACTCTATTTATAAAGTGACTATTGATATTTATGATTTGTTTAATCACTTCTACTTACATGATACCATCAATTTGGCTTCGGTCAAGAGGGAACTGCTTGTGTTCTGGGCCAGGTGCTAGGCTTAGTGTTCTGATTTTCATAACACAATGGTCTAACTTGGCCTTTCATGTAAGTATAACACAATACAGTTGCAGCTGCTTCATTTGTGTTTGCTTTGAGCTTGGCTCTGAAAGAATTCAGGCACCAAAAATTATGCCAAGACATCCAGAAAGCATAATTGAACTAAGGCAGTAGCTGAATATTCCTATGTAACTCTCCCTGTGCTCTTGTCACTGTGACACCTAAGCATTCCCAATCAAATAAATACACTAGAAAGAAAACATTGTCAAAAAAACAAATCTTTACATAGTTTTTAGAAGAATCTAAAGCCCTGGGAAATAAGATATAGGCTAAGTTAAAGTCCTGTGTAAAAAGAAATGTGTCTTAAGTATCGAGATTATCAGACTCAGTTGCTATTGGTTTCTGTTTTGAATCCTCTATAAGATCCTATGTAAGTGTTTTTCCAAGTTAAACAAAGAGATAGAAAGCTTCACGTCCACTATTTAATAAAGACTAGTAAGTGTCCATTGTCCAAACTAGGGGTTTTCAACTCTGGCCATACATGAAAATCACCTAAGGAACTTCAAAAAATATACTGATGCTTAGACTCCACCTCAGACCAGTTAAATCAAAATCTCTAGACTAGAGCCCAGTCTTCTGTATTTTTTTAAAGGTCCCAGATGATTCTAATATGCAGCTAGGGTTGTAAGCCATTTGTCTAAATGATTGATAAAATATTAGGAACTCATTTTAGTCAGTGTGTTACCTGTGAATATGAGTGCTTTCTTTCCTACCTTCAAGTCTGACATAAGAAACTAAGAAGCAGTATTTTCTCAGTGGCCTTTGTTACTCACATACTAATTGCTGAGTTGCCTGTTAGTTGCCCTTCTGTGTTTGCCACAATCAGTTCAGATGACCAATGTAAATTTACAAAATACTTGCTTTACCTTTGACCAGCCTAAGAATCTCAGATTTCAGGGTGAAATATTGAAATTCAATTCATAGCATCCAAGCTACAATACAGTTCCAACTTTCATATTCTCAGCATTACTGTATTCCAAGAGGATACTTAAAACTTATTTCCCATGATGCTTAAAGACTCTCTATCCGTGTTTCTTCCCTCTTTTCACTAACCATCTGCATGGAGTTAAAATCCATAATAGGATCGCCCTCCAGTGAGACCTCTTTTAATGAACAGTATATATATATATATATATATTTATTTATTCATATGTGTATGAATGTATAGATATGAGTATATTCATATGTCTATGAAAATGTTATTACCAAAGGTAGAAATCATATAGCAATCATGGGTATGTCAGAAAACTATAGCCTGTAGATATTAACTATATCTTTAAGTCATTTTGTAATCAGAAAGGGCATAATTTTAAAATCTTCTAATGATAAATATCTTAGAAAATATATAATTTAGAACCAAAGGTCTCAGAGCAGAGAAAAAAAAAGAATAAGGTTAGATACAACTCCTTAAGGGAACAGGGTGAGAACTGGCAAATACCTGGAGGAAAAGGGAGCAGGCTTGGTTAGGAAATACTACCAAGACTCTAAACTTGAAAGAATTAAAGAATGAGGGAAGCCCTCCTCAATCTGTGGTAATTCCTAGAAATGGGCTTGCAGCAGCACTAACTACTGGAGATTCCAACTTACCCTAACCAGGAGAAGAGGGCTGTTTGAGAGAGAGGATGAGATACACTCACAGCTCATTCTTATAGATGATGTACCATAAACCCTTTTCCTCTCAAAGCAAAGATATTTCTCCTCAGTTTTAATGGGCAAGGGGAAACACAAGACCTCTCATTTCACAATGAGAGATAAACACTTTGAAGGCCTAATGCCCACTTAAGGGAGCATGTAATTAGCTACTAAGTATAACCTCTTTTACAGAAGTTCTGAAGCCAGAGATGTAGAAAAGAAAATTTGCCACCTTCATGATTAAGCTAGAGTTAGCTATGCAAAAAAATATATATATATATTTTGGTCTTCTCAGCTGTACTTATACTCAGCAAGGTATGAGAATTGCTGGTAAACAATAATACCCTTGGTGTGCCTTTCTACCATAAGGCCCTTTAATTTCATAACCAATGCCAGTAGCATTCCACTGGATTTTTAAAATGCTTTGTTTCTTTTATATTAAACATCTACTAATTTCAATTTAAAGAAACTTCATTCCAACAGTATTATTTGATTATAATATCAATACAAAATTTTTTGTCAGATTGTTGAGTGGCTGGTAAAAAAAAAAAAAAGGCTCTAGAAGAATTTGAATAGATGTTTCTCCAAAGAAAATATACAAATGGCCAATACACACATGAAAAGATGCTCAATATCATTATTCATTAAGAAAAAAATCAAAACCACAATGAAATACCACTTGATGCCCACTAGGATGACCACAATCAAAAAGAGAGACAATAATAAGTATTGGTGAGAATGTGGAGAAATTGGAATGTAAAATGGTGTGGCCACTTTTGACAGCTCCTCAAAACATTAAATGTAGAGTTTCTATATGACCTAGCAATTCTACTTTTAGGAATATACACAAGAAAATTGAAAATATATGTCCACATAAAATGTACACAGATGTTTATAGCAGCATTATTTATGACAGCCACAAAGTAGTCATAACCCAAATGTCTATCAACTGAAGAATAGATATGCAAACTATGATTTATCCATACAATGGCTTATTATTTAGCCATGAAAAAGGAATGAGATACTGACACATGCCACAACATGAATGAACTTTGAAAATATTATGCTAAGTGAAAGAAGCCGTACCAAAGGCCACATGTTGTATGATTCCATTTATATGAGATGTTCAGAATAGGCAAATCTATACAGACCAAAAAAGAGATTAGTGTTTCTCATGAGTTGGGTGAGGGAGAAATGGGAAGTGACTGCTAATGGGCATGGGGTTTCTTTTTACATAATGAAAATGTTCAGGAATTAGACTGTGGTGATGGTTGCACAGCTTTGGGGATATATAAAAATCACTGAGTTGCATCTTTTATTTTTTACTTACTTTTTTTTTTTTAGATAGGGTCTCGCTGTGTCACCCATGCTGGACTGCAATGGCACAATCTTGGCTCACTGCAGCCTCAACAACCCAGGCTCAAACGAACCTCCCACCTCAGCTGTGAAGCTGGAACCACAAGCGCATGGCACTGTACCTGGCTAATTTTTTTTTTTTTTTTAACTTTTGGAGAGATGGGATCTTGCTTATGTTGCCCAGGCTTGTCTCAAACTCCTGGGCTCAAGCAGTCATCCTGCTTTGGTCTTCTAAAGTGCTGGGATTACAGGCATGAGTCACCATGCCCAGCAGAGTTGCACACTTTAAAAGGGTGAATTTATGGTATATGAATTGTATCTCAGTAAAACTTTTTAAAAAGTAAAACACCAGGCTTAGGAGACTTAGGATAAAAAATTTGAAAATATTAATACTTTAATATTGATTATAAATTGAAATAATGTTTTAGATATATTTTAGATATGTAATATATTACATATTGGCTGCTTATTTTCTACAGTTTTTTTTAGTTAATCGTTTCTGATACTTTGCATATTTGCATTTTTATACAAACTACCATAATTTGGCCTACTATAAGGGAGATAGTACTAACTACTTTTACTCAAGGATGTAGAAATAGAAGCATAATATTTAGTTTAAAGAGAAAAAAGCTAATTTACAGTAGTGTCCTATATGTGGAATATTTTTTAATTTTTGCAAATTATCAACAAATTTTTATATCTTGTTCATGTTTGCATAGCATATGTTATAGTTTCTTCTATAAATTCATACCTGTTAAATTGTTTGACCTTTTGTATTTTTAATACAGTCCACCTCTGCCTCTCCATTCTTGTAAGATGTCCTATATGTGGGTTTGTTTAGTGGGATAATGCTGAGATTTCATATTAGAGGAGTGTTTTTATTATATTTGTATATCAATGCAATTAATATCAACAAATCAGGAAATAGAAAAGGATGCTGTTTTGGCAAACATTCTTTCATTCAGTCCTCTGTATTGTACTATGGCTTGGTTCTGATGTCTCATAGTAATTTAAACTCAGCTTCCCCCAAACTGTATTCACTTTATGTTTTTCTTAAAAAATTTTCCCTTGAATTTCTCTTTGTAGTGCTGCACATTTCTTCAGTTCCCAGGGCCAAAACCCTAAGAGTCATAATATACTCTTCCCCTTCTCTCAAATTCTGTCACCAGATCTTGTCTACCTCTCTTCAAATTCATTCATCCCCTTTTCCAGCCCCACTGCCATTTACTGACTTCGCTTATCAGTACTTGTGGTTCCTTCCCTGAACTAGTACCAGGGTCAGCTTCATGAGCATGAGACCAGTGCAGTACACAGGGCCTACACTTACAAAGGCTCAATGCATGAAGTTCAATGCTGTATTGTTGCCATCTCAAAGTTCTTAGTGATTGATCTTTGGATTTGTATTTTCTAAGTGAAGTTTAATGGGACAATGGAGAATTCGTGGGGACCTTGGGCATGGTACCACCTCCTGCTGCCTCCCTGGAATGAATTATCTGTTGCCCACTTCCCCACTCCCTGATCTCATTCAGCCTCCCTCTCTCTTCACCCAGCCACAGCTGTCACTCTCTGACCCTGGCAGGGGCCTTTGCACAAGTGTGAGAAAGATAGGGATTAGACAGCACAACCCATGGTGTCTTGGAGCAGGGCTTGGTAAGGGTAGTCCTTGCCCCTGCCTGTCATCTCCAGGGATGTCTTACAGGTAGATAGAAACCACAACTGTGTTTGGGTGGGCGGGGGAGGGGCAGGGGAGTGAAGGGACAAGCCTCTTGCCTATCTCCAAGCCAGGTACCTAGTGAGTTGTAGGGGCAGCCACAGGAAGGGAAGAAGCATCAGCCTCCCAGCATGGCATGACACGCAGGTTTGGTGGCTGGCATGGTGGAACCTGGTAGCCAGTGGACGCCCACTGCTGAGTCATAGTCTGGGGCCCCTGGCACCTCTGAAGGTTTATACTTACCTGTAATTTTTCCTGGTACTGGAGGAAGTGTGACATTAAATAGTAAATAAAAGGCAGCATGGCAAGTGGAGACAAAAACTACTGAAGAAAGGGAAAAGTTTCCTAATTTATAATAGTACGTTTAATGACATTGTCTTCCTGCTTTTTGAACAGTACTACTCCCAGCTTTTCATTTTGCACTGAGCCCCTCTAATTATGCTGCAGGTCCTGTCTAGTGCAGTAGAGATTCTTAACTCACTCCCGGCCTCCAATTCCTCCTCATCAACTTTAGCCTTCGCTCTGCTGCCAGAGTGGTCTCTAAAATCTAAACTCCATCATTACTTGGGCCTCCCTTGCTTAATGTCTTTTAGCTCTCTACGATTCCATGCCCATGAACAAGACTAGTTTCATACATTTTATTTGGCCTGCTCAGTGGTTTCTTCCTCCTCTCTCTTCCTTTCCCCTCTTCTTTCCCTTCATTTGAATGTCTTCAGACAGAACTACCTTTTACTTCAAAAACTGTCAGTCGCCCGCTGAAGGCTTTTGAGTTGAACTTGTGTTACAGGATGATAAAACCAAAGTTAAATTGGCACTGAGAGCTTTCATTGTCTAATTTTGTACTGCCTTTCCAGACTCATTTCCTAATGCTCAGTATCCTCATTTTCACCCCCAACTCTCTTCAGTCCTGAGTTCCATCTTTAACAAATCTGAGAGTTCCCCAAACAAGTTTTCTCAGGTCTCCTTACACATTTCTGCCCAGGAAGTCTACCTTCCATCCTTGCTAAAAGTATTCTCATCCATTAAGACTCAATTCCAGTGTTTCGTTACCTCTTCTAGGCAGCATTAACCTTGGCCGTCTCTGTCCTTCCACGGGAGTGTACATTATCCATTATAGCACCGACACTATTATATTGTAGGGTTGCCTTCCCTAGTCTGTGATATTCTAGTTGGTGATCTCCAGAATAGGTTGTGTATACTTCAGAGGATACACAGACAATTCATTTGGGGTGCAGAAAGAAAATATTAAATGTTTGATATTTTAAAAAAATTTTTGCTCTTTAAAAGTTTTATGTTATTGAATATTTTACAGTCATATATCAGAAAATCATATTTTATAAGTATATTTTATTAGGAAGGCACACTCAACAATATTTTATTCATTTCATAGTCAAAATTAATTAATTAATTAATTATTTTGAGACGGTGTCTCAGTCACTCAGGTTGGAATGCAGTGGTGTAATCTCAGCTCACTGCAACCTCTGCCTCCCATGTTCAAGTGATTCTCCTGCCTCAGCTTCCCGAGTAGGTGGGATTACAAGCACATGCCACCACGCCTGGCTAATTTTTCTATTTTTAGTAGAGACGGAGTTTTGCCATGTTGGCCAGGCTGGTCTTGAACTCCTGCCCTCAGGTGATCCACCTACCTTGGCCTCCCAAGGTGCTGGAATTACAGGCGTGAGCCACCCCACCCAGCCAATAGTCAAAATAATTTAGAAACCACTCTTCTAGAAGACAAGAACTATATCTTATTCATCTCATAACTTCAGCACTGACCTTTTATTTTTCCTAATCTGTTTATGAAAACTGATTTAATATATGGGTGATATTCTTGATTACCCAAAGTATGCACGTTGCAAAGACATTGACCTCTTATGCCATAGTTTCTTCATCATTAGTTGGTAGTTTTTAATTAATCAACATTGTGTACTGGTTTTTATAAAGGGTCTACAATAAATCTATTAAGTGAAATAGAATTAAGAAGGGTGGAATTTAGTGAGTAGGAAGAATTTCTGTGGAAGTCCTGTGAGAATAATGATAGAGAAACTCATGGGGAGTATCTTAGTTTGCTTCTCATTTAAGGTATAATTGAATGTGTAAGAATGTGTTCTGCCTGTCAACTCTTTAAAAGTTCCATGGGGCTGGGCCTGGTGGTACATGCCAGTAGTTCCAAGCTATTTGGGAGCCTGAGGCAAGAGGTTCACTTGAGCCCAGGAGTTTCAGGCCGTAGTGCGGATGATTGTTCTGTGAATAGCCACTGAACTCCAGCTTGGGCAACGTAGTGAGACCCCATCTCTAAAAAATACTAATACTAATAATAAATAAATTAAAGGTAAATGGGGAGAAAAGACAATACAGTCAACAGAAGTGAAGGTGAAAACCTGATGATCTGTCCTAGCTACCTGGGCTTATATGTTATGCAGTCAGTGAGACTGTTACTCGGAAACTTTTTCATTAAAATAAGGTGGTTACAGTTTAAAAAGGCCCTGAGCTTTTCTGATCATAAGATTTAGGGCCCGCGTCACCCTGTCTTTTTAACTCTGTGAGAGTACCAGAACAAAGATTTCATATTATTAACTTTGAAGGATTTGTACCTAGAATAGGCAAAGGAATGATAAGAGAACTGTATTTTTTACCGTTCTTCAACTAGCATCTCACTTGTATGATCAAGAGCAAATTGTTTGACTTCCTCTAACACCTATGATTTCTTTTCTGTAGTAATGAAATATTACACAAATATTTTAAGATCTTTGGAAGTTTGCAGATAAAAAGATACTATAGGCTGGGTGTGTTGGCTCACGCCTGTAATCCCAGCACTTTGGGAGGCCAAGGTGGGCAGATCACTTGAGGTCAGAAGTTCGAGACCAGCCTAGCCAACATGTTGAAAGCCCGTCTCTACTAAAAATACAAAAAATTAGCCAGGTGTGGTGGCAGGCACCTGTAGTCCCAGCTACTCGGGAGGATCACTTGAACCTGGGAGGTGGAGGTTGCAGTGAGCTGAGATAACGCCACTGCACTCCAGCCTGGGCGACAGAGCGAGACTTCATCTAAAAAAAAAAAAGGACCAACATATATATTATATATAGTAAGGACCAATTTGTTAATATTTTGGTGCCAAATTTACAATGGAAAAACTGTTTGCAGTATTACAAACAGTATAGTTAGGAAATAGCCTCTAGAAGTAATAAAATAAGTCTAATACAATCTTTTCAGTAATGTATTTCCCCACTTCTTTCCCCCTTCATTTTATCCTTAGGAAAAAACAAATCCATCCTGATAGACGTTAGTAAAGAGTAATTACATTGTTTCACATTATACCTTTTGCTCATGACCATCCATAATGTGGATTTTTGGTACATTTTGTTTCAACAGAGGCAGTAAGAATTTTATCTTTTTCAATAACTAATAGGCTCAAAAGCCCCCCTCCATCTCTGATGCTGTTATTCTTAGAGTCCTAGAAATGAGAGATGGAAAACTTCAATTAAATTCATCTAGTCCGTCTCCCCTGACAATGAAAAAAAATAGTATTTCACATTATATTATCTAATGCTTTTTCAGGCCTTCCATGATAACCTCTGAGAGACTGTCCAATAGGCTAATAGACCTCACTTTGAGGTCTTCATTTTGACCCATCATTTCTCATTATTATATTCCTTAAAGCCATCATCCTCAATATTCATACTTTGTGAACTTGAATGAGATTAGCACAGTCTCTGTTAGTCATAAGAAAATCAACATACTATATAGAGTATGTATGACATTCAATTTACAATAAAATTTAAAAAAAATCAGTATACGCCTCATTAACAGGAACTGAAGTGTTCTACAGAAGTGAATTTTCCAGATACTAAACTTTTCTTCCTTAACCACCAGATTTAGTTTGGTTTTAATAATTTTGAGGGGGTTTTCCCTCCTATGTGTTATTTCCGTACTTTCTTGAGTGAATTCAACTTTTCTTAATAATTCACATTAATCATTATCAGCATTCTGCAAATACGTATTAAGTAGCCCACTGTATGCTAAGCATTACAGAAATATGAAGATGAGCTCAATGTGTTTGTTTTCTGTTTGCCTTCAGGAGTTAAGATTCATAGGGAATATAAAATAGGAACAGAATTAATTATAGGTCAAGGTAGGGGAAAACAGTAGTATAAATAAAAAGTTTAGATAATCAGAAGTGGGAGAGACTAAGTCCTATTAGAGTAATCAGGAATGGTTTCCTCAAGAATTGGTACTTGAAATAAATGATATAAGGACAACTGAGTAACCATGTGGAAAAAGATAATATTAGATGTGTATCTCATACCTTACACAAGAGTAAACTCCAAATGGATTAGGGATCTAAAATGTGAAAAAAAAGCATACCTAGTCGGAAACATGGATGAATTCTCTAACCTTAATGCAGGGAAAAACTTTCTATGATGGTTACTGAAAAGCCAGAGGCAATTTTTTAAAAATAGATTGATAAATTTGATTGTACAAAAGAAAGTTTTTTAATAATTGCGTGACAAAAAAATAAAAAAATTAAAGTTAAAAGACAACCAATGAATCAATTGAGAGAAAATATTTACAACATGTAGGAAACTATTAAGGTCGGGCACGGTGGCTCACGCCTCTAACCCCATCATTTTGGGAGGCTGAAGCAGGCAGATCACCAGGTCAGGAGTTCGAGACCAGCCTGTCCAACATGCCGAAACCCCATCTCTACTAAAAATACAAAAAATTAGCCGGGCATGGTGGTGGGCGCCTGTAATCCCAGCTACTCGGGAGGCTGAGGCAGGAGAATTGCTTGAACCCGGGAGGCAGAGGTTGCAGTGAGCCGAGATCACGCCATTGCACTCCAGCTGAGGCTACAGTGCGAGACCCCGTCTCAAAAAAAAAAAAAAAAAAATTAAGGGACAAGTGACTAAGACCCAATAGGAAAACTGAAGAAAAGAAAGACGTGAAGAGGTAATAGGTAAAAATGTTTCTGAACATATGAAAACAATGTTCAAATTCACTTATAATCAGACAAATGCAATTTTTTTGTTTATGTGTTTGTTTTTTGAGACAGAGTCTCGCTCTGTCGCCAGGCTAGAGCGTAGTGGTGCCATCTCTGCTCACTGCAACTTCTGCCTCCTGGATTCAAGCCATTCTCCTGCCTCAGCCTCTGGAGTAGCTGGGACTACAAGCCCGTACCACCACGCCCAGATAATTTTTGTATTTTTAGTAGAGACAGGGTTTCACCATGTTGGCCAGGCTGGTCTCAATCTCTTGACCTCGTGATCCGCCCACCTCGGCCTCCCAAAGTACTGGGATTACAGGCGTGAGCAACCGCACCTGGCCCCCCAATTTTTTTTTTTTTTTTTTTTTGAGTCTCGCTCTGTCGCCCAGGCTGGAGTACAGTGGCGCAACCTCAGCTCACTGTAACCTCCACCTCCCGGGTTCAAAGGATCTTCCCACCTCAGCCTCCTGAGTAGCCGGGTCTGCAGGTACATGCCACCACACCCAGCTAATTTCTGTATTGTTTGTAGAGACGAGGTCTCACCATGTTGGCCAGGCTGGTTTCATACTCCTAGGATCAATCAATCCTCCTGCCTCGGCCTCTCGAAGCGCTGGGATTACAGGGATGAGCCACAGCACCTAGCCGAGAAATGCACATTTTAAAACAACATAGAAATATTATTTCACCTTTCAGTCTGACAGACTATAAAGGATGACAACGAATTCAGTTGGCAAGGTTGTGGGAAACAGACACTCTCATACATTGTTGAAGGGAAGGCAAACTGGTACAACCCTTCTACAGGGGATTTGGCAAGATTACATATACACTTACCTTTTGACCCAGCATCCCATTTCTAGGAATCCAACCTGAAGATACATTTCCACCATTATGAAAACACATATGCACAAAGTTATTTATGCAGCATTGTTTTTTAATTGCAAAATATTGTAAACAGCCTATATGCACATTCATAAGAGGGTGACTAAACTATATGTAGAGAGTAGAATAGTGGTTCCTCCCCCATCTCCCAAGATGTCCACATCCTAATACATGGAAATTGTGAATATGCTATCTTATGTGGCAAAAGGGACTTTTGTAGATAGGATTAAGGCTAAGGACCTTGAGATAGGAAGATTATCCTAAATTATCCAGATGGATCCAGTCAGATCACGAGACTTTAAAAGCTGAAAAGCTTTCATAGAGATGCAACATTGCTGGCTTTGAAGATGGAGGAAAGGCCATGAGCCAAGGAATGTGGGTGGCCTTTAGAAGCTTGAAAAGGCATAAGACAGATTCTCCCCTAGAGCCTTCAGAAAGGAATGCAGACCTGCTGACACTTTGATTTTAGCCAGATGAGACCTGTGTTGGACTTCTGATCGATAGAACTGTAAGATAATAAATTTGTACTGTTTAAACCACATTTGTTTTAATTTGTTATAATGGCAGTTGAAAACTAATACAGTGGAAAACTGGTGAATTTAGAATTAGGGCTGTGTTTAGGTGAGTATAGTACCTATGTTAATTTCTTAGTTTTCATAATCATACTATGGTTATATAAGATAATAACATTAGGGGAAGCTGGGCAAAGGAAAACTCTGTACTATTTTTCCAAATTTTTTGTACATCTAAAATTACTTCATATCTAGAGGAAAAATAACTAAGGATTCCTTCCCTCCTCAGTGTCCTTTCCCCACTCTACCTCATTAACATCCCCTTAAAAAGTTGCCATGTCGTCTTGTTATTTGTGAATTTCCAACCAAGCTTTTAACTCAGTGGTTTCCAAACCATATGTCCACATAAAGACTTGTTCATAAATGTTTATGGCAACTTTATTCTTAATATCCCAAAACTGGAAATAACTCGAACGTCCATGAGTTGACAAATGGTTAAACAATTGTTGGTGTACCCATACAGTGGAATAAAAAGGAGCAAACTGTACATGCAACAGCATGCATAAATTTCAAAAACATTATGCTAAGTGAAGAAAGACTACATACTGCATAAATCCATTTATGTGACATTGTGGAAAAGATAAAACTATAGGAACAAGTCATATTAGTGGTTTCCAGGGGCTGAGGGTGAGAGGAAGGGATTGACTGACTACAGAAAGGCATGAAGACATTTTTGGGGTGATAGAAATGTTCCATATCTCACTTGTATTGGTACAGCATACATTTATCAAAACTTGTCAAGCTGTACATTGAAAAATATTGACTTGTTTTTTGTAAATTACACCTCAAACCTGTTTTAAAAGAAATGTTTTAAAACAAAATACATAAAAAGTTGGACATAAAAGGTTTGAAATAATATAACAAGAAGGTAATAAAAATCTGACATGACAGATTCATGAAAATGAATCTCTAAGAATGTAATTAGTTAATAAAGTATGCTAGATATCTTCCATTGGTCCCTCTAGCAGATCTTAACATGTCAATATGTGTTTTAACATGTTATAATGTAATACCTGTAATATAATATGTATTTTATATTTTAATATAATAATTATACATAATGTAGCATAATGACATTAATGTGTCAACATCAATTAGATCTGATTAATGGATATGTGTTTATTAATTTCTGTGCTTTGTATGTTTAAAAGTTTCATAATGAAAGTTTTAGTTTGCTTAATAAAAAAATCACATTGAATTGAATGCTTGTTAAAAATGTAGATCACTGTGCCCCAATCCCAAAGATTCCGATATATCAGATCTGTGCTAGAAGAACAATTGTGATTTATGACAGAACCTTTTCTCTTTCCTTTTGATGCTTAAATTTGAAAAACAAAAACAAAAAACCTACTAGAGGATAAACTACCCATACTACAACTAAACTATAATGCACTTTGCAACTATTTCTTGTTTTGTTATTCTTGTCATCTACAGTCTCCCTTCCTGTTTGGACTTCCAAATAACTGGAAGATAAACTTAAGTAAAATATAAAGACTAGAAAGTAAACTTGAACGTTTTCAGTTAGTCTTCTCCTTTTTCCTTGTTAATTTTTTAGAATTACGTTTTAGTCAACATTTAGTGAATATCTACAAGTTCCTAAGTTATATTGAGAGCAAGGAAGGGAATTATTTATAGATGACACAGCTTTTTTTCTCAGGTATTTACAATCCATGATAAAACAAATATGTAAAATACATAGAGATTTTAATTTACTAATAAACTAAAACTTGAAAAGCAAGAATGAAAACAATTCTCACCTGGGTCCTTTCTAGTTGACAGGGTGGCATTTTCTTACTGTGAATCAGGTAACATTTTGAGAAATTGCCATTTAAAAATAGTTAATCACTTAGAATTGCTGTAACATTGTCCTTAATCCCTTGTGTGGTCACTGATGTGAAAAAGTCTCAAGCAGAATTAAAGCAGGGTTTTGTTGCACATCCCTACATTTTTCATGTGAAAGGTGATGACATGTTTCCCTGTCTCCGCTTCTCCCTGTCTTAAGGGAACGCAGCAGTGCTAGGATGCTGGCAAGGCATTGTCCCTTATTACCCCCACGGAGGCTTCTGAGAGCAGTTGCATAGCAGCAGTTTTATTTCAGTTACCACTCATTCACAGCTAGCCGAGTTCAGTCTTCAGGGAATACTCCAATTTGCAGGTGGCCAACAACTTTAGTTATCATTGTCTTAACATTTACCAAGCTCCAGAGAAAGGCAATAGTTGGCTTTTTCTTTCATTGACTGTTGCTAATTTTAAGCCTTATTTTGAAAGAAAATAATGAATACCAACTAATTAAATTATTTTAGTTGTATCAATTGCTATGACAATGTACCTTTTTTAAAAAAATAATGAGCTTTTTACTATTTTTAAGACTTGTAAATGGTAGCAACAGCATTTGAAAAAATTGGATAGAGTAGGATTTGTTTTGAGTGTTTGATTAGTATGCTTTCAGATTAGGTTGGTGTCAGAAGGATGAAATCAGTTTATTTACATTCTTTCTTTCCTTTGTTTCCATTTAGACTGGAACATCATTCACACTCTTCACATTTTTATAAGGCATGGATATCATAACTGTGAAAGAGAAAAAAGCATTTTCCTCTTGGTATCCATCTATTTTTAAATTTTATATTTGGATTTTTTTATTTTATACTCAGTGACCACAGAATCAGTTACATATAAAAGCCATTTCAATAAGGTTTTGATTTTACTTTAGTTTAATTATATAGCTAGGAATCCTAGGGGCAAATTCTTGTAAGTCAAATGCCACAATAGTAGTTTTTTTGTTTTTTAGGTTTTTTGTTGTTGTTGTTTGGTTGGTTTTTTTTTGTTTTTTGTTTTTTGTTTTGCTTCTCTTTTTTTTCCTCATATTTTGAATTGTCATATTACATTTCTGGCTGTTTATGATACATAATTCTATAATAAGGTATGTGTAGAAGTTACATATAATACATATGGGGAAAATAAGTTATGTTATAGTACTTAAAGTATTTGATGTGGAATTAGAATGTCAAGAATTCATATAGCACAGTGGTTAAAAAGGAAGGGTTCCGGTGTGAGGCTACCTAGGCTCAAAGTTCTCCTCTGCCATTTAGCATCTATGTGACCTTGGGAAAGTCATATATCTTCTGTATTAGTCTGTTTTCACACTACTGTAAAGAACTACCTGAGACTGGGTAATTTATGAAGAGAGAGGTTTGACTCACAGTTCCACAGCCTTAACAGGAAGCATGACTAGGAGGCCTCAGGAAATTTACAGTTATAGCGGAAGGAGAAGAAGGACCTTCTTCACATGGAGGCAAGAGAGAGCAAGCGGGGAACTGCCATACTTTTAGGCCATGGGAGGTGGTTGGAGAAGATTGCATCATGGGAGAGGATTTCCCCTATGCTGTTCTCATGATAGTGAGTGAGTGAGTTCTCAGATGATCTGAGGACACACTGCATATGATTTTTCAGTTCTGAAAGCAATTTTTGAGCCCCTACTAAATACCAGATATCAGACCTGCCCTGGGAACACAAAGCTTGCAGGGTTTAGTGAGGATGACACATAAGTGGGCATACACTGTGCTAGATGTAAGGCTAGCTCTCTATAAAGCACAGTGGAGGGGCACGTAATCTAGGGCAGGGTCAGGTCATGTCAAAAAAGACACCCTAGAAGAGATCATTCCTAAGCGGTATCAAAAAGGATGATTCAGCCAGGGAGAAGGAAGAGAATATGAGCAGTGGTAAACATGCATGGTGAATATAGAGAATTACAGGTATTTCAAGTTAGTGGAGGATAAAGTATGAAGTGGAATGACCAGGGATCAGCTGGAATGGTAAGTCGTTACCAGATGATACTATATCTTATAGGCAGAACTCTTACCAGGGCCATGCCTAGCTGCTTTTAGGTACCTTTGGGTTAATTATCCATCCCTTGACCAGTCATATGGATCCAGGGCAGAAAGATTGCATGGCACAAAGCATAGTGACCTGAATATGTAAGCAGTTGCTCAGAAGCAGGCAATGGGCAACTGGGCATGACATGTACTTTGTTGTTTCTCAGAAGAGGATAATGTGGGAAGACTCAGTACATGGTTGGTCCAGGATGGAGGGATAGTAGAAGCCAAGCCAAGCTTGAAAACAGTGAATTTGTTGTGGTTTCATCCGGTACAGCTATGTGGTCTTCCTAAAGAGCTTCGTCATGGCACCAGGAAGATTGACTTAAATATTGTTTTAATTGTTATTTTGGATAGCTAATCATTAAGAAAATGGAGGGTGTTGGTAATTGAATAGCATCAGATGATTAGCTGTGGAATCTAGGGAGAAGGAAAAGAGAGCAGGAAAAAACAAGGGACAGGGAGAAAATGAGGTGGTCCAGAAAGTGAAGGTTTCTGTTAGGTTGAAGAGTAGATTAATGTGGAGAAAGAGATATATGAAAGACATGTGATTAGGGAGGAAATCAGAGAAAAAAATATTACTGTTTAAGATGTCTGAGATGGAGGATCTCTGAATGATGATAAGATCTAGTGTGTAGATATAAGAGTGGGTGGCTGAAATGTTGAAGAATGAAGCTGGGTCCTCATCTCTCACCTTATACAAAAATCAACTCAAGATGGATCAAAGACTTACATCTAAGACCTGAAACCATAAGAATTCTAGAAGATAACATCGGAAAAACTCTTCTAGACATTGACTTAGGCAAAGACTTCGTGATCAAGAACCCAAAAGCAAATGCAACAAAAGTAAAGATAAATAGATGGAACCTAATAAAACTAAAAAGCTTCTGCACAGCAAAAGAGATCAGAATCAATAAACAGACAACCCACAGGGTGGGAGAAAAATGTTCACAAACTGCATCTGCCAAAGGACTAATATCCAGAATCTACCAGGAACTCAAACAAATCAAGAAAAAAAAAACAGATAATCCCGTCAAAAAGTGAGCAAAGGAAATGAATACACAGTTCTCAAAAGAAGATATACAAATGGCCAAGAAACGTCAAAAAAATGCTCAGCATCACTAATTATCAGGGAAATGCAAATCAAAACCACAATGAGATAACCACCTTACTCCTGCAAGAATGGCCATAATTAAAAATAAAAAAATAACAGATGGTGACATGGATGTGGTGAAAAGGGAACACTTTTACACTGCTGATGAGAATGTAAACTAGTACAACCACTATGGAAAACAGTATAGAGATTCCTTAAAGAACTAAAAGTAGAACTGCCATTTGATCCAGCAATCCCACTACTGGATATCTACCCAGAGGAAAAGAAGTCATATGAAAAAGACACTTGCACACGTATATAGTAGCACAATTCGCAATTGCAAAAGTGTGGAACCAGTCTAAATGCCTATCAACTAATGAGTGAATAAAGAAAATGTGGTGTGTGTGTGTGTACACACACACACACACACACACACACACCCCATGGAATACTACTCAGTCACAAACAAAAAGGAACGAAATAATGGCATTCGCAGAAACCTGGATGGAGTTGGAGACCATTATTCTTAGTAAAATAACTCAGGAATGGAAAACCAAATATTGTATGTTCTCACTTATAAGTGGGAGCTAAGCTGTGAGGACACAAAGGCATAAGAATGATATAATGGACTCTGGGGACTTGGGAGGAAGGGTGGGAGATGGGTGAGGGATAAAAGACTACACATTGGGTACAGTCTACACTGCTCAGGTGATGGGTGCCCCAAAATCTCACAAATCACCACTAAAGAACTTTTCCATGCAATCAGACATGACCTATTCCCCTAAAACTATTGAATAAAAATAAAAATTTGATTTAAAAAAATGAGTGGATGGAGAGACGACATGCAGAAATGGCACACTTCAGGTGGCTGAAGGAGAGAAATGTATTTGGTGTCTGCCATATCTTTGCAACCTTCAGTGACACTTTTGTCCATGTCACTGATCTTTCTGGCAAAGAAACCATCTGCCGTGTGACTGGTGGGATGAAGGTGAAGGCAGACCGAGATGAATCCTCGCCATGTGCTGCTTTTTTGGCTGCCCAGGATGTGGCCCAGAGGTGCAAGGAGCCAGGTATCACTGCCCTACACGTCAAACTCTGGGCCACAGGAGGAAATAGGACCAAGACCCCTGGACCTGGGGCCAGTCGGCCTTCAGAGCCCTTGCCCGCTTGAGTATGAAGATCAGGCAGATTGAGGACATCACCCCCCATCCCCTCTTGACGGCACCCACAGGAAGTGGGGTCGCTGTGGTCACCGTCTGTGAACAAGACTCCTCAAAATACTTTCTGAAAATAAATTGCCATCATGTGAAAAAAAAAAAAAGAGTAGGTGGCTGAAGGGGAGGATACTGAGTAATGGAGTCAAGGAATTATGAAGCTAGGGTACTAGACATCACTATTTGGTTATTTTCTAGCATGGTGTTAAGAGTCAGAAAAATATTACAAGCTAGGGGCTAAAGTTCTTAATGAATAAAGGAAAGTGAAAGAGAGATTGAAACATGAGAGCAGCAAAGAGAGATGAAGAATGCTAAATCAAGATGGTATGTACCTTAAAAAATATGCATTTACTCCAAACCATGATTTTATGGACTATTGATTTGGAAACAGTCATGGTAAGCTAGGTAAAGTCCAGCTACCTCTTCCTGGGTACCACTGAATATTGGGTAATGGAGAATGAAAAAACTTCAACTAAATAGAGCTGTGAGAGAAACCATTTCTCAGGTTAAAACTATGCTTCATTTACATCAAGGAGGTGACCACAAAATTTTGAAAGGTTTCACTACCTCCCTGAAGTATTACTGCCCACTCTGTGCAATCTTAACCTTTTCCTTATCTGTGTTCCTAAATCAGCCATGATTTCATGTATGTATTTATCAAGGACTTACTAAAGTTTAAACATTGTGGTTGATGTTAAGGTAAATATAACATTATGCCATCCCCTCGAAAGTTTAAATGCAAGACTTCTTGTTTTCAGATAGGAAAACCTCAACTGTAATTTATGAAATGCTGGAGGCTTAGTGTGGCCAAGTTTGAGAGATAAAAACTGTAGGGGTATTCATTAATGGGGAGGCCACAATTTTTAAAAATTTTACCTCCTAGAGTCCTACCAGGTTCTCACAGTGAATATCTGAGAAAATTCCCCTCATTTTTCCAGCAGGGAGAAGGGAAAGGAGGCATTTTGAAATGCATCAGAGCTTTCTTTCTCTTTCTTTTTCTTTCTTTCTTTCTTTCTTTTTCTTTCTTTCTCTTTCTTTCTTTCTTTTCTCTTTCTTTCCTTCCTTCCTTCCTTCCGTCTGTCCATCCGTCTGTCTGTCTTTTCTTCAGAGTCTTGCTCTGTCTCCCAGGCTGGAGGGCAGTGGCACGATCTCCGGCTAATTTTTGTATGTTTTGTAGAGATGGGGTTTTGCCATGTTGGCCAGGCTGGTCTCAAACTCCTGACCTCAGGTGATCCGCCTGCCTCAGCCTCCCAAAGTGCTGGGATTACAGGCATGAGCCACCACACCTGGCCCGTTCTGTTTTTCTTAACAAGGTCTGCTCTCAGAAGAAACTAATCAGAGCCTAACTGATCAGAAGGAAGGGAAATACCCAATTCCAGCACTCTCTAGCCATCCCCTTCCACCTAAGTGGGGTGGGTGGGGTGAGGGGCACTGAGCAGCACTTATGAAGTTCACAGTCCAGAAACACAGACTCATTAAAAGACTGAGATCTAATAGGACTTCAGAATGTTTTCCCCCACCTTACTACTACATGACTAAAGGCTGGTTTACTGCAGTTCCTCTCACCTGGTACCTAGTTTTAGCATATCCTCTCACCTAGTATTTAGCATATCCAGCTAGCAAGAAAATAATTACAGAACATACTAAAAGGCAGAAAACACAGTTTAAAGAGACAGGGCAAGCATCAGAACCATCCTCAGAGCAAGCATCAGAACCAGCCTCAGAAAATATTGAAATTATCAGATCGGAAACTTAAAACAATTATGATAAATGTACTAAGGGCTCTAATGGATAAAGCAGATAGCATGCAAGAACAGATGGACAATGTAAGAAGAGAGATAGAAATTATAAAAAAGAACCAAAAGGGAATGCTGGAAATCAAAAACACTGTAGCAGAAATGAAGAATGCCTTTTATGGGCATATTAGTAGACAGGACACAATTGAGGAAAGAATTTCTGAGCTTGAGGACACCTCAGTAGAAAGTGGCAAGACTGAAAAGCAAAGAAAAAAAAGACTGCAGAAAAAACAAAAACAGAACAGACCCAGAGGAACCTTAGGTACATATTACTAAGTGAAACAAGCCAGTCTAAAAAGGCTGCAGTATGATTCCAACCACAGATGCTCCTTGACTTACAATAGGGTTATGTCCAAATAAACCCATCATAAGTCAAAAATATCCTAAATTGAAAAGTATTTAACGTCCTGATAAACCTATCATAAATCAAAAAATTGTTCAAACCATCTTAAATGGGGGACTATCAATGTATGACATTCTAGAAAAGGTAAAACTATGGAATCAGTGAAAAGATCACTGTTTGCCAGGGGTTGGAGTGTGGGAGGTACTGAGGGATGAATAGGCAGAGCACAGAGGATTTTGAGTAGTAAATATACTCTGCATAATACTATAATTGTGGATACATATCACCATGCATTTGTCCAAACCCATAGAATGCACAACACCAATAACAAACCCTAAAGTAAACTATGGAATATGGGTGATGATGATGTCAATGTAGATTCGTCAGTTGTGACAAATATTCCAGTTTGGTAGGGCATGTTGGTGGGAGTGGCTATGCATGTGTAGAGGGAAGGGGAGGAACATTGGAAATCTTTATATCTTCTACTCAGTTTTGCTGTGAATCTAGAACTAAGTTAAGAAGTATTGTCTCTGCTTCTATCTTCTATCTTCTGAAAGACATTGTAGAGAATTGGTATCATTTCTTCCTTTAATGTTTCATGGAATTCACCAGAGGAACCCATCTGGGCCTGGTGCTTCTGTTTTGTAAGGTTATTAATTATTGACTCAATTTCTTTAATAGATATAGCCCTATTCATATTGTCTATTTCTTCCTGTATAAGTTTGGCAGATCGTGTCTTTCAAGGAATTGATCTGTTTCACCTAGATTATCAAATCCCTTTTTACCATTTTAAGGTCCATAGAACCTGTTGTGATGACCCCTCTTTTATTTCTAATATAAGTCATTTGGGTCATCTCTATTTTTTTCTTAGTCTGGCTACAGACTTACAAATTTTATTGATCTTCATAAGGAACCAGCTTTTGATTTTATTGCTTTTATCTATTGATTTATTGTTTTCAATTTAATCGATTCTGCACTAATTTTTATTTCTTGTGTTTGCTTTGGATTTAATTTGCTCTTTTTTTTCTAGTTTTCTAAGATAGACACTTAGTATTGGGTTTAGATCTTTCTTCTTTTCTAGTATATGCATTCAATGCTATAAATTTTCCTCTAAGCACTGTTTTTACTGCATACCACAAAATTTAGATGCTATGTTTTCATTTTTATTTCATTCAGTTCAAAGTGTTTTTTAATTTCTCTTGAGATTTCTTCTTTGATCCATGTGTTGTTCAGAAGTATGTTGTTTAATCCCCACATATTTTGGGATTTTCTAGTCATCTTTCTATTACTGATTTCTAGTTTAATTCCATTATGATCTAAAAGAAGACATTGTATGATCTCTATTCTTTTAAATTTATTAATATGTGTTTTATGCCCAGAATTTGATCTGTCTTGGTGAATGTTCCATATGAGCTTGAGGAATCTCTATTCTGCTGTTGTTGGATAAAGTAGTCTATAGATGTCAATTATATCCAGTTGATTAAATGGTGTTTTGGAGTTCAACTATGTCCTCACTGATTTTCTGCCTGCTAGATCTGTCCATTTCTGATAGATAGGTGTGTAGTCTTCAACTATATAGATTTATCTGTTTCTCCTAGCAACTCTTACCAGTTTTGCCTCATGTCTCTTGACACTCTGTTATTAAGCACATACACATTAAGGCTGTATTCTTGGAAAATTGACCCATTTATCATTATATAATGCCATTCTTTATCCTTGTTAAGTTTTCTTGCTGTAATATCTGCTCTGTCTGAAATTAATATAGCTATGCCTGCTTTCTTTTGATTAGTGTTGGCATAGTATATTGTTTCCATCCATTTACTATTAATCTTTATGTGCCTTTATATTTAAAGTGAGTTTCTGGTAGATGATATATAGTTGGGTTTTGTTTTCTGATCTACACTGACAATCTCTTTTAATTGGGGTATTTAGACTATTGACGTTCGAAGTGATTATTGACATAGTTGGGTTTCTAACCATATTTGTTAACTGTTTTCTATTTGTTGCCTTTGTTCTGTGTCCTTATTTTTGTCTTCCACTGTTTATAACCTTTCGTGATTGTAATTGAATGACTTATATGATTCCATTTTCTCTCCTTTCTTAGCATATCAGTTATACTTATTTTTTAAAAAATTTAGTGGTTTCCCTAGAATTTGCAGTTTTTTAAATGTATAACTAATGTAAGTCCACTTTCACATAACACTATACAACTTCGTAGATAGTATGAGTACCTTATAATAAAATAATCTTAATTCTTCCACCTTGTCATTTGTATCATTATTATTCATTTCCCTTATATATAAGTATACATAAGCATATATATCATATAGACATAAGCATATATACATAAGCATACATAATTAAATACATTGTTGTTATTACTTCAATATTAAATCAATTAAGAAGAAAAATAAAAGGTGGTTTTATTTTCACTTATTCCTTTTATACTCTTTGTTTTCTTAAGAAGGTCCAATTTGTGACCTATATTGTTTTCTTTTCTCTCTAAGGAACTTCTTTAAACATTTTTTGCAATGCTGGTCTACTGGCAACATTTTTCCTCAATTTTTTCATGTATGTGAGAAAGCTTTATTTCACCTTCACTTTTGAATGATAGTTTTGCAGGTTATAGAATTCTAGGTTGGTAGTTTGGGTTCTTTTTTTTTCCTCTCAACACTTTAATATTTCACTCCATTCTCTTGCTTGTATGGTTTCTGAGGAGAAGCCAGATGTAATGCTTATTTTTGTTCCTCTGTACATAAGGTGTTTTTTCCTTCTGGCTTCTTTAGGATTTTTTCTTTTTCTTTGTTTTTCTGCAGTTTGAAAATTATATGCCTCAGTGTAGTTTTGGGGGTTGGGATTTTTTTTCTTTTAGGGTTTTTTTTTTTGGCATTTATGCTGCTTGGTATTCTCAGTATTCTCTGAGCTTCCTGGATCTTTGGTTTGGTATATTAATTTGGGGAAATTCTCAGTCATTATTGTTTCTGATTTTCTATTTCTTTCTCTTTTCTCCTTTTGGTATTCCCATTACACGTTACGCCTTTCGTAGTTGTCCTGTAGTCTTTGGATATTCTTTTCTGGGTTATTTTTGTTTGTTCTGCTTGCTTTTCAGTTTTGGATGTTTCTATTGATATATCCTCATGCTTAGAGATTCTTTCCTCAGCCATGTCCAGTCTACTAATAAGCCTGTGCATAAATTTATATTTAGTATCTAAAGTCTGTATTAAATGGCAAGTTCCTTGAGGGCAGAGTTTGTGTTTATCTTTGATTTCCTTACAACTCCTAGTAGAGTTCTCTACAACAAATAAGCATAAGTTTTATTAAATACAATGTATCATATTATGTCATATGAGGTATGATATGATATGTGCCACAAGGCTGGACGCAGTGGCTCATGCCTGTAATCCCAGCACTTTGGGAGGCCGAGGTGGGCGGATCACCTGAGGTCGGAAGTTCAAGACCAGCCTGACCAACATGGAAAAACACCATCTCTACCAAAAATACAAAATTAGCCAGGTGTGTAATTCCAACTGTAATCCCAGCTACTCGGGAGGTTGAGGCAGGAGAAGAGCTTGAACCTGGGAGGCGGAGGTTGCGGTGAGCCGAGATTGCACCATTGCACTCCAGCCTGGGCAACAAGAGTGAAACTCCGTCTAAAAAAAAAAAAAAAAAAAAAAGTGCCACAAAAAGGTAGAATTAAATTACTAGATTTAATTAGTAGACAGTCTACTAATACTGTCTCAGTCAAATGCTTAACTGTATTTTCATTAGAAATATATGTATGATTTTTGGTCGACTCCTCGGCCTGGATCTCAACCTAGGCCTAGCAATCCTATTACAATTCTATAAACTTAAGCCTGGTTTGCTAGCTACATTTATTAGCAAATGTGGTGACTCATTCTGATTGAGTCATAGAAAATAGTACATAAAGCCTTTGCCTTTATGTACTAATGACTGTGACTAATGACAGTGACTCTCCCTAATGACACCAAAATTGTACAGTTGACCCTTGAACAACATGGGGGTTAGAGACACCACCCTGCTATGCAGTTGAAAAATTTCATATAACTTTTGACTCACCCAAAACTTAACTACTATTAGCCTACTGTTGACTGGAAGCCTTGCCAATAACATATACAGTCAATTAACACATCTTTTGTGTGATATATGTATTATATGTTGCATTCTTAAAATTGTAAACTAGAGAAAAGAAAGTGTTATTGAGAAAATCATAAGGAAAAGAAAATATACTATTTACTATTCATTAGGTGGAAGTGAATCATAAAGACCTTCATCCTCATCATCTTCACATTGAGCCTTTTTCCCTTGCCTTTAGTCAATCTCTACATACCTATAATAAGCTGGAGTGAAAAACAGCCTAGGGTATTATGTCTATGTGATATATACTAGGAGTTTTTACACTTAACTCCTTGGATGGCCAAAACAATAAGATATAGCATTATAAGTATTTTCTTTCAGTAATCTAAATAGTTCCACTTTGATTTGAGTAAGTTTGTTTTCATTTTTCTCTAATAAAAGGAGCAATGCCTGCATGTTTAAAAATCACTTGGCTTGGTAAAACACTGTGGCAGTCTATACTGTTGTTCACCAAATATTTTCAGTTCCCTTTCTGAGTACCTGGTAGTACTATATATCCCTTCCTCCATTGAAGTTAGATATGGTCACGTGATTGTTTTGTCAGTGAAATGAGACCAGAAGTGATATGAAGCTTTAAGAGCTAGTACATGTACATAATTTGCTATTTTACCTTTATCCTGCTGCAAAAACTGTAGAAGCCCAGATAGCCTCCCTTAGCCTAAGTTCCTGAGTAAGGACAGCATAGACAGGATCCCACCCCCTCAGTTGACCTGCTTATGGACATGTAACATATTTTATGCCACGAAGATTAGGGGGGTGATTAGATAATCATAACCTAGCTTATCCTGATAAATATAGCCTTCACCCCAAAACAGTGGGCTTTGGTAGTTACTAAAGGAATATAAAAGATTTGATGTGCTAATATTGGCCTAGTATTTCTTTTTCTTCATTATAGAAATGTTTATTGTACACAGCTTATATAAAATGATATTCATCTCAAGAAAGAGTCATTCTCCATGTGTCAAAATATTTTTCTTTGAATTAGAATCTTTGCTTGAAAAATTTTGTTTTATTTTATTTATTTGTTTTTGGGTTAGGGTTTCATTCTATTGCCCCGGCTGGAGTGCTGTGGTACAGTCATCACTTACTGCAGCCTCGAACTCCTGAGTTCAAGCAATCCTCCCACATCATCCTCCTGAGTAGCTGGGACTACAGGCATGTGCTACCATGGCTGGCTAAATTTTTTATTTTATTTTATTTTATTTTTGTAGAGATGGGGTCTCGCCATTTTGCCCAGGCTGGTCTTAAATTCCTGGCCTCAAGCTATCCTGTCACCTCAGCCTTTTCAAAATGCTGGGACTACAGGCATGAGCTACCGTGTCTGACTGAGAAATTTTAATATGCTTCTATAAGATTCCTTTCACCTGCCAATGACAGAATTGTAAATTTCTTGAAAGTAGTGACCGTCATTCATTTTTGCATTTATTCTTTTATTCAACAAACTTTTGTTAAGTGCTCACTATTTGCCAGGTGCAGAGTCGAGGAGGATGTTCAGGGAACTCTAGATAGTTTGGTAAAACTGGCAGGAGGCAGGCAGGGGCCATAGACTGTAAAGCACTTTGTTCCAGTCTGGAAGCTTTAATGATTTCATAAATGATCTATACTTCATTTTAAAATAGTTTATCCACATTCAATACTTAATTTTACAATGCCATATCCAAGGTGACATAGACTGAGTTTTAACACTTCTGAGACCACCAATACATTATATTTTACAACTTAGTTAACTCCTTTTTACATATCTTAGAACAAAGCTTTTTCTCTTCTGTCAGTTATCTTTTAATTCCTCCAATGCGCCAAGTACCTTCTCACCTGGGGGCCTTTGCACATGCCATTTTCTTTGCCTGTTTTCCCTTAGTTTGGGAAATCAGTAGATGTCATTTGTATTGAAATTGCTGGTACCATCTTCATAGAAAGGAATATATTTGTGTATGTTATATTGTTGTGCTTTTTAGAAATCTACCAGTAAAATTAGAAGTTTTTCTTCCATAACTAATATAAACATTAATAAATAATAAATTAGGTGCTACTAGAAAGTTTAGTTATCCCAATTCTCACAGAAGAAAATTTTCTCATCACATTGCCAGGTGGTTTCAAGTGACTATTATTTACAAAATTAAAAAGCTTAAAAGCTAGTTTCTATTTCTGGTCTTTATTGTAAAAGTCTAAATACCTTTTGCAGAGATAGTGTGGACGAGTAACATTCCCTTTTGGTTCTCTCTCCCATCACCTTCTGCCTTTCCTTCTAGGGATTCTTCAGCAAGCGCCTGAAAGGCTCCATCAAGAGGACCAAAAGCCAGTCAAAGCTTGACAGAAACACGAGCTTTCGGCTTCCATCCCTTCGCAGTACAGATGACAGGTAGGAAGTTAACTTTCTTAAAACAAAAAAAGCAGTTTGAGAGTGAATTTTGTTAAGGCATTTTGGTCTATTCTGAATTTGAATCAATGACAAATAGAAAAATACAATAAAAAATTGACTTTTATGTCGTGTTCATATTAAGGCAAGATACAAAATATTGACTCAAATACCCAACCAGTTTAAGAATGTTATAATATTGGAGAGTTTGTGGATACATAAAAACTAATTTCAGAGTCAGTTAAGCTATTTCTGTAGAATCAAGTTACAGTGGTCAGAGGTGTATCTTTTGTTTGGTTTTTGGTAGAATGACTATAAAGAATAATGATTATGATAGCTAAACAATTTTAGCACTGTCGCAGGATGCTTCATACATGTTATCTTGTTTCATCTTTATAATAACCGTATATGATAAATACTATTATTATCACCATTTTATAGATGAGGAATCTGAAGTACAGAGAGGTTAAATAATCTTGCCCAGGGTCATACAGCTAGTAAATAGCAAAAATGGTATTTGAACTTGGGCAGTTTGGCTCCAGAGTCCATGCTTTTTACTGCTATGTTCTGTATGTATAGCATATGAAATTGGCCTTGTTGGTTTGCAATTACATCTAGAAGACGTGCTGAAAAGGAAGCCTGGGTGGATTTCCATAATTAGGACTACTAGCTTGAGTACAGCTCCCTAAGGATAATATGCTTCAAAAATCATTGAATGTGTGCTAACACATTTTTGACACATCATGTCTCGATAATGTTCAAAATTTTGGAAACAGTGCTTGTGGTATCAGCATCAGCACATCATCACCACCACCTATATTTATTAAGTACCTACTGTGTGCCATACGTGTTAAATGTAGTCTCTCATGTAATACAACAACCCTAGATACTATTATTATCCTCATTTTATAGATGAGGAACTGAGGCATAAAAAGTTTGAGAAACTTGCCCAGGGTCACACAGCTAATAAGTAGTAGAGCTAAGATTTGAACTCAGGTCTGCCTCTCATATTTGATACTCTTATTTATGTTTTACTTTTTTTTTCCAGTAAGTGACTTTTTTTCACTTATCTACCTAGAAAACAGAAATAAAATTATAGATTTGCCAAGCAGATGATTACTGTCTTTATTTTGTAAATGAAGGGACTTGATGAGGGACTACTGCTTTATTAGCCCTTCTTGAACCACATTAAAGGTGCTCTGTGAAATTTGCAAGTCAGCCCAATTTGCATTATATTTATATTATTATCTCTTTTATACCTCTTTGTTTTAAGGTAATCATAAAAAAAGATTTTTAAAATATTTTTCTTAGTTTCCTGTTATTCTATAATTTTCATCATTCCAGGAATTCAAAGCATTTTATTAATGTCTCAAAAAATAGAATAACAATTTTTTTTCAGATTATCGATTCTTAAGAACAAAAATGTTGTGCAGCAAATAAAACACTCCCAATTCAATAGGCAATTTCTTAAACTCTGCAGCATCATATAGAAACTTGGGAGACAAGATTTTTTTTTTAAAGTTTACATTATTTTTTAACCTTGCACTAAATGTTACCTTCTTTATTTCAAACAAAGGGCTCTCTCCTATTCCATTTTGTTTTAGGTTGCCCATGGGAATTGTTTGATTGAATTACCAAGAGATTATATTCTCCCAGAGTCTCTTGTATTTCTATTATATAGTTACTGTATTTTTAGCCTTTCCAGTGATTGAAATGTATTATTTGTGACTTTTATAATGTTAATGCTTTAATCAATAGCAAAGTCTTTCTTTCTTAAGTACAGCACAATAAAAAAGTGCTAGTAAATCTCAAATATTAAGTAACCCTTTTAATTTATCAACTCCATTTGAATTGTAGAGATTTCCTATACAGAAATTTTTCAAAAAACTTTTTCTTGTATAGAGGTGTACTCAATATAGTTTGAATGTGTTACCATTTTTAAAAAAGACTCTCTTGCCTTCAGATCATATGAACAGTCAGATAAATAGAGCTAAGGTACAAGATATTGATCAGCTGAGTTCTTTGAATTAGTGCCCTTATAGGTGTGACCAAGTATTTTCTGAAGACCTGATTTTCTTGGGTCAGATACATCAACTGCTGAAGTCAGCCACTTCTTTCAAAATGTTATACAGTGTCTAAATCTAAGTAGCAAAACATTTCTGTTCTTTTATCCAATCTGTGGAACTTCCAGTTAAATGTAGTAAGCAGCTCCTTTTTTTTCCATTTTTAAATTATAAAGTAAAATACTCATTTGTCTTTGTTTTGGAGGGGGAAAAGTTTCAGTATATAAGTAAAGAGAAAAAGAACTAAAGACCCTCTTTATCTTTCCTATCTCCCCACATAAATAACCTTATTAACCATTTGTATATTTTCAAACCTCTTTAAAACTCCATACATAAAGGGAACCCAAGTATATGTTTTCATGTTTTCATATAAATGGGATCACATATTACTTTGTGACTTGCTTTTTAGTATAAATATTTTGTACTCTCCCTGTGTCAGTAAATGTCAGTCCACATCATTCTTTTTAACAACTGAATCTTTGTATGCTACAGTGTTTTTATAATAATGTACCTCACTTCTCTATTGATGGATATTTACATTGTTTCCCTTTTTTGGTACAAAATAGAGATGTCATGAACATTTTTGAACATGTGCCTTTTTGTACTGGTGGCTGGGTTGGATTTCAGAAGTAGAACTGCTTGGTATAGAGTATGTATGTTATCAAATTTTCCTTCAAAAAAGGACCTTTCCCACCAACAAATTGAGATTACTTTTATCCTTCAGACAACCTTTTCCATTTTATCAATATGTTGAAAGAATAGAAATAGTAAAATGTAGTATTTATTATGTGACAGATATATCCTAGGTACTTTATATAAACTAACTCATTTAATCATTACAACCACCCTAAGAGATAGTCACTGTCATTACTCCTATTTTGAAGATGAGAAAACTGAGACGCAGAGAAATTCGTAAGTTGCCTGAGGTTATACAGCTTGGAAAATGAGAGAACTGAGGTTCAAACCCAGGAAGATTGGCTTTAGAGTCTGTATTTGTAATCTTTACTGTGTATTGCCTCTCTAAAAGATGGGATGGGGGGGGATTTCTTTGTTTTAATTTGTATTTTGCTAATGCTTAGTATACTGAATATCCTGTCGTATGTTTTCTTCTTCTGTGACTTACCTATTTCCTTTGCCCATTTTTCTATTGAGTTGTTTGTCCTATTTCTTATGATTTGGAATAGCACTTTTTATTACTACGGATAGTAAGCCACTACTATGCATGTTAATAAAATTTTTCTCCCAATCTGTTTCTTGTGTTTTAAAATCATGTCTTCAAGTTACATGGAAGTTTTCAATTTTCCTTTCTCTGATATGTCAGTCTTTTTGGGTGGGAAGGGGGGCTTATCTGATCAAATTTGATCAGAACATTGAACTCAAGAGGTGAGGGACCTGTTTCTTGTTAAATTCTTCTTTATGATACTCTGCAAATTACTTTATTTTTCCCTTCTTCAAAAGGGAGAAATATTCTATCTGGAGCGATCCAGAGGATAATGAAATAGTGGACATGATATTTTGAAATCTTCAAAGTGTTGTGGTTTTTTTTTTTTGGTTTTTTTTGTTTGTTTGTTTGTTTTTTGGATACGGAGTCTCACTCTGTCGCCCAGGCTGGAGTGTAGTGGCACAATCTCGGCTCATTGCAACCTCCACCTCCTGGGTTCAAGCAATTCTCCTGCCTCAGCCTCCTGAGTAGCTTGGATTGCAGACATAAGCCACTGCCTCCAGCCAGAAATCTTCAAAATTTTTGAGATAAACCACAAACCTTATCTTCACTCATTACACTTTTATTTTTATTTTTTGAGACAGTGTCTTGTTCTGTCACCCAGGCTGGAGTGCAGTGGCACGATCACGGTTCACTGCAGCCTTGACTTCTCAAGCTTACTTAATTCTCCTGCCTCAGCCTCCTGAGTAGCTGGGACTACAGCCACACACTACCATCCCTGGCTTATTTTTATACTTTTTGTAGAGATGGGATTTTGTCATGTTCCCTAGGCTGGTCTCAAACTCCTGGGCTCAAGTGATTTGCCCACCCTGGCCTCCCAGAGTCTGGAATTACAAGTGTGAGCCACCATGCACAGCCCTCATATTTTTAAAAGATAAAATTATTCTCAGGAGGTCTGAGTTACCACTTTAAGATAGCAGAAAAACATTTTTAAAATGGTTAATTTTATCTAAAGAAAGCAAGCTGTGAAAAATACCATAGTTTTACCAAATAATGTTTCTAAAATCCAAATGTATTGATATACAGTAACACACTCAATATGTGACAGTTATGTACAAGCTACTATGCTGTATGCTACAGAGAATATAGCATAGAGAACCAAAGATACAGCCCTCAACCTCGAGGAGTCCAGTAAAAGAGGTAAGTGTCAAGGAGGAAATGGTATCGGTGAAGATAAAATTACTTCTTGTTGAGTGGATCAGGAGAGACCTTAGAGGGCAATGGCCTGTGAGTTGGATCTTACAGGTGTAATTTGAACATAGAAATAGACACGCACACAGAACTTTCCTTGGAATGGAAATAATGAGCAAAAGTAGAAAGTAGGAAATTATGGAGCTTGAAGAGAATTACTGAATAGTTCATGGTATTAACATGAAAAGGGGCAAGGTAGGAAATAAGTTTGGAAAGGTAAAATTCCAGTTTTTAACTTAATGGGTGAAAACAGTTCTGCTTTTTTTTGTCTTAAAAATTAATATGAGAAACAAATATGAACTCCATCTTTAATGAAACTAGGAAAAATATGAGAGATAGATTACTTAATCTATAATTCTCACTTAGATGACAAACAGATGTAGTTACCTACAAAAGGAAATTCTAAAAAGAAGTCTCTACTTAGGATTCAGTTTAGTTGCCAATTAACAGATACCCAAAATAGAAATGACTGAAACAAGGTAGAATTATTTTTTTTTTCACTTCTGTCTGAAAGTGGACAGTCCTGTTCAAGTCTGCCATTCTTCAGGATCTTCAAGAATCTCTTTATAGGCATAAGATAGCTACTAGAGCTCCAACCATAACATATTTGTTTTAGATACCAGAAAAGATGGGCCCATAAAAAGACACATGCTTTCCAGCTGAGTTATCTCCCTTTAAAGCAATCTCTCTGAAACCATACCTAGTTGACTTTGACTTCTGTCTCATTGCCACCTTTTTCTAAGGGAACCTGGGAAACTTTATACCTGGATATATTGGTGGGCCCAATAATATAGGACTCTGTTCTTAAGGAAAGAGAGAGGGATGGACATTGGTAAAACAGCTAGCAGTCTCTGCATAGGAAGTTGATTTACCCACCTACTCTGGAAAGGTTCAGCTTCCACCCAGCTCTAGAAAGTCAGCAGCCAGACTTACCCCTGTCACATAGCAGTTTGAGAAATTGAACCACCCTGGAGAAACAGACCTACAGATAGCTACATTTATATCTGTAGGTTTTTTTGCCTATTAAAATCCCAGCTGATAAATTCATTCCTAGGTAGATCCAAGAGAAATAAAAATATATATTCATATAAAAACTTGTATGTGAATGTTCATAACAACATTATTCATAATAGGCAAAAAGTGATAACAACCCAAATGCCCATCAGCTGATCAATAGATATACAAAAACATGATATACCCGTACAATAGAATATTCATCAGCAATAAAAAGAGTACTGGTACATGTTGCAATGTGTATGCATGTTTTCAACCTTGAAAACACTGAAGTGGGAGGATCACTTTAGGCCAGGACGTCAAGGCTGCAGTCAGCCGTGATCGTGCCACTGCACTCCAGCCTGGGAAACAGGAGAGACTCTGTCTCAATAATAGTAATAATAATAAGCCAGTCAGTCACAAAGTACCACATATTGGATGATTCCATGTATAAGAAATGAAAATGCCAAGAATAGGTAAATCAATTTATATCATCGTGACATATCTGAATGCTAAGGTTTAAAAAAAAATTAAAATTTTCTAGAAAGAAAAAATAGGTTGCATACAAAGGAATGTTGGGGGTGGGGGGATGACATTGGAATTCTCAGTAGAAACAATGAAAACCAGACGTTAGTGGAGCAATGTCTTGAAAATTCTGAGCGGAAATTATTTTCAACCCAATATTCCATACCCAGAGCAGATCTCGAATGTCAAACTGAGGAGTTTGGATTTTAGCCTATAAGAAACAAGGAGCCTTTAAACATTTTTGATCAAGAAAATGACCTAATCAGAGTTTTGCTATGGATGGATTAATCCAGCAGTGGAATTTCAGGTAACTTAGTTTGCAGATACTAAGTCTGAGAGACCAGTTAACAAAAAGCTGTAAGAAGATATAATGAGGGCTCCAAGGCGGATAGTAGCAGTGGAAATGGAGAGGCAGAGACAAGATAGGAGGAACGTTTTAGAGGCAAAATCAATAGGATGTCACAAAGTCATCATTGTTCCAAAGCCATCTAATCAGATAAAAGCCAGTAAAGCGATTTCCTAGAATCAATATTGGCAGCATTTTCACATTAAAGCCATGTCATATAGGAGGGTGTTGGGACACAAAAAGACTCTGTGATGTTTCTGCCTTTCATTCAAATGCACTTAAAACTAGGAAATGACTGAAAACAGTGGTACTGTATTGTCAGGCATTCCAAGATTCCAAATGCCTGTTGCCAGCCTTGCTTTGGAAGTGCTACTTAAATTTACCAAAGACTAAAGGTAAAGATGAGCATATGGAGTAGAATATTCTCACCCACTCCAAACTTCCCTCAAATAAAAACCTTCACAGTAATGTTCTCAATTCTAAGGCTCACTAACAAAGTATGGTTTTAAGTAGTCTACTTTTTCTTTGTCAAAAGATACCTGAAAGTAAGTATGGTGTTCATTGGTAGGTGGAATTATGGAACAATATTCTCAGCTTCTTGAGTTTCTCCTTATTAATTAGAATTTTTTAACTTTTTATCTTGAAATTATATAAAGAAAGTTGCAAAAATAGTACATACAGTTCTGTAGACTCTTCCCCCCAGCTTTCCCCAATAGTGAGGTCTTATAACTGTAGTATAATATCAAAACCAGGTAATGGACATTGGTATAGTAATATTAAATAAACTGCAGACTTTATTCAGTTTTCGCCAATTTTACATGCATTCATTTGTGCATGTGTGTGTGTGTAGTTCTGTCCAATTTAATCATATGTATAGATTAGTGTAACTACTACCATGATCAAGATAAAGAACTGTTTCATTACCAAGAAAGAACTCCCTATGCTACCCCTTTATAGTCATACCCACCTCCCCACACCTATCACATCCCTTAAAGAACTACTAATTTGTTTCCTGTCTCTATCGCTTTATTATTTTAAGAATAGTGTTTCACAGAATCATATAGTATATAATTGGTTGAGATTGGCTTTTTTTTTTTTTTACACTAAACATATGCCCTTGAGGTCCATCCAAATTGTTACATGTATCAGTAGTTTGTTTCTTCGGTTGCTGAGTAGTATTTCATTGTATGGATGTACTACGGTTTGTTTAACCATTCAGCCATTGAAAGACGTTTGGGTTGTTTCCAGTTTTTGCTATCATTAATATGAATAAAGCTGCTGTGAACAGTTAGATACAGGTTTTTGTGAACGTGTTTTCCCTTCTATGGGGTAAATGCCCAAGAGTATAATTGCTGGGTTCTATGGTATGTACATGTTTAGGTTTGTAAGAAACTACCAAACTTTTCCAAAGAGGCTGTGCCATTTTACATCCTGATAAGCAATGTTTGCAGAGGAATTTTTTATGTCCCAAGAGATTTTCACTTATGTTTTCTTTTAGAAGTTTTATGATTTTAGCTTTTATATATAAGTCTATGATCCATTTAGAGTTCATCTGTGATAGCTTTAAATAAAAGATCTTAATTCAGAACTTATTGATGTTCTCTCTATATATATATTCTACATATATATTGAATATATATATATTTTTAAGAGACAAGGTCTTGCTCTGTTGCTCAGGCTAGCGTGCAGTGGTGCCATCATAGCTCACTGTAACCTTGAACTCCTGGGCTCAAGTAATCCTCCTGCCTTAGCCTCCTAAAGTGCTGGGATTATAGGCATGAGCTGTGGCACCAGGCCCAGTTTAAGATATTACAAAATTCTAATCAAAACTACACACTTGCCCCAGCCAAACCAGTTACAGGCAGTCTGCCTGCCTTTGGAGAAGAAAGTATGATAGACTACTTACTTCTCTCCTCATCTGCTCTTCCCCTGTAGCCTACTCACCATGTTTTTAGGCACCCTCCAGGTTTTGGGGAAGGTGAAGCAACAAAAAGATGAGAAAGAGGATAACAAAGTCTATCTTAGCCTTCCATAATGCTCACTGAGCCTAACAGAAATTTGAAGCTGACTTTTCTCTCATGGGGTGATTTGGGGACTTTTTCAGAGATTTATCATCCCTGAGGAGCTCTCACCTATGGTTTCATTGACTCTGACAGATGCATTTCTCTTCCAAGTGCTCACTTGCGAATCCTTTCTAGAAAGGAGTTCTTGATGCTTTGGTTTCTTCATCATGCAGTCTTATGGTCCGCAGGAAACCTCCACAAATCTTTTGCCCTAACAACCTCTAGGACTACAGGCTTATCCAAAAGCATCAATGCTCTTGCTCTGCCACCAACAGTTAGTTGGTCATTTCTCATCATCTAGATTTCCCAGATGGAATCAAACCCTGCCCTCTATGTATCTTTTACCCTTCTCCCTTGTAGGTAGCAGGAGGATGAGCCTCACAACTTCTTTCAAAAATTGTTTCTCACAAAATCTTTCCCATTCTCCATTCTCTGACCACTTTTTATAGTCTTGACATAACTGAGAGGATCAAGGTAGTGGAACTGGTTCTAACACATTTCCTTTGTAAATGCTGCAGTTGATCTGATACATGACTTTGGTATACAGAATCTGTTTTATCTAGGTGTCTCAATTGAAACTGCAATTTTCATATCTCATTGCCTATGTATGTAATACTTCTATAAATCTGTAATCTTTAGCTACCGCACAAAAGGCAACATGGCCCAGTCTTTCCCTCTCAATATTACCTCCTGTCACTCCTGCCAAAAGTCTTCTTTATAGTATTATACTTGTCATACTGTTTCATATTTCTCTGCTTTTGATCTTACTGTCTCCTCTAACCCAAATGCCATTTCCTTTTCCTATACCCTGTCTTTTGTCAAGCTCACTTCTAGTTCATCCTCATGCAACAGTACCCAAGTCAGGAGTTACATGCTCCCTCCCTTCTTTTTGGTATTCTTCCCACATATCATCCTAGACTAAGTGCCTACCCCACCCCCCAACTACCTGAGTCCAACTCTGCATACTTTATTCTAGGACTAACTTTTTTATTGAATTTATCTTTTCATATGTCTGCTTACTGCAGCAGATTGAAAGCTCCTCCAGGATACAATCTTTGTATCTTCATTCCCTAGCACAATGACTGTCCTATTGAGGAACTCAATACACATTTGTTGGCCTGAAACAGAAGAGGAGAGTCAAAACTGACTTCCAGATAATAAAGAATTACAATCTTTTAAAATATGGTCTATGTGGATATGACAACTTCTCAGAAATTACTGGACTCCAAGCCATTAATTAATCAATACAGTCTAGCTATCGATTAGAGTTTCCTATTCCAGATTTACAGCCATGGGCCAATTAAGGATCCCTTAGTTTTATGAACTAAAACCCAATTGAAGTATCTAATTGCATCATGATAACATTTTAAATTCATTAAAATGCTTTATCTTAATAGAAAAAATATTTCTACACATTTACTCCATCTTTGTATTCTTCCAGTGAAGAGTGTATTCAAGAATAGCTTTCCTGATCTCAACCAGATGAATAATTTACATAAAATGAACTAATGCATGTCATATCACTGCAAAAAAAGCTGTGTGTCTACAATCTTACTCCTTCACATTTGTATTGTACTGCAGTTTATGAAATAGATGTGAAATTATAGATTACTGCATTTGATTCTCACAACTGTGTGAGATGTAGGAAGAGAAATCATTATCCACATTATCTACACATATCTTAAATGAGATAACTGAGGTTCAGAAAGAATAAATTATTTACTGCATGTCACATGGCTAATAAGTGGTTCTAGCTGATGTGAATATGTAGGGCTTTTGGCTTCAGTTTGAGTGTTTTTTTCCATTATACTCTTTGTTGTGTGTGTTGATACGAATCCTAACTTGCTGACAAAATAAGAAAGAAGGGAAAAACAAAGGCAAAAAAGTACACACACACACACACACACACACACACACACACACACCCCTCTTATACCAGCAGAATACTATACGGTAATAATTGAGTCAATTTATGATCATAATATTTCTGCAATTTGGAAAAATACAAAGCTGACTCCGTACTGTACTCTTTTCATCTCTCCTCCTCTGCCAAAAAATCCAAATGGATTGAATGAAAACTTAAAAGCACTAAAAGAAAATGTAGCTTATTTCTTATGATCTTGGAATTTAAAAACCCTTTGTAAACATAAACTGGGGGGAAATAATTATAAATATGACAGAAAAAGAACTAATTTACTTAATATACAAAGAGTGTTTACATATCAGTTAATTTTAACAATTAGGAAAATGGTTTAAGAACATGGAATAGCAGTTTATAATTCACAGAAAAGGGAACTGAGATTGCCAATAAACATGTACAAATGTCCTCAATCTCATAATTAAAGAAATGCACACTAAAGCCATAATGAAATACCATTTTTTACCAATTAAACAGGCAAAAGATTTTGAAGTTCAGCCACATCTCATGTTGAAGATAGCAGGTAGAAACATGCACTGCTGATAGACACTTAAATTGATGTTGTCTTTATGGAGGGTAATTGAGCCATATCAAAAATTTAAATGCATATGCCCTTGGATCTAGCAATTTCACATCTGAGAATTTGAAGTATGAATGTATGCACATGTGCATGAAGATATATGTAGTAAGATATTCTGAATTTTGTTGCTAATCACAAAAAAAGGAAACTTAGATGGTCATCAAGGACTGTAAATTATTACAGGCTCATGTAAAGGAATACTATGTGGTCATTACAAAGAGACAAAGTATATCTGTAGGTTCCAATATGGATAGAAGTCCAAAATATTCTCTTAAAAACAGTATTGTACCATCCCATTTATGTAAATGAATATGTATATATAGACATATATGTTTGTATTTAAATAAATTATGTATATTATGTTAAATACATGCAAATATATTGTTATATAAATATATGTAATATGCTATATATTACATACTTTATATAATTATATACATATATGGGTACCTTCGTATAAAATATTTCTGGGTTCACAAAAACTGTTAATGGCCTCCTTTCTATAGGAGGTTGTGGGAGGTACCCTTTTTTTATTCTTTACCTTCTATCCTTCTGAACTCCTGGAATTTTTTACCAAGAGTATTTATCACTTACTGTTTCAGGAGAAAAATTAAAAGATGATTAATTTTTTTAAAAAACCTGTTTCAAACCCATGTCTCCCTCTAGCTATTTTACTGTTGTCACCCCTTCACAATCAGACTTGTGGAATTAATCTTCACTTCCTCATATTTCATTCATTTTCTCAACCCATTGAAATCTTATTTTTGTCCTCTTTTCTGAAACTGCTCTTGCCAAAGTCTCCAATTACCTCTAAATTCAATTCCCAAATTCAGTGGCTACTATTAATCCACCTTTCTTGAGATCCCTCTTTCCTGGCCTTCTGTGATACTTGACTCACCTGGTTTTTCTTCTTTCTCAAATTCTTCAGTGTCTTTTGTCAGTTTTGTAGCTTTAAATGTTAACATGCCTCAGGTTATGTTTTTAGGTTGTCTTCTCAATATGTATGTTCTGTTTCACTGTTCACATCTACCCCGACAGGAACCTCAAACTCAACTTGTATAAAACTTGATTTTATTTGTACTCTCACCTCAACCAGCATTGCCTCCTCTTTCCTATCCCTGTGAAGGACATCACCATCTTTCACCCAGTGTTTCAAGCCAGAAATGAGCAGTTGTCCTGGACTCTACCCTCTCCCCAATTCCTCCAGCATTCCAGTCATCAAAGCCTATTTACCTCCTAAATATCTCTCAGTGCCATCTACTTCTTCCCCATATCTGTTAGTCTAATTCATTATCTTTACTCAGATTACTACCATAATCAATGAACTGGTTTCTAGGTCTTTCATTTCTTTTCTCTCCACTCTCTGTGTACTCCTTTCTTTTTCCACTCCTTAGCCAAGGTAGTTTTACTGAGACACACATCTTACCATGTAATTCCCCTTCTACCACCTAAAGCCTTCCGATGTACATCTACTGGTATTGTGATCAAATTCAAATACCCACACATGACTACAAGTCTGTGATCTCTCTCAAACGTCATTATTCACCAGGCCTCACCCACTCCAACACCCCAGCCTCTTCTCCTTCTAACATCCATACTATAGTAGAGCCACACTGCTGAATTTCTTTCACTGTCTGAACACCACAGCCTTGCATACTGTCATACAGGCCTTTTCACATGCTATCCATTTTCTGTAGATCTCCACACCTGCATATAGTGAAATCCACCCCATCCCCATGAAGATGGTTACAACTTTGTGTTACTGTTTTCTCCAAGAAGTCTTCTCTGAACCACCCCCACCTTAAAATCCTCTACTTAGTGCTCATAGAGCCTTTTTTGGCATCCTTTTTCGTAAGTCTTGTCACATTGTATTATAATGGATTGTTAACTCACTAGATTATAAATTGTGTGTGAGTACACAGACCGTGCTTTTCTTCTTCACCTTTGTATTCCTTGCATCTACCTCTAGTATAGTGCCTGACCCATAATGCACACCAGGTAATTATTGGTTAGATAGATGGATTCATACATATATTCATTTATTCAACCAAACGAGAAACTAATGGGAAAGCAAATCAGTTATGAGTTTAGGAATTACTAAAAAGTCAGTGTTGCCAAGCATGTTGGCTCACACCTGTAATCCTAGCACTTTGGAAGGCTGAGGCGGGCGGATCACCTGAGGTCAGGAGTTCAAGACCAGCCTGGCCAACATGGTAAAACCCCGTCTCTACTAAAAATACAAAAATTAACTGGGAGTGGTTGGTGGTACACATCTGTAATCCCAACTACTTGGGAAGTTGAGGCACCAGAATCACTTGAACCCAGGAGGCGGAAGTTTCAGTGAGCTGAGATTGCACCACTGCACTCCAGCCTGGGCAACAAGAGAGAAACTATGTCTCAAAAAAAAAAAAGTCAGTGTTATTGAACTTCACCAGTTTTTTTCCTCTCTTATCCTTCTACCCATTACTTTTATGGCAATTATGAGACTAAAAGTCTAGCAACTGAAATCAGAAATAAGGAAATAAAAGCTGTAGTCTGTCCACTCTTACTGGTATGTTACTTGAGTTGGATTACGAGTTTGGTTTGGTTTGGTTTAGTTTCTGTTTTTTAAAATTCAATGTAGTTGTGTTTATATTGAATTTGTTTAATAGGTGCTAGTAGATTATATTACCTTTGCAATTTAAGGACAAAAAGATATGTTATAACATGGTACAGTTTCTGTAAAGGAATTGTTCCCTAGTGTCTATCATATTGGAGGCAAGTTGGATTTTCTACTCCCTAGAATATGTCTTAATGTTTATAATCTAGTCTTCCTTCTGTATCCACCTTCACTGTGTGTATACATGTATATGTACCAAGTACAAAGTAGGTAAGGATATTTTTGTCTATGCTGATACATTTCTTTACCATGAGTTTCTCATTTTGAGTGACAACTCAGGCTGACAAATATCCTTCTTCATCATTACCAGCTGGTCCCATTAGACCATCCTGTCCTAGAGGCTGAGAGCAGGGAGAAGTAAGACCTATATGTTATGTTTCCATAAATAGCTTTTTAATGTGAGTGGTGTGGTACATATTTTTAAGCTAACATAAAAATCAGTGAGTAATATAAGCAGTAGAGACTACTGGCTTTAACTACAGCAGGTAAACCAGCTCAGCTGGTGCTGTCAGGATCCTCAGGCTGAACAAGTCTTTGCACATAAGTAGAGCTCTGGCGAATGAGCTCTAATTTCTTTTTTTTTTTAATCCAGGGAGGAAAACCTTTAAAATTATAATACAAGAAAGGATGTGCACTTTCAAATGGCAAACATCAGTTGAAGATTTTCACAAAATACCTAATTGGAAAATAATAAAATCCAGGGAGCAAGTAAAGCTACATTTTTCCCAAAGTGAAAGCTCAAATTCAATTTTTAAAAAACTGATTAGACACTATATAAACTTGCTGGTAGAGTATTAGGGTACCCAATTTTGTTAATTACTACCTAGGACATTTTTAAACAAAGTGAGTGCCTTAGAAATGCATACTGGTGAATACAACAGTATGTTGCTGCACCCAGCTTACTGGCTGAGCTATCTCATCAGGAATTCACTGAAGCAGTCTGGAATCACAACTGCCAAGCCAAGCAGAAACTCACCTGCACTGGAGTCCAGGATTTTATGTGGCAATAAGCATTTTTAATTAAAAGTTTCCCAATTCCTAAATTTGGAACTTAATCTGTAAACATGTAGCAGATTGAGCTAGCACCACCAAGCCTCATTGGAGCTGTGGGGGAAATGTGGCATTCTGAAAAATTGGCCAGTTAAGCTGAGAAAATCCAGCTGTGTTTTACTTAAAATTGCACTAATCAGTGTTATTTTATTCCTCTTTTTCTTCACCAGTGTATCTGCTGTTATGTGAATGTTGGCTCCCCATCTCCCAGCCCTTCACTTTTATCTTTTAAGACTGATTTCATATAGGGATGAGGATTCAAGCAATATAATACTCATTCACTTTAGTGAGTAATAGAAAGCCTCACCTGGCTAGTAGTTTATTTCTTAAATAAGTCAGAAGCAGCAGGTAATTTTCATCAGCAAAGCAATTAGATTTTAACCATTACCTATCACATTGCTAGAGGTCTTGAAGTTTACACAGAAATCAAGATTGTCTGCTGACCTTAAGATAAAAATATAAAGAATATGGTGTGCCTTAATTAGAAGTAAAATTGCCTCTGGGAAGCAGTTTTTTATTTAAATCAATACATAGTCTGTTGGAGCCCTGAATTATTCTTACATGGTGTTCAGGATGATGGGGCAGTATGGGAAGTAGTCAGGGAGAGAACCTGGCCAGTAGTCAAGGGATTCACAAAGTCCACTTTCAAGGATGGGTTAGATTTTTTGATGAAGGCCATTGTCAGATTGGACTGGGAATCATTATTTTAAACTCATTATTCTCCCAATAAATCCACATTCTGCTTTCTGTTAGAGGAGTAAACTCTGGTGCCAAACAGGGCTACTAAAACTCTGTAGTTAGTAGATCTAAGAAAAATCAATTCAGAAGGAGGTAAACATGAATTAGAGGAAACTTGGGGTTACTAATGCTATTACATTGAAATATTTGTACAAATAATGCCTCCCCTGTCCCAAGCCAGTCCCAGGCTGTTTGATCTTCCTGTTTACTATAATCTTGCTTCTCTGGGAATTACTTCTGTCTTCTTAGAGATACTTTCTTCCCAATACAGGGAGGGCTTGCTTATTTATTCAATAATAATGTTGAATATATTCGTGACTTTGGTTTTCAATTCAGTACACACACACATAAAAATGCCAAAAGATATGACATTCTGAACTATGTATTAATTAAAATTTCGGTAACTAGGAAGAGTTTGGAGTTATAATTCTAAGTGGCTTAGTTTTAAATTCTCTTATGGCTACATTTGAAGTTAGACCTGAGTATCAAAATGAAACTTGTTCAGCACTGGAAATACAGTGAAAAAATAGTTTTCACCATCTTTCTGTAAAAGAAGAAAATATATGTAAGCCAGGTAAGTTTCAGTAAAATAATACCTAGAAACATTAAACCACGGTAGGCACTGTAAAGGAAACAGAATACATGTGAGAGAAAGCTTTGTACTTGCAAGGTGAGATATAGGAAATAGCTTCTAGTAGGGGCATGGGAATTGTATATGAAGCAAGCTAAAGTTTCTCAAGTTAGTCCCTAGTAGAGGTTTTACTTTTTATTTTTTATTTATTTTGTATTTTTGGTAGAGTTGGAGTTTTACCATGTTGCCCAGACTGGTCTCAAATTGCTAAACTCAAGTGGTTTGCCCACCTCAGCCTCCCGAAGTGCTGGGATTACAGGTGTGAGCCACCTAGTAGAGGTTTTAATAAGAGATTATCTCCCACTCCCAGAGTTGGCCTCGTCTCTTTTCTATTGCCTTTTACTGAGAACTTGTTCATAGAAATGGATAGAAGCCTCACCATTCCTTCCTTTCTGTCTTAAAGTAGTCAACTTTGCCATGTTTGCAGAGCATGCCCCTTGCGTTATTCAAGCCATAGCTTCTTGCTGCCTTCCAGCTCTAATCTCCTTATAGGTGTAGCACCATGGCAACAGACCCAGCCTAGAGCCCAGGTGCCTTGTTTGTTACCTGAGGGGCTGGGTGCAGCCTGAAGGAATAGAATAAGGAATATTACCTATCCTACAAATTGTTTGGATAGATGAAGTCTTGATCTGTTGTTTGTGTTTCTGTTCTGCTTCTATGGAAGACTTGAAATAACACCTGGAAAACATTTATTCAAAGATTTTATCAGTAACCAAAGGCAACAAAGAAGCCATCTTCTATTTGTTCTCGTCTTCTAAACAGAGAGTTGTTTTCTGACATATAGTTCAGAAAGTGACTTGCTATACCGGGACATGTGGCACCGCTATGATTTGGGGTTGCACTGCCAGGTGGCTCTACCATTGCTTCATGTAGGTAGACGTTTATTTTGTTTGAAATAAAATTAATTTATGCTTTAGAAATTTTTCCTAGAGAATTTAAAAAATAAAAGTTGCCTTTGTCATACCTCCTTCTGTTTTAAACATGCCTTAATCTTTCCTGTTGAGAAGCTCACCCCAGAGCATGAGAGGATTTTTCCTCCCAGCAACTCCTCCTGGGAAAAATGAGCTAGAATTGTTGTTTTGTTTAAGAAAGATTACAGTGTCCAGTTTCCTTAATCAGGCTTCCCGTGTAGCATATTGGGAAAGATTATATGATAATTAAAGTACAATCTTTCTAACATTTAATTATTTATAGTTGATGTACTATATTTGCAGTACATAACATGTCATTGTCTTATACATAGAACAGAAGGAAATAAATATGGAGCTTACATTGTTATATTTTTCTTTTTTGTTTTTTTAATTTTTAAATATTTTAATTTTTTGTTCTTGCCCAATATCAGAAAAATAAACATTGTCATTTTAAGATACAAAACATTAGGTAGCATTTGTCCCTTTTGTGCATACTTTGTACTGTCAACAAGAAATATAAATGTTGACTTTTTTACTTTAAAAATTACTAAATATCAGAACACATGTTTTGCAGCCTAAACTTTAAATGGTGGCTTGTGTGTGTGTGTGTGTGTGTGTGTGTGTGTGTGTGTGTGTGGAAAGAAGAAGAACTAAAATCCTTATAAGCTTAAGATTTTTCTTATTTTATGAAATTTGATTAAACAGTGTTAGAATAAAGGTAGAAAGGAGAAAGCAGCCTTAGTGCTAGTTTCTTATATCTTTTTACTTTATAATTTAACCAAAAGCTACTCTGGCATTAAATATTTAAGTTCCTTTTAGTGTTAATGTGGTTATTTCAAGGAATTAAATGAAGCTACTTATTTAATGTGTTTTATAAAAACAATTGTCTTTACACAAGGCATTTCTTTTTATCCTTATTACTAAGTACTTCTGCTTGAAATATATGTGTGTAACTCTGGGTGTTTACTTCAATAGATACTATAATTATTGAGTCAAACTGCATGGCCATCCAGTTTGGGATTCAAGAATATTGTACTTACGTTTGACTCCTTTAATTCTTTCAAGAGGAAGGCAGTGAAGTACTGGCTCTTGTAGTGACAAGTCATGATTCCTAGCATTCTTCTTATAAGCAACTAGGAAACAAAATCAGCCAGGATGACTGAACGGTGTTGACAAAGATCTCTCTTCTAGATGAGAGTTTGGGCTTTTTTTTCCATGCTGGGAGGTTTCTTCAAGGCATTTTATTCTTTATTCATGCTTATATAGTAAAGCATGTATTGAACCAAAAGCCTGCCAGAAAAGAATTCTATATTGAGATGGAAATCAGGACTTTTGAAAGACAAGGTCTTGTGATAAAAAGTTGAGCTTCGACTCTGTGTGTGTGTGTGTGTGTGTGTGTGTGTGTGTGTGTGTGTGTGTGTGTGTTTTGCCAAAGTAGAAAGAAACAAAATGAAGATTCAGCCACTACTATTCTGTCAATCATATAAGAGGATAAAGCTATAACATGAAAAACAAAAAGAAATCATTTGTCTTTTGGCAATACCTTTGCATAAGAAAGAATATATAAGATAACCTTAAAGAGTATATATTTCTCCGTCTTCCAAAATAGGAATAAGAATAAAAAACAATTTCTGTAATGGGATTTGAAGGTCACTCAAGACTAGTAAAATTATAGTATATTTTTATGCCATATTGAAAAAAAGTGTGTGTGCACTCACATAGATATATAGAGAGAATATATTTGCCACATAAATATGATTACTATTATTGTTACTGTAGATTAACTATTAATTTGTTCCTCATTTATTTCTTCCCTTAGGCATTTGTACATTTATTGTTATCCTCCATTGCATTAGACCTTCATTTCCTTGCTGGCCAAGTTACACTACCTTAAATATCTTTTTCTACTTTTAGGTCTCGTGGGCTGCCTAAACTAAAAGAGTCACGTTCCCATGAATCCTTGCTGAGCCCATGCAGCACAGTGGAATGTCTGGATCTTGGTAGAGGGGAACCTGTATCAGTGAAACCACTTCATAGTAGCATCCTTGGACAAGACTTCTGCTTTGAGGTAAAAATAAAGTGTAGAAAAAAGGAAGAGTAGTTAAACAACAATTGGATTTTATGTCCAGTAATTTTGCGATTTCATTGCTGTACAGTTGATGATTTAATTAACTGGTTTTCAGTTGCTAGAAATTATCTACTTACAGAGAAAAAGTTAGAAATCTTTTCATCTAATCATATTTGCAGTTAAAGTTATTAAAGATAGCTTTGCATTCCTTTTGGCTTTGCCTCCTTTCAGTAAAATTTGATTCTTAGTACATTTTCATCAGGGGACAAGACTAACAATAACATTACATTACTATGTTAATTTTTAGTATTGGTAAGGATGTCACTCATCATGTTATTTTTCTAACCACAGCATCAGTGGTTCAAGATCTGAGACCATGTTTTTCTTATTTATCCATCCATCCATCCATCCATCCATCCATCCATCCATCCATCCTAATTCCAGGACATTTTGACCTAAATGTCTTATTTATTTTTGAAATCCCCTGTAACTAACCCAGACCCCAGCACATTGCAGGTGCCTGATTTTTGAATAAACAAAATTGCCAACTATCATAAGGTAATTTCTCCCTTCCAAATATGTACTACTAGCCAGTTACAAGTAAAATTCAAAAACTATATATACATGTATTTATACATACATAGAATTATTAGGGCTGAGATTTGATTAATTAACAAGAGCTTACTAAGTGACTACAGATGAGTCCTATACTAGATGTTGTAGAAGTCAAAAGATGTTTGTTTGGTTCCTCTTCTTATGGACCAGCACTGTCCAAAAGAAATATAGTACAATCTGCATGCATATCCAAAATATTATCATTTCAACATGTTCACTATCAGAGAAATTGTTTCCTTTTTTTTTAAAACTAAGTCTTCAAAATCTGATGTGTGTTTACACTTGCAGCACATCTCAATCTGGAATAGCCATGTGAGGCTAGTAGCTGCTGTATTGGACAGAGCATATAATCTGATCGGATTTATTAGGTTGTGACCAGAGATTGAGTTAATAAGTGAGCAGACTTCAGCAATTTGGGCAAGACATTTATTGGTGTTCTTTTTTATAAAAATCAGTTGAACTTTCTTGTATTTGCGGAACTCAGTTCATTAGGCTGTATATCAAGCCCAGAGTTAGGTGCTAAGTATATAACAACATATTTCATTTTTAAAGGACTGTGTTAATAGTGGTCAGGCTAACCTAATAAATGACTAGAAATCAACAGGCTGGTTGCGTAGTGGAGGAAAAATGGGTTCCAAAGATAGTAATTCAATATTAGTAACTCTTCAATTTCATTTAGCACCCTTCTATAATATAGTGAGGACAGTCTCAAGAAATCTGATAAGCTGTTTCAGAAACTCTCATCCTTTATTACCTATTTTTTACTAACTCAAAGTTGAACATATTTATTTGCAGGTAATTTAAGTTATTGCCTAAAAGGCCTTTAATTTTGATTTTTCTGAACCATAGGCCAGTTTTAATTTCCTTGGATGAATTTAAAATGGCCTTTGTTCTCATACCTGGAAATGGATGTGGATGCTACCTAAGCAAAAAGCAGATGTAGATGTAGATATAAGTATCGGAAAACTAGCAAAGATCATCTTAGTTTCTTATGGTATGATTTAGGTTCATAGCATATGTCTAACTCACAGCTTTGCATTCCTTTTGGCCTTGTCTACTTTCAATAAAATTGGACTCTTAGTACATTTTCGTCAGAGGATGAGACTAACAATAACACTAAATTAGTATATTAATTTTTTAGTATTGGTAAGGATGTCGCTCATTAGGTTATTTTTGTAACCACAGCATGAGTAGTTTGGGATCTGAGACCATGTTTTTCTTATCTATCCATCCATCCATCCTAATTCCAGGACATTTCGACCTTATCATTTAAGAGTTAGAGGTATGCTGTGAACCCTAATGACAGAGCCCTGAAATCCAGTGTTTTCTTTTTCTTATGTCTAATTTTTATGTTGAAGGTTACCTACTTAAGTGGAAGTAAATGCTTCAGCTGTAATTCTGCTTCTGAGAGAGACAAGTGGATGGAAAACCTTCGCAGGACAGTTCAACCTAATAAGGTAATAGTAGCTTCAAGTATCTAAAAAATGTATAACTTTGTAAGCAGTTAATTGATAGAAGGTAAGTGTGGTAGTAATACCTTAATTTGTCTATAGCTTGAGAGTTTTAAAGCACATTTATATGTTATGCCATTTGTAGTAAGCCCTTATTATATCACCATAAAGAAGTATCTGAGACTGGGTAATTTATCAAGAAAAGCAGTTTAATTGGCTCACGGTTCTGCAGGCTTTACAGGAAGCATGGTGCTGTTATCTGCTCAGCCTCTAGTAAGGCCTCAGGAAACTTACAGTCATGGCAGAAGGCAGAAGGGGAGCAGGCACATCACATGGTGAAAGCAGGAGCAAGCGAGAGAGAGAGTGTGTGTGTGAGTGACTTGGGGGGAAGGTGCCACACACTTTTAAACCACCAGATCTCACAGGAACTCAGTATCAGGAAGATGGCACCAAGGCATGAGGAATCTGCCCCCATGATCCAAACACCTCCCACCAGGCCCCACCTCTAGCACTGGGGATTACAATTCAACATAAAATTTGGGCAGGGACAACTATCCAAACTGTATTATCATTTTAAGCTAAAAGCAGTCTTACTGCAGATATTATTGCCATGGTTCTACCAGCATGGATAAAAGGACTCTGAAAAGTTAGGTGAATTGGCCATGTCAGAAGCTAGTACATGATAGAAGAGGGACTAGAATACGAGCTTCTTAACAGCTTATCTCTTTTATTTGCAGATATTAGACTGGTTATATGAAAACTTACCGTTACAAAATGATATTTTCTTAACCCAAGTAAATAAAATAGAATGAACTATATATAATATATATAATGAACTATATATAATTCTTCAAGATTCTAATGCATGCTTGTTTAGAGCTTGCTGTTAACCTAAGCAATGAGATAGCAATCCCTTTCATTATTTGTTGACTCCCCTTAATAGAGTACCTAATGAACATTGCCAACTTAAGAAAAAAATGTTTTTTTTTCTGCAATGTCAGCTCTGAAATTCAGCTTTGTTGCCTCTTTATAGGACAATTGCAGGCGAGCTGAAAATGTTCTTCGTTTATGGATCATTGAAGCCAAGGACCTTGCCCCTAAAAAGAAATATTTCTGCGAACTGTGCCTTGATGATACCCTCTTTGCTCGTACAACCAGCAAGACCAAAGCAGACAATATTTTCTGGGGCGAACATTTTGAATTCTTCAGCCTTCCACCTCTTCATAGTATCACAGTTCACATTTACAAGGATGTGGAAAAAAAGAAAAAAAAGGACAAGAATAATTATGTAGGGCTAGTCAACATCCCCACTGCCAGTGTGACTGGTCGCCAATTTGTAGAAAAGTGGTATCCAGTGAGTACACCTACACCCAACAAAGGAAAGACAGGAGGACCTTCTATTCGGATTAAATCACGTTTCCAAACTATCACCATTCTGCCTATGGAGCAATACAAAGAATTTGCAGAATTTGTCACCAGCAACTACACCATGCTGTGTTCTGTCCTTGAGCCAGTAATTAGTGTGAGAAATAAAGAGGAGTTGGCTTGTGCCTTAGTGCACATTCTTCAAAGTACTGGCAGAGCCAAGGTAAGTGGAAAAGGGGGATTGCAGTACCTGAAGTCTCTTCCCTACCTTTCATAAACCAAGATATGGATATTGTAGAAATCCAAATTAGAGAAATGTGCTTTACTATTGGTCAAAACAAGAAGAATTAAGAAGAAAACCTATTAGATCCAGAAAAGATGAAGATTATAAAACTAAACAAGTAAAATGGAGAGACCAGCAAATATTTAAAGCCAATTTGCATGAAACATAGATAACACAGCCAGCTCTTTCTTGTCTGACAAAATAAATGGTAGGATTGGCACGATAACCCTACAGCATGTTCAAGGTTCCTTATCTTTAATTTAGTTCTAGAGTGTTGTATGGTGGTTTTCTTCCTCACTGTATTTTATTTAAGTTTAACTGATGACTGTATCCTCTAGGCACAGAAGGAAGTATTCCAGAAGCATATTGAGTATTAGCAAGAGTCTTTGTGGGATTAAAATCTATATTTAGAATAAAAATCCAAGGGATATGATACAATTGGTAGCTGTTTCATGATACACTTATTTCACCTTGGATAGAAGTAAAAACTCAGGAATATTTTTTATTTAAAGGAGAAATATGCTGGTTGTGGGAAGAACAAAAACTAGTTGAGAGAGTCTTTGACCTATGAAGGATATTAACTAGGAAGAGTTACCGTTATACTGTATGCAAACTGGTCATGATAAAATTACATCTCAGATCCAAAGAAACTCACAGCTAGAATAATGTATTTAGAACCAAACAAAGTACTATTACTATTTCTTGATATGTCGGAATATATCAATATATTCAATATTTAGTCTCTTATCTGGCTTCTATGGATTATAACTTTTGTGTTTAAATTTACTTATGATAATCTTGGGCATTCTGTCATTAAAAAGCTTATGAGTTTGGAGCGAGGTGTCACTGAAATTTTGAATTGTATGGATATATTTCTACTTTTCAGTTGCTCAAGGTTCAGAATATACATTAAGACTTTTTTAAATGACTTAATACTGATTTACGTACATTTTAGGTAGAATAAACACCCATTTAAAGTGGAAAAGTTCAGTAAGCTTTGACCGATTTTGCACCCATCGAAACCACCACTATGATCAAGATACAGAATGTTACCGTTACCCCCAAGAGTTTCCTCCTGTCTCTTAGCATTAAGTTTAATAGTGATTCCTAAGTCTACAACTCTGTTATACTGTTAAGCTGCCCCAGAGTAAGTCCCATTGATGTTTAAAATGCTTAATTTTAAAGTAAAAGTAAATCAGCATATTCCTCCTATTTTGGCATTTGCAGCCCTTGAAATATCCAATAATTATATAGCATTCAAAATATATGATGTTATCACATTCAAACTGAACAACCAACATTGAGCTTTACTAGAAGTTCTTTAAGACTGTTGAGGAATGAAGCAGCTGTTTCTTTGCACCTTTATTTCCCCTTATGCTATCCTTCTGGATTGATGGATGGATGGACGGATGGATGGGTGGGCGGGCAGACAGAAAGATAGCCTAGACAATGACTTCAAGTGATGAGTTCAGTAGATTCTACATTGACACTGTGGACCGATTTGTAAGTATTATATATTGAACACCTAATATATGCCAGAAACTGTTAGGTGCTGGAGATATGGTGGTAAACAAAAACAGAAACTGGTTTTCTGGGGAAAATAAATATTAATCAAGTAATTACAGAAATAAATATGATTACAGTGAGAACTACAGAGGATAAAAAGAGAGATGATACTATGAAATGGAGCAAGGGGAGCTGACTAATGGAGTTCAGGGGCAATGTTGGTCAGGGACACCTTCACTGAGGAAATGATGTGTGAACTAAAATCCAAAGGATCCCAGGAATGAGCTACCTGACAGTGGGAGTGGAAGCAAGGGTGGGAGCAGAGCAGAACTGAGAACAGTATTTGGAAAAAAAAAAAAAAAGGCTTTGTGGTGAATAGAGAACATTGTGTGTGTTAGAAAGGGCTTGGTGTATTAAAGGACCTAAAAAGAAAAGGTACAAGGCTTGAAAGGTAGACAGAAACCAGAAAATATAGGGACTTGTAGACTGCATTCAGAATTATGGCCTTTATCAAAAGTGCAATGGAAAATCTTTGAGGGAATTTTAAATGTAGGGGTAGGAACACCTAACATTTTATCCTGATTGCTTTTTTTCCTTTCAGATGAATCTGATAGCTTTAGTTTTAAAGCAGCATTTCCAGGATGTCTGATATTTCAAAAGTCTCTTCTAATGTGTATTATTTATTCAGTTGCTTTCTGCCTGATTGAACATTATTCTACCAGGATTTTCTGACTGACTTGGTGATGTCTGAGGTGGATCGTTGTGGAGAGCATGATGTCTTGATCTTCAGAGAGAACACTATTGCCACCAAATCCATTGAGGAATACCTCAAGTTGGTGGGACAACAGTATCTTCATGACGCACTGGGTATGAAAGAGAAAAACATCTATTTTCTTTTATTTACTTTTCAGTTTTAAGCTATTTCACCCCCATGAGACGAATTGAGCTCAAATTCTGCATGTTATTTAGTTCTAGCTGACTCAGGTGTTAAGGTTTGAATCATGGCTGTAAGAAGTCTGCAGTACTCACCAGTAGAGAAATAATAATAAATGTAGAAACAGAAACCTTGTCAGCATACACTGCTACCCCAGGTCCCCAGCTTCATGATTCCAGGATGCACAGTAATATCAGCAGTGTCCACTGATAGATCTGAGGTGGTCTGTTTTGCCCAAAGTTTTGGGTGTTTATATGATGATATTATTACCTAGTCTTGAGAGTGTTACCCTGACATTTGTTATCATGCATGCAAAACTCTAATCAAAAGTGAAGAAACTCTTGCCACTTCCCACAACTCCCCCACAAATTTCTGCCTTTCTCTAGAATTTTTAACATAACTAATTTTTGTCCAATCAGTAGTTCTTGCTGACTAGGCTACGCACTTGCAGTTCCAGATTTGGTCATGAAATTGAGGCATTAACCGCTAGAGTAAGGTACTGTGCTGGTCACTTTAATATACATCATGATAGAGCAGATGTGAGTTCCTTGAAGGAAATAGCCCTTTGTTTTACCTCCATATCCCCACTACCTGCACACACTGTTGAGCAGCACTGTCCGATAGAAATATGACCCATGTGTGAATACTTTTATTTATTTTTATTTTTTGAGTAATTGTAAATTTTCTAGTAGTCACAGTATTAAAAAGGATGAAGAGAAACAGGTGAAATTGATAACATATTTCATTTGACCCAGTATATCCAAATACTATTTAATGGTTTAGAAGAATAAAAGTTATTAATTAGGTGTTTTACTTTTTTATTCTTTTTGAAAATCAGTGTGTATTTCACATGTATCACACATTTTAATTTGCACAAGCCATTTCTAATGCTCAACAGCCACGTGTGACTATCAAGAATAGAAAGTAAAAACATGTTGAATGATTGGAGAGATTTTTACCCTCGAGAAGTTTGCAATGTAAGGATATAACATTAGGGATATCTCTATACCAAAAAGAGACATTCTGTGTTCTTTCAAATAATTTTAAAAAAATTGAATCCAGCTGATAGAATTGTCAAACTTTCTGTGTGAAATACATTTATGTTTTGTATGTAGTTTGATGAATAGAAAGGTTAAAAACAGACATTGAGCAAGAGCAGATAAGATAAGAAGTAGCATGGGGGAAAGGACCCATAAACAAAAAGACATAGAGGTGGGACAGAACCAGGAATGTGTGGAATAAAACTATTTAGCTGGAAAAAGACATGAAAGAAACATGTGAACAACAACAACAAAAAGATTAAACAATAATTAGAACTAATTTGTGAAAACCTCAAATGCCTGGGTGAAGATTTAAAGTTTACAGTAATAACTGGAGAGCCACTGAAAGTTTTGAGCAGGTGTTTTCAGTGGAATTAACTTAGCAGACTGATTAAGACGAGTTGTATCCAGGCATGGTGGCTCACATCTATAGTTCCAGCTACTCAGGAGGCCAAGGTAAGAGAACTGCTTGAGCCCAGGAGTTCGAGGCAGCAGTGAGCTATGGTCACATCACTGCACTCCAGCCTGGGTGACAGAGAAAGACCTTGTCTTAAAAAAAATAAATAAATAAATAAAGGTGAAGAAAGCCTACTGAAAGCCAATCAATTAAGAAGCCATTGTAGGCTGGGCGCGGTGGCTCACACTTGTAATCCCAACACTTTAGGAGGCCGAGGCAGGCCCACCACCCAAGGTCAGGAGTTCGAGACCAGCCTGGCCAACATGCTGAAACCCCATCTCTACTAAAAATACAAAAATTAGCCAGGCATGGTGGCGGGCACCTGTAATCCCAGCTAAGGAGGCTGAGGCAGGAGAATTGCTTGAACCAGAGAGGTGGAAGTTGCGGTAAGCCAAGATTATACCATTGCACTCCAGCCTGGGAGACAAGAGCAAAACTCCTTCTCTTAAAAAAAAAAAAAAAAAAAAAAAAAAAAGCCATTGTAATAAGAAAGAATGAGACTCTGAATGACTGTAATCATGCAAGTAAGAATAGAGAGGAAGACGGATATGAGAAATATTAAGGTTGAACTGATAGAACTTGGCAAATTTTTCAGTTTGTGGGAAGCAAGGAGGGAACGAATATTACAGAGAATTGTGGGGTGTTGTGAGTGACTAGGGGGATGATGAGATTCTTAACAGGAATAGAAACCACAGAAGTAGTAGGTGTGAAACAGTGGAAATTACATATATATTCAATTTGAAGTTCTAGTAGGAAATCTCAGGGGTTTTAGATAGGCAATCTAAGATACCTGTCTAGCTGGCTGTTGGAAATTTGAGACTAATTTATGCTTGTGGAGAGGTTAAATGAAGCTGTAAGATTACCAGAGCAGGAAGAGAACAGGGCCAAGGATAGATCTTAGAGTGCACCTGGGTTTATGGTATAGAATGAAGAAGAGGAATCAGAGAAGTGATCAGAGAAAGAGAGAGCATCCAAAAAAGAAAGAAAACCAGGAAAATACTGAGTCCTAGATACCAATAGAGAAGAGAGCATCAGTAGAGTCAGAAATTATGGAAGGTAAAGAAAAAGAATGGATATTGCATTTGGCACCTTAAATATCACTAGTGATGGCTCACACTGGTTTCAGGAGGAAAGGAGGCAGGCTGTAAGGAATAGAGTGAGTCGCCATTCAAGAAACAGGATCACTGTGTTTACATGAAGCAGACACATTATAGTAGCTACTACAATTAGTTTCTGCTCTGAAGCAGATTTTTTGTCTTCCTGCTTATCTTCATATTTTTTTCTCTAATCATATAGACATTAAGAATGGTACAAAGAGCTTAAGAAAAGTACAAAGAGGTTTATAGTGTCATTTACATAAAGAGCTTATTACAGCCATAAATTATATCTCATGATTTGCTTTAATGATTTGTGTTTTGTTAAAAAAGTCCACCAAAAAAAAAAAGCATCTCAAACCGTATTCTCCATTCTATGGAGATAGGAGTGAGTATTTATTGACTATCTGCTTCTTTGAAATCAATTATTCATATTTGAAATTCAGTGTGCTAAACAGGATTTCTGAATGAAATAATTTCCAAAATGAAAAGTGGATACTAGTCTTTTTATAACAGTGAATGATTAAATGGCCGATGGGCTCAATGAGGCATGAAAATTAATTCAGTGGACATGGAAAGAAATTCAATTAACCCCTCAGAAATCTCTGTAATAATATTTATAATCCAAGAGCAAGGGCCAGAGTAGTAAAAATGGCTGCTGCTTCTAAGAGCATAAGCAGAATTAATTGGTAAGCTTCTTCAGGACAGGGGCTGTATTGTCTTCTTCTCGTTAAAGTTTTGCTATATTTCATATACTTTGGGCAGGAAATAGATGCTGTTTCCAGACTGCTTGAAGAATTTTCAGAGAGAATTGATTTTAAAAGTTGCCAGTAATAGTGTACGATATCTGTCTGCTTCTTAGCCAGTCCTTATCTTAATTAAAGCGTCACTCTTTCTGCACAGACTCTGCATTGTTTAGACTTGAATCTTCCATCTATTATCCCATTTTACCTTTCCAATTGAAATCAGATTGCACCTTGGTATCCTGTGACACACAGGAAATACTATCTGTGAGATACACTAAAGAAAGCCCTGATGAAAAGACCTGATTTCCACTTGTAGCAGTGGAGGCAGGTTTCTTTCGGCAGTAATATGTCCATCCTTGTTGACTTATTCCTACATGTGAAATTTTTATGCCAGATAGTAATGAGTTAATGATTTACATAGAAAATACATCATAGAACATTCTGGGCACAAACTTAACATGTAAACAACATAACAAGCACCCCCTTTGGCTCTGGTTTTTTTTTCAAATGCAAGAAGGCAAACTTAAGTGGGTTTTTTAATCTGTGTTGGTAATTAAGCACCTTCTAGTTACAAATCAATAAAAGCCTCTCCTTTCAATATGGTACATTCTGCATGCTCAAACATTGGTTATTGTTTCAACAGTTAAAGTATTATTTTTCTATTTTGGAGCATTTTAAATATGTGATAATCAGGGACAAAAACTTTTTAAGCTGGTACTATAGACAATTAATTTACTTCTGGGCCCTGGAGTTATTTATCTGGCACTTTTCTTGAAGAATTAAAGAAAAATATGGTTAATATTCATGTTTTTTATTAATATTAGTATTTTTTCCCTTGAATACATATAACCTAAAAGAAGTCACTAAACAGAATATTTAGGATACAGGTGTAGAGTTTGGCCAGTTTTTACATGGGATATTTGACATTGATTTCTTAGTTTTAAATTTAGGTACTCTTTAAATGAAGTTTAATTGTGGAAACACATAGCACAGGAGACATAGAGAACATATTGACTACATATCTTGGGAGAATTGATAACATTTTAAAACAGTCTTTTACTAGTTTTGGCCATTTCACCTGACAAAAAATTATTCAAAAGTTGCATGATTTTTAAATTAAAATACTTTTTGTATGGTGCACCTACTAAGAGCCAGGTACCATATTAGATGCTTTTCATGCATTATGTCTGTTCCTCACCACAACTCTACAGGATGATTGCTATTAACACTGTTTTACAAACAAGACAGCTGAAACTCAGACGAATTAAGTGACTTTTCCAGGCCCCACAGTCAGTTAAATGATGGATCCGGATTTGAGCCTAGATCTCTGACCTCAATGCCTTTAATTTTTCTGTGCACCACTTTCCTTTCTGTATACCACATTGTTTCCTGTTCTCTAAGCATTTTTCCTCAAAATTATCGCTTCTCATCTCCTGTCACGGGTATTTTTAAAAGCTTTCATTTATCCAAATACTAACCACTTTGATAGAAATGCTCTTTCTGCTGCTGATGCTGCTACTTAGTTTTGCAGGCATTATTGTTCACTTTCATGAAGTCTGTTATAACTAGCCTGAACCTCAAGTAATAAACACATATTTAGGAGGATCTTTGAAAGATCCACTCCTCTTTCATAAAGACCTATAAAAAACCAAGAATACATACTGCCATCTCTGATAAATATTTATTGAGCACCTGTAACATTTTGGGAGCTATTCAGAAGAGTCAAGATTTGAACATGAATAAAACCTAGTACCTAACCTCTGAAGGTATTCATCCTAGGAATGAAACAAACACAAATAATGAGAAATATGAAGTAGTCGAAGATATACAAGGTATGGTGTATACTAGAGGATAAACAGGTAAGGTAGGAATTTGTTCTTTCAGGGAATAGTGGGTGTATCTTCATAGAGCATAGGCCGTATGAACACGGCTTCTAAACTAAATTTATATGGAAAAGCATATACAGATTATGTAAGGAGATCTGCTATATTATTGTGCAATGTTGAATGACTGTCTCCGTTACAAGAGGTAAACATAGAAGATAGATCCTTACTTGCATCCGTGTTTGGCACCAACATTAGCACTTAAAACCTTCACTGGACTATTCAATCAAGCTTGGGTCATTTGTTCTTCTAGAATAACAATAATAGTCACCTAAGTAGAGCGAGCCTTAAAACATAACAAGTTTGTACTAATTAAACATATATTTAGTTTAATACATTTTTTGAGTAGTATCATTACCACTTTTATAAATACTGTGATGATGATGTTAGTGATTGCTGTTATTCCACTTCCAGGATAAGAAAAATAAACATGATATGTAGGATGTGGCAACTCTTGGGTTCCAAAGCAATGAGGCTTCATGGGCCATCTTTTGTGCCCTCCCTGTCAGATCTAGAAAAGAATTCCCCATTATACGTTTTAGGACAGAAATCATAAGTCCTTTTATTCTATTCAGGAAGACACTGTTTATAGCTATACCGTTATCTTCTCTCTTCAAATAGGGGAGTTTATCAAAGCTTTGTATGAGTCCGATGAGAACTGTGAAGTGGATCCCAGCAAATGTTCATCTAGTGAACTGATAGACCATCAGAGCAACCTGAAAATGTGCTGTGAGCTGGCTTTCTGCAAGATCATCAACTCTTACTGGTGAGCTTATCTTATCCTCTGCCTTACATTTTTTCATGTAAAGGTCATCACAGTGGAACTTACATTTTTTCATGTAAAAGTCATCACAATGTTAACAATTATTTTACAACCAAAGGGGAGGGTCTTGGAGAAAAATTGAAAGTTTCCCTAATACAGTCCCGTCTAAAATTGAAATCTCTATTGTAAGCAGAAGTACTTTTGAACTGGCTATCTACATAAATATAATCTCTCTAATAGAATATTAGTACTATAGCCTCTAATATCAAAAGTATTTCTTTTGCTTTCTAAAATATTTACTAGTGTTGAACAGATGTGTTCATGAATTTTGATCATTGCTCTAACTCCAGCAATTGGCGAAATTTTGGAAGATTTTTGATAAACAGTCTTTAGAGAGATTATGGTGAGTTATACTAAACCAGATGGTTTAGTCAGGAGCCTCATGCCATTTTCCCACTTTGCAAAACTAAATTTAAACTAATCCAGAGTTCTGTAGCCTTGGGTTTCCAGTCTCCATCTGGCCTCTGTGAATTTTCCACCGCCTCTCAGCCATGAATCAGGTAAAACCTCATCCCGGAATTTCTACTAGGTCCTCCTCACAGCCTGACTCTTAAGCAAAAGTATATTGGGTCAGGGTGGAATCACTTGTGCTTGTACTGGTACTTCTGTGTTTAGAGGTTTTGGTACTTCTTTCCTTCCCTAGTGTTTTCCCTCGTGAGTTGAAAGAAGTGTTTGCATCATGGAAGCAGCAGTGCCTGAACCGTGGCAAGCAAGACATCAGCGAGAGGCTCATCAGTGCCTCATTATTTCTCCGTTTTCTGTGTCCAGCCATTATGTCTCCCAGTCTTTTCAACCTTATGCAGGAGTATCCTGATGACCGCACATCTCGGACTCTAACTCTTATTGCCAAGGTCATTCAGAACCTGGCCAACTTTGCCAAGTAGGTGATACTGTTGTAACCACTTTAAAAACACAGTTTAAAAAATACTTGAGGCCTAAAATTTGGATGAGGGTTGGGAGCCTCATCACTCATGTTACCAGATTTTCACTGTGTTATTAATAAATATAGCAAAAAAATGGAAACAACTTAATCACTTCATAGAGGAATGGTTAAGTAACCTATGATACATGCATTCAATGGAATATTTGCAGGCACTACAAACTGTTTACAAAAACTATCTAATAATATAGAGCATGAAGATAAAATTATATTAAAAGTGCTGATAAAAATACTTTAGTGGGAAAAAAAGGGCAGAATAAAAAGTGGTATGTATACTGTTATCCCAGCAATATGAAAACACAAAAATCTAAGTATAAAAAAAGTTGGGAAGAAAAGACAAATTCTGCGGTTACAATGTCTAAGACAATTATCCTGGCCACTTCAAAAAAGACAATTTTATGAAAAATGCAAAAGATGGAGGGGGGCTGTTCTAGATTAAAAGAGATTAAATGCAATACTTGAAACTTATTTGGATCTTAAGTTGGAAAAATATATATATATGTCCTTTTGGGGGCAATGGGTGGAATTTAAATATATAGATAAGATAATTCGTGAATAATGTTTTTAAAAGTTTTAGTGTGATAATAGCATTGGTTTATGTAAGAGATATTCCTTATTCTGAAGAAATGGACGCTAAACTATTTAGAGGTGATGTCTGCAACTTAGTTTAAAATGGTTCCAGAAAGAAAAAAAAAAAAATCTGTCTAGAAAGAGAGGGTGTGAAAGCAAACTTGGCAAATATAACAGTTGGTTATTGTAGATGAAAGGCATATGGGTATTCATTGTATATTCTTTCAACTTTTCTGTAGGTTTAAAATTTTTCAAAAGAAAATTAGGAGAAAACAGTTGGGAAGGAAATGTACTAAAATATAAACAGCAGATATATTTGGGTAGCTTGAATGATACATCCACACTTTTTTCTTTCTACTTTTCATTGTTTCAAACTTTTTTCAGTAAGTTTATGATATTTTTATAATTTATAGAAAATAAATTTAAGAAATGGCTGGGAAGGAATTCACATTTACAGAACTGACCACAGATTTACTCAGTATTGATGCTTAAAGACAAGTTTCTGTTAGCAATGTATTGAAGAAAAAAATTGGAACTTCAGTGAACAGATTGTTTTCTAGTATAAGTGGTGGCTTTTTAGAGGTGTACTATTTTAATTTTGTATAATTTATATATAAGCCAATGCAGAAATATACATATTTATCGATATTTGAGCTAAAAATATTTATATTTTATTTTGGAACAGGTTTTATGGACTTAAACTAGGCCCTGCAGATAGCTAGAATCTAGATAGGCAAAGGAGAGAAGTTTTTCTCTAGTGCAAGTAAATAGCATGGGCAAAAGCTTGGAGAAGAAAAAAATGTGTAATATATTTGGGAGACTTTGTAGAAGCTAGCAGTATTGAAGGTTTGTACTGGTGAGCTTTTGGTAGGTAAGTGAGGGCTATATTGCAGAGAAATTTAAATCCCAGAACTAAAAAAAAAAAAAAAAAAAGGAGTTTTGGCTTTACCCTTTAGAGAGAATAGAAAGCTATTCTCAAAGCATTAGAATATTAAAGTGATATTAAGAAAGTATGTTATAACATTTATCACTTATAGATAATAAACAAAATTAGTCATTCCCTCCACAAAATAAAAAAAAGTAATAGTTCTGTGTAATGTCAAATCAAAATGATCATATCTCTCTTGAATATGTTCTTTCTCATTTTCTCATCCTCTACTTCAGGTTTGGTAACAAAGAGGAATACATGGCATTCATGAATGATTTTTTAGAACATGAATGGGGTGGAATGAAGCGCTTTCTTTTGGAGATCTCTAATCCAGACACCATCTCAAACACCCCAGGCTTTGATGGTTACATTGATCTGGGCCGAGAGCTTTCAGTTTTGCATTCCTTACTGTGGGAAGTAGTTTCCCAACTTGATAAGGTAAAGTAGGTTGGTGGAAGATAGAGAACTTTAATGTACCTGAATTCTGGAAAGTAACTATAGAGTGATAGCACTCACTCTTTCTGCTAATTGAAAGCAACTGTTTACCCTAGAAATCTGAGAGTAAATGGTCATCATTTCTGAGTAAAATATGAGATCGACAACCATGAAACTCTAGAAAACCATGACATTATTAATATATGTTTTTAATAATTATCTGAATTAATGGAGTATATTTCTCTAAATTTATATATACAGAGTGCATATCTGAAAACTTGACTAGAAACTAATATATTGGTATATACAGCCTTATGCATGTCTAATAGGATAAGATGAAACCTCATATAGTAATTTCTAATAAAAGTATAGATTTAGCTAAGAAAATACTAGGTTTATCATGTTTTAAGTAACTACCCATGAAACAAATTTTTTTACTATACAAGTCATAGAGTTTCATATAATTATTAGTGCTAACAGTCATTGTTTTCTTTCTTTACAGATGTGAATTAAGAATACAGAAAGCAATTATTTTTAATCGTTTGCTAAGAATTTTATTATATACCGTATTAATAAGTAAATATACACCATGCCAATCATTTTCTTCCTTCTGGAATTTAACAAAAAGGAATAGATTTGGTAGTAAAAAATAGTCTAAAAGACGTTGGCTAGGCTTATTACAATAATTATTTATTGATGTTTTTGTTTGCTACAGGCACTTTATAAATATGTGTGGTGGTATGTTAGAATAACTTCAAAAGACAGTCATTTTTCTATGATAATGATCTACTTATTTTCCTCTATTTTCCTATCAATAAAAATGCTATATCAGTAAAATTTGAAGGGGAATAAAACCTATTAACAAAGACCACTTTGCTGAGGAAACATATGTGGTAATGTGTCCTCCAGTGCTTAAAATATTTGTAAAACAATAAACTGTTCCTTATTCTCGAGGACCTTTTCTTCACTTTTAGAAATGCTAGCTAGATTTTTAAGTTGCAGCTATGCCAAAGATAAACCCTTTTCATGTGAATCGTAGCCCAACATTATTGAGCAAGTAAAGGCCTTGGTGGCATCTATCCCTGTTTGAGTAGGGTAGAAGAGTCTGTTGATTGTTGAGAAGGCAAAGACCCAAAGGCAGCTATGCCAAACTGACTGACAGTTGAAGGGGACCCCTAAGACCCCATGAGAATAAGAATTCCCTAAATAAAAAAATGATTGAAATGGATAAAGCAAGTATTAAAGAGTTCGTCTTTGTTGAATAACTGCATCTCAGTGGAATGCAGATTCAGTTTTCCTGTGAAATGGGCCTGGTTTATTCAGGATCAAAGTCTTTTTAACGGGCTTTGCTATGTAAACACACTTTCTCCTTTTTAATCTGTGTTTGGTCCTGGGAACCAGGAATACATCTAGACATATCTCATAGAGGAAGTTTACCTGATTTTGCTGTTAAATTAACAATAAAAATTGTCTTACTGATGGAAACTCAGTTGGCAGTGGGTCAGGGTTCCCAAGATTGACTGGGATAGTGGATGGCAGTATCATCTGTGTGCCCTGCAGTACTCTGGATTCCTGAATGAGCACCTTCTTATATGTTGGCATGCATTTCTTTTCTCACATGATCCCTTTTCTTTGAAAGTTTATCATACTAGTTGATCCTCTGATCTTGAAGTTCTTTTGGTTAGAAGGAATTTGGTTCTGCCTCCACCCTCCCCCACCTTGATCTACTAGCCTCCCAAAGATTTAGTTTGCTTCGCATGCCTATTTTAGTTGGAATGGCATTAGTTTGGTAGTTTTGAGCATGTCTTTTAATTTTTACTTGCATAATCCTGATTTCGATTTCCTTTCTTTCCTCGATGTCTGCCGCACCTTGTTTCGCCTCCTCCATTCATCTCGACGCCATGGTTCTGCTGCTCCATAACAATGCATTATGAACCTGCCACTCCCATATGCAAACACTTACCCTTCCCTCCAACCTACACCCCTCCATCAATGGCCATCGTTGTGCCAAAAACAATCTGTGGTGGATGTCGCAATGCTTATTATCCAATTAGGGTGAAAATTCCTTCCTACAGGCGACCGTGGCAAAATTGGGGCCTCTCCCTCGTGTTCTTGCTGATATTACCAAGTCATTGACTAATCCTACGCCAATACAACAGCAACTGAGACGCTTCACTGAACATAACTCCAGTCCAAATGTCAGTGGAAGCCTCTCCTCTGGGCTGCAGAAAATATTTGAAGACCCCACTGACAGGTATGAAAGAGAGAATTTGACCACTATCTCGGAGAAACATAATGTTTAGATTTAGCAGAAGTATATTCAACCTATTTGTTGAATTTACAAGTTTAAAATCATGAGCAACTGAAGACTCATCTGACCTGAGAGCAGTCCAATTATTTGTCATAATAATGCACAAGATCTGGGATGACTTATTTTCTAGAATGGTAGTATAGAGAGTTACAATATATTCCACAAGCATATTTTTAAAATTTCTGTCTTGCTTAGTGGAAGACTAAAGGCTTTATGAAATTCATGTTTCTGTACGTTATAGCATTCAAAATCTTGGAGAACCTCGGTTAAAACCATTTTATAGCTGGCTATGTCAACTGGACAGGTAGATACAATGTCGATGCTTAGACTGTTTTAGGGATTGGCAAGACTTGTGCCTTTTGCAGGGACCTTTCAGTTGTGTGCTTAGAACTTCTTCTCTTGAAGGTTTAGACAAGTAAGTATGAATTGGAATATTTGGGGAAGGTTTAAAACCTAACTAGGAAATTATTGGAATCCTGGTTAAAACTGAAGACAGTGATGGGTTGGTATCTACAGTGTTATTCTGTACCTTTGGGGAAAAAGTAAAAATGCTGGATTTTATTCTAAGCATTGTAATAATTCCCTAATTAGATAAAATCTGAGTTTCCAAAGAAATGTACGTATCCACATAAGAACCTTCGGAGGAGTTCATATGCCTGAATTGAGGCATCTTAGCCATGTTGAAGTTGTCTCAAGAGAAATTAAGTGTCCTTTCCTTTTCCACAGTGATTTGCATAAACTAAAATCTCCAAGCCAGGACAACACAGACAGCTACTTCAGAGGGAAAACATTATTGCTGGTTCAGCAAGCCTCCTCTCAGAGCATGACTTATTCTGAAAAGGATGAAAGGGAAAGTAGCCTTCCTAATGGTCGGAGCGTCTCCCTCATGGACCTCCAGGACACTCATGCTGCTCAAGTGGAGCATGCATCTGTCATGCTTGATGTGCCTATACGCTTGACCGGAAGCCAGCTTTCCATAACCCAGGTGGCCAGCATCAAACAGCTGCGGGAAACCCAGAGCACTCCCCAAAGTGCACCCCAAGTGAGAAGGCCCCTGCACCCAGCCTTGAACCAGCCAGGTGGCCTTCAGCCCTTGTCGTTCCAGAACCCTGTCTATCACCTCAATAACCCAATTCCAGCAATGCCAAAGGCCTCTATAGATTCCAGTTTGGAGAACCTAAGCACTGCCAGTTCCAGAAGCCAAAGTAACAGTGAAGACTTCAAGCTCAGTGGACCCAGCAATAGCAGCATGGAAGATTTCACTAAACGTAGCACTCAGAGTGAGGACTTCTCCAGGCGGCACACGGTGCCAGATAGACACATACCTCTTGCTTTGCCACGACAAAATAGTACTGGGCAGGCCCAGATCCGAAAAGTGGACCAGGGTGGGTTAGGTGCCCGAGCCAAAGCCCCACCATCCCTGCCACACAGTGCTTCTTTACGTAGCACCGGGAGCATGTCAGTGGTGTCCGCAGCCCTGGTGGCCGAACCTGTGCAGAATGGGAGCCGGTCCCGGCAGCAGTCCTCTTCCTCCAGAGAGAGCCCTGTTCCCAAAGTTAGAGCAATCCAGAGACAACAGACACAGCAGGTAGGTGTGAGTGCTGAAGGGGCCTGGCTTCTACTTGGTCCATCTGTTTCCTTGGTTCTTTATACATAAATCATTGGGAAATCCTATTGTTAACAAGATTTCCTCTTAAAAGCAACCTTTAAATGGAAAGAGGAAAGGAAAAATTTGGGAGGCTTCTGCCCAGGTGTGACTACAGAATGTAGTTTGACTCATTACCCTTAAGAGTCTAACAAACACGCAGAGGCCCCCTTCCTTCTCTTCAAGCAGCAGAGCTGCTACCTCAGTTTGCACTTAGAGCAAATCTATGATGTTGAATGAATAATTAGATACTTAAAATCTGTAGGCAAAACCAGCTATTATTTTGGAAATCTGAAAATTAATCCTTCTTAATTTTTTTTCTTAAGCTTCCAGAATAAAGGTTTGCATTCCGAGCCAAGAGTTTAATATGACTGCTCTCCATTCCATCCCTCAACTCCTTCTGGAAATACAAAGTCCCATGTGGCTTTTCCTGGAAATAGCTAGAAAAATAAACACTTGAACACCTGTAGAGTCAAGGTAAAGGAGAGAGTAAAAAGATAGAAGCACAGGTGGAAAAGGAAGTATTCTAAACATCTGCAAATCCCTTACATTTCTATTTACATGGACAAGCCCAGCTAACATCACATCCAATCTTAATATAAGTTTTTCTAATTTTTTTATTGACAAATAAAAAGCTTTGCCAAGAAACTAATCATTTCTTCCTTAAATATTACATTTTGAAGCATCAATACATATTTTTCCCTTTGAAACAAACTACTGTTAAATATATAATATACACATTCATATAATTTTTCATGTATATAATATATATCTTTATATATCTTTCATCTAAAAAGATTTTTCTCCTAAAAAAGCATTGTATTAGTTGAATTTTTTTTGAAACCTAATGATAGTACTAAAAAACTTGAGATTAAAAGAGTTCTATGACAAATCCTTTTATGCAGCAAAATAACTGGGCAGGGAGACTGCAATAAAATCCTAGTTTGTATCTGTTATATATTTGCATTTTTACAGTTTAGGCACTTACCTATATGGCTGCCTCTGCCTCCAGTCTGCTATGATCAGAGCCCCTTGCACCTACTTTGATTTTTTAATTGGATTATTTATAGAATCCTTGGATACAGAAATAGAAGAAGGGATGAAAAGCATGACTAACTTAAGCTGTTTCTGGAAGCAGACTTCCTGGGCTAAACCTCCTAGTTGGTCATTTTTTACTGAGTAATAAAGTTTTTCTACAGTCTTAAATTTTTCATTTTTATTTTGTTATATTTCCCAAAATTTTACCAAATCATTTGATTTAGTAAGCATTTTTATTTGAAGAAAAGGAAAAATAGATATCTTTTATATGTATCATATGTATTTTTTATATATAAATGTGTATGTGTATATAAGCATAAAATGTATGTGTTAGAAGGCTATCAGTCATTCCTACCTTATTGTGAAGTAGTTTCCTCACATCACTTTTGTGCTAGATTCTAGTTGCGATCAACTACTTTCAGAGAATTAAGATGTTTATTGGGAGGAGAAAGGAAAAAATACATAATTTTAGAAATCAGAATACTGTGTAGAAGCAAATATCTACTCAGGGACTTAGGGCAGCACAAGGGCACTGAAGATAAAATAGGATTAGCGAAGAGCATGAGATCTGGCAGAGAGGGACAGGACAGGGAAAGTGTCCTCCACCTGCTTTTCAAAAGTGTACTTAGGCCCAGCCCTGTACAGAAAAGGAAAATAAAGATTCTTTTTTTTTTCTTTTGCTTACCCTTTCCTTCTGTATCATGGAGGGCCTATGACTCAGGCTGGTTGTTTATTAATATTATAAATTAAATAGCCTTTTTTGTGCTCATCTGGAACCAGTTGTCATTTATAACATTTTTTCTTTAGGAAAATACAATACCTATCGCATAAGCACATAATACATGTTTCTGTGGGTTATGATTAGAGGGCTGCCTGGATGGATGGGAGGTAGGAAATGCATACAGTCTCCAAACAACCAATATAAAAATTAGTTTTTGTGTCACAGCCATTAATGAGTCACCAAATATATTTTTTGGCATGAAGTGGGGTACAGGCACAGTGAGATGTCCAGGTACAGCTTTGAATATTAATCTTTGTTTATACTTTTGCTGGTACTGCCACTGTCCTATCAGTTGAAGCATAAATCACCGTATTTTGATTGCTCAAGTTTCTTTTTTTTTTCCTACACTGGCTTTTGGTTCATTGTTTTGAACTTACATTGTTAGTTTTTTATTTTTATTTTTATTTTTTTGAAACAGAGTCTTGCTCTGTCGCCTAGGCTGGAGTGCAGTGGCACGATCTCGGCTCACTGTAACTTCCGCCTCCCAGGTTCAAGCAGTTCTCCTGTCTCAGCCTCCTGAGTAGCTGGGATTACAGATGCCCACCACCACGCCTGGCTAATTTTTGTATTTTTAGTAGAGGTGGGGTTTCATCATGTTGGCCAGGTTGGTCTTGAACTCCTGACCTCAAGTGATCCACCTGCCTCGGCCTCCCAAAGTGCTTTGATTACAGGAGTGAGCCACCGTGCCTGGCCTAGTTTTTTATTTCTTATCTGTTTCTTGCTTGCTTTGTTCATCTCACTCCCATGAAGCCTCTGAAGTTCTATATAATCAGCACATTTTTAAGGCAAATTCCTTTACATATTTTAATTGCAAATTGTGTTGGGGAATTCTCTCCCAGAAACTAGAGGATTTCTTTGTGGGGATTGTTCTGTAGGCGGCTGTAATTATCAGTAGCTTTGTCCCATGCAAATTCCATTTATATCTTAGCACAAAGTAGTGGCCATTGTCTGCAGAGTAACTGGCTTCAGTCTTCTACGTCTAATGAGTAGGAAGGAAATAAAATCCTGGTGAAAAAATTCACAGATAAATTTTTTTTCAAGAAACTCTCTTAATTTTTTAACCCATTTCAGCCTCTGTTTGTATTGCTTTTTTCTTATTTTCCTCTCTATTTTGTTTTTCATGTATCATCTACTTCGTACAAACAGTAGACTTTATATATATGAGTTGTTCAGATTTATCATGTACTCTAATCTTAGAAATTTGAATTTGAAGAGACCTTTTAAAATAGATAATTGACAAGCCTGTTAATATGATGCTGCAGTTTTCACATTTAGATTTGTTGAACTGTCTCTTAACCAACCTCTTCAAGAACTCCCAAAGTTTGTGGATTAATTTATTCGGCCCTTTCTTTGGTGTTGATAGCAGAAGGGTTATTCATTTATGGGAATCCGACTATTTCACACTATGAAGCTGAAACCAATTGGTCTTGTTTATGTCTAGTAAATACTAGCAAGGAACGAGGAACTGGCCTCAGCATAGCCAGGCTATGATTAATTGTAGTATCAGTGAAACTGCTGCATCAGGCTCTTTTGCCCTAAAGCGTTACTGTTTTTCCAGGGAAACCCTATACAGCTTTATCTCAAAGGGAAGATATTCCTAATGGGAATTCCTGCTCCTTTTTCTTTTTGTCTTTTTCATTATCTTTGATGATCATGTTGAAAGTCAGTGGATATAAATTCTCTTTCTAAGGCCATTCCTAAGCAAGATGGAATCTGAACCACTTACTAACCTCCTCCCTCAATTTTTTGGACTATAAACTAGAGATATTTTTTGCTATTTATCCAGCTTATAAGGAGATGGAACAATCATTGAAAAGAAGCCTTTGGTGCCCTTCCAAAGGATTAGGGGAAAAACATAGAATATTCTCTAAGTAATAAATTATATTTTAGTAATGAATTCTAAAGATAATCCAGAATAATAAATGAATAATATTTTATTGAGCATCTGTTGTGTATTTAACTAGTCAGTATCATTTAAAAGAACTGTATGATATGATGCCCATTAGATTGACTAATTGGAAAATAAGAGCAACGCTTATAAGACCAAGAATATATAAAAGATAGTATATAGTTTTTTCATTTGAAGAACATACTACAACAAAAAAATTCATGAAACAAAAATCACCTCTGTTTCCTTTCAATCTAGCACAATAACTATTTTTTATTTATTCTATATTTCTAGCCTTTTTACAATTTTGTGAAGGCTTTATCATTAATAGAAGGAATAGTTAGGATTGATCTATTTTGTCACTTTTATTTTTATTATTTTGACCACCTACTGTATGCCAAGCAAAGTGCTAGGATATATTAGGAAGTGGCTGAAAATAAGATTTGACCAACAAAATAGTAGAAATTTCTAGAAGTTCATTCACAATTGCTTAGTGTGTACGGGTCTATTTATATAAACTATGCACATCCATCCTCAGGCATGAAGCTATTTTTATTGATATATAACTATAATCTGTAAATCGACTAAACCAGATCTTTCTTCACACCTTTAAGAAATGTCCCTATGTTACTTTTGCATGTGTAAGTTTTAAAGTCTCTCCCAACCCATCTCTGATAGCCTTTTAGTCTCTGCAATCAGTTTTTTAATCTGGTCTTCCTCACTCTCCAGTTCATCAAAATACCCCTTCTTTTAAAATATTTATTTAGAGTTTAACTGAGTTCTATTTCAGAATGGTATAAAGATCCTTAAGATGTAATGGCTGTGATAGGGGAGAAAATGCCCTTCAATTATGAAATTATGGAATTCTGGTCCTTAAAATACAAATCCCTCTATTTAATTATAAAAGGCTAACTCACATGCCAAGTTTTGTACTCTCTCTTTAGCTTACTCTCTCTCTCTGAGGCAGGACAGAGGGGAAAAAAATTGTGTGTTTCCATCATTGTTTGTGGAGAAAGCACTAATGTTCAATAGCCTAATATAAATTGTAATATCTAATGCTAGTTTTTGAAACATAAATATTGTAATGACTGACACCTAACCTCTCTGTAGCACTCTGAAGTTTCCAAAGAATTTTCAAATATATTGTCTTATCCTCACAGCTCCCTATGAGATGATCAAGATAGGTGGTGGTGACAGTGTTGGTATGTCTATTCAGTAGATTAGGAAAATAGACTACCCAGTATCCATCATTTTGATCCTGTATTCAAGAAATTTTCCAGTATAAGGACCCTTGAGTGATCTTAATCCATCATGAAGTCAGTGTTCTGTAAAGATAACCAGCATCACTTGTCCTTCTTTTTCTCTAAATCAATAATATGAAAACTAAATAGACTGGTGCAAAAGTAATTGCAGGTTTTGCCATTTAACCCACAATTACTTTTGCACCAACCTAGTATTTGCCATTCTGATATATAAATGGGCACTTTGTGAGTTTGTTTAGCACTAATCAGTTTTTTGGTTTCTGATTGTGTCTGGGCTAAACAGATATTTTGACCATCAGGTTATGCTTTCTTTCTCTTATTTAATCATCAAATAGACTTTTATGGCATAAAAGACTTTTATGGCAGAGGTCATTTATTAATTTCAGCAGGCAATTTGTTACCTACCAGTATTTGGACCACTGGGCAAATTAACAATTTTAAGGCTTTGACTTTCTTTAGAGGGAGAATAAGGATGCCTCTTGGATATGATATATGCAACTTTCTATTCAGAATAGTTTGCACTTATACAAATGTATATTCTCTTTCCCCACCCCTAGCCTTGGCATTAGTAAAATAATACTTAAAGCTAAGAGCATTTATTAGAAAACTGAGAGATCACAGTTAATGTCTTCCAAGAATAGCTGTTTGTGAAACATAGCACACGGGTGAGCTGTTAGGGGAAATGCTAATAACTGTTTCTGATGCAGGTTCAGTCACCTGTGGACTCTGCCACAATGTCCCCAGTAGAGAGGACAGCAGCCTGGGTTCTGAACAATGGGCAGTATGAAGAGGATGTGGAAGAAACTGAGCAAAATCTAGATGAAGCCAAGCATGCTGAGAAGGTAGAACCTAGTCTGCTTCATCAACTTTCTGATCCCAAAATGACAGGCCACTAAAAAGGTTATCTAGCTAAGAACATAAACTCATCCCACCCCCATCTTCACCTCTACCCCTTATGTTAATCATCCTATACATATCTATGTAAAATAGGTCAGTGGTGTGTGTGTGTGTGTGTGTGTGTGTGTGTGTGAATATACATGGAAAATGTTCATCTTGCTAGGGGGTGGCAGTTAGCTACTATTTTTTTTAATGTAGATGCCTTAATCTAGAGGACACTCTACTATTCATTTCTAGTCATTTTAGGTAAATATTTCATGTTTCTGTGTTTCCATAAACTTGTTGGTCTTCACCCAAGGACAAAATTACCCTAGGGCAAGACTTTTTGTTTATCTTGGTAACAATTAGGTTTTGGTTTTAGTTGTTTTTTTTTTTTTTTTTTTTTTTTTGCCTTTTCTGGATAAAGAATGTATAGCTCTATAAATGACTGTTAAAAGGATATTATCTATTGTTTAGATTTTGTTTTTTTGTTTTTTAAGGAAAAGTTGACAAGGGGTAAAAGGGTTATCAAACAAGAACCTTGTCATCATATATAGCATTATATTATTTAATTGACAACCAGACAATTAGCTTCTTTTTATCAGCATGATATTCCAGTGTACTCAAACCCCAGCCACAGCAACTACAGTACAGGAAAGGGCCATGTAACTAATTGAGTCACTGAATTTATGTAAAGCTCCTTAGAACACAAACATGTATGTTCCAGCAAGCAGTACAAAATTGGGCAGGTGAGTCATATTACAAAAATGGGCAAAGAAGCAATATTAATTGGCCCTAGAGAACATGTAGGCCTTTGTTTAGTGCTTGTGACTGGAATACTTTACACTTTTATAGTTGGGGAAAAAGCAGCAATAACCTCTGCCATGAAAGTCTTATTGATTCATGGGCTTAACATTATAGAAATGTTGCTTGTTCTCTGTAGGGCTGATTCTAGTAGAACAAAGGAATGGCAGTCTGATGAGCTAAGACACATCAGAGATCCTACAGTGCAGATGATGACACAGAATCTTTTTCTCTTATAGACAACTGACTTTTGGCTTATTTTAAGTGATTTGTCAGACTTTTAAGTACTTCATCTGGTTTTTTTTTCCCCCTTTCATTTGATACCATCACAGATTGGATGTGGCTTATAGCAATGGTAGCCTAGTGTAGAGAGAGATACATATATATGTAGAATTTGGAATGCCAAGTTAAGATTTAAAATGTAATTTTAGTAAGGAAGGCAATGCTCCATTAACATTTATGCCAGTTGATAATTATAAAGAATATTAAGAACAGTATAGGGAATGACAGCACAGCCAGCATCTAGCTACACTGCTTAGGGTTTCTTTTGTTAAAAAAAAGAAAAAAGAAAAAGAAAAAAAGAAAGAAAGAGAAAGAAAGAAAAGTAAATCACTGATTTCTAAAAGCAATGTGACTCTAGTTTTTGTCTCCTTGCCTCCTCTGCCCTAGTATGAACAAGAAATTACTAAACTGAAGGAGCGCCTGAGAGTTTCCAGCCGGCGACTGGAGGAATATGAACGCCGCTTGCTGGTGCAGGAGCAGCAGATGCAGAAGCTGCTGCTGGAATACAAGGCCCGACTGGAGGACAGCGAGGAGCGGCTCCGAAGACAGCAGGAAGAAAAAGATAGCCAGATGAAAAGCATCATCAGCAGGTTAGACATCACCTGGCAGCAGATGTGGGCTAGTTAGCAAGACAAAGAATTGAGATGATCCACAGAACCCTGAAGGAATGGCAGCAAAAGCCATTTTTATCCTTGTGGTACTGAGTACAAATGTGATAATTGACTGTATCTCTTAAAATATCCTAAATATGAGACCTTGGGCACTTCCTATGAAGATAATCTGTTTTTCTTTAACCATAACAATTAGAAAAAATTAAAACTTGGTGGTTTACTTGAGAAATCTTAGAGGAGAACTCGGTTTTAAAAATGTAAATATCCAATGCCCAAGACTAAATTAATCTTTCAAAATAAGTCCAGAAACATGGAAAGGAATTTTATGGAATATCTTTAGGGCCAGAGGACCTCTTTTGAGAGTGCTGCAGATGCCAAGGGAGAAAAAGGGAGGGTCAGTTTTACCAAACACTTGTATAGCACTCGACATGGGACACACACCTTTCTAAGCACTTTACACATAATAGTTTGTTTAATCTTTATCACAGCCTCCACCTACGCATTATTATTCTCATTTTACAAATAAACAGGCAACAAATTCATTAAGTCACTTGCCCAAGGTCACATAGTGATGCACCAGGATTTGAATCCCGGACTCCAGATTCCATGCTCATAACCTCTATGCCTCAATATTTGTAAAATGCTATGGACAGGTCAAGTAAACAGAACTGTTTGTTGTTTTAATAGTGTGGAGGTAATTGACAGTCTTACTGAGAGGTGTTTGGGTAGACTGGCAGAATTAAACATCAATGAGTTAAGATGTGAATGGCGGACAGAAAACAAGCTAAACATACTAGGTATAGAGTACTCATTGAGGAAACTTAGCTGTGCAAGGGAAGAGAAAGTGGGCCAGGTTTAGGGTAACTTGAGATTAAGAGAGGGTTGTTTGTTTTTTGTTGGTTGATTTGATATTTTAAGATGAAATAAGTTGTGCTCAGGAAGGAATCTGAGAGAGAAGAGGGAGGAAATGATTATGGGGTTACTATTCCAAGGGAGATGAAAATGTGTGGGATCCAGGCACAAGGAGAAAAATCAACCTTAGATGTCTTATTCCAAGGTAGTAGAGAAGAAAGAAAAGATGGTTGCAGGTGTCTTATTAAAAAGGGCAGAGGATATTGAGTTTTCCTGTTCTCTACACTAGCTAGCCCTTTCTTTGAAGATGTTGATATTTCCTTCCTGCCACATTCTAGGCTAATGGCTGTGGAAGAGGAACTGAAGAAGGATCATGCTGAGATGCAAGCAGTTATTGATGCAAAGCAGAAAATAATTGATGCACAGGTAAGCAGGCTTTGAATCTAATAGAAGGCACTTGTTTATAGTAACGATTATTTCCTGACTTCACACCCTTGCAAATGCCAAGGCAGGTACCCAAAAATGTGTCATTGAAAAGTTCTAGACGCTACATTTTGAAGATTAAATGAGTGTCTGTGTGACCTCCATTATTTTCCTTTCTTTCACTGGTGAGAAGTCTGTTTACTCAGCAAAGTATTAGCGTGTTTAGTGCAGTTGCTTGACAAATCTCAACCTAGTGCATGATGGGGTTTGCTTCTTTCCCTATGGAAAGGAGGGCATTTTCTAAGGGCGTAATTGTGAAAAGTGCACTGCATGTGCCTGGCTTGTGACCTCCACTGACCATTGCTTGGCTGTGCTGTTCATGGTCTTGTCAGTCACGTCCACTGCCATCAACCTTTTGCCCCAGACAGTAATGGAATTGCCAGGGAAAGACAAGGTTGTAAAAAGGTACCTTTCCTTGTTGTTCTTTTGGTTTAGGGTTTGGCATTGCTGCTTGGAATGTGCTTGGCTGCTCTTCTTTGTTGGTGCTGTGCTTAGAGAGCATCTTTTGATAAAACTTTAAAAAAAGAAAAGGTTGTTGAAATCAGAACCTAGGCTTCTGCTCACTGTAGCTCACACCTGTGACACCAATGACATAAAGGCTGCCAAGAGCACCTCATAGGGACATGTCAATGATTAGAGCAAAATCCAGGAGGCAAGAAGTGTTTCTAACTCCTTTTTATTTTATCATTGCAAAATATGGTTGTATTTCTTAGGGTGAAACAAATAACAAAAAGCAGTTACAGTTTTTATAGTTTTGATAGTGGCTGATCTAGCCACTGAATGTGTTGCTTCCCTGAAGATAGCCGATCCAGGTTTGCATTTTTCAACCTTAAATGACATATCATATCCCTAAGCTGTGAAATAAAAAATGAGAGCAAGGATTTTATGCATAGATAGCCTCCTCCCTTCTCTAGGTATCAGCTAGTAATCAACATATTTTAGAGCCCCCAGTATTCTTAAACATGTACTTAACAGTCTAGTTTCCTTACAGAGTCCATGTGGAATGGGTTTATTTTTCAACAAAATTGAGAGTGAGGCTGAAAGCACGGTCGTGGAAAGAATGCTTCATGGGCCTCACACTCCTTTAAACACACTAGACTTGGAAGTCAGGTGAGAGTTGTGAGGATGCAATCAGCACTGCTCCTTAAAATATTTTGGATTCTTGAACTCTATAGTTTCTGGATACTTAGACATGCGGAGAATCAGAAGAAAGGTCTGTAGTAATTATCTTACTTGGTCCTTTGAAAGAAATCTTTCTAGATGCCCCCAGGGTAGGTGAGGTAAGGGTAGTGGAGACTAGGCCATCTCACTATTCACACTATAAAAAATCATCCCAGAGACTTAAGAAAAACAGCCTGGATAAATAAGGCAATTGAGTCAGGAAAACTAATGTTAGTAGGTTTTCACTTTGGAAATTTCAATATAACAATATAAAGCAAGAAGAGTTCTATTAATAACCACACAAGGAGAGATGTTAGTACTAAGAGATAAAACAGACTTTTTAAATAATTTCAGCTGGTTTAAAAGTATCAGTCTTGGCCAGGCAAGGTGGCTGATGCCTGTAATCCCAGCACTTTGGGAGGCTGAGGCAGGCGGATTGCTTGAGCTCAGGATTTCAAGACCAGCCTGGGTAACATGGTGAGACCCACCTCTACAAAAAATGCAAAAATTAGTCAGACATGGTGGCTCATGCCTGTAGTCCCAGCTGCTTGGGGGGCTGAGGTGGGAGGATAGCTTGAGCCCAGGAGGTCAAGGCTGTGGTGAGCCATATTTGCGCCAGTGCACTATAGCCTGAGCGACAAAGTGAGACCCTGTCTTGAAAAAAAATGTAATAGTCTTAAGCAGAGGGAGCTTGGGTGTGCCACAGTTGTGGTTCTGTACACAGGCTGACAGGACAGCCTCATGATTAGCTCCTGAAGATTTCTACCCCACCCCCTAATTTTATATTAGGGCTAGGTGACTGGGTATAAAGCAGAAGTCACCTGCTAGGCATAGGAGGTAAAAGCCAGGGAGGGAATCTGATTTATTAGGACTCAAATGCTCTGGAAAGTAAGGACTTTCTCTCAGTTAACCAGGAGGGTGTCATGTGTAGGAATGGGAGAAATGCTATCCTCAAACCGTAAGTCACTGTCAGACTGGTGGTCTGCTAAGCTAGTTAATGTTTTCAGTCCATACTTCAAGACAGTGGTTTTGAAATGGTTTGGTTCTCTGGACTATTTTGGTAGAATCCAGGCACCTTTCATAAATGAATATCCAGCTCCTTCCACTGACCACTCAACAGCAAGGACCACACTCTCAACTAATGAATCAAATCATACTGGGATTGGTTAAATATAATAAATTACCTACCCAAACACAAATATTACTATATAATAAATTATTCTACCAGAGACCCACTGTGGATCCCTAAAGAATAGTTGGGAGAATCCACTAAACTATATTTGGAAAACCTCTGCACCATGCATAGCACAAATCCTAAACACTATAGTTAAATTTTAAAAAATTATAGTGTCCTTAAAAGGAAGGTTTCTTAATTCCAGCTGTTGGCTTACTGATACATTAAAATCTTATTATAGCAAATGACTTTAAACATCCTTTGGCATTCTTTGTAATGAATGACTTTTGTATCAGATCCTTTCTTTTGTAAGGATAAATCTTCTCTCTTAAGTGAATGATGGAGCAGAGCAGCCCTTCTGGCATCATTTAATAGAATGAAGACGTGTTTGGGGTGAAAGCTTCCCAGAGAAGTGACTCTTATGTCAACACTTCCCAAAACACTACCAGCCAGGTGCCCAGTAAACTGGTTTTCATGTCTCTCAGCAGCCCTGTGCTCCCAGGAAAATCTTGTCCCTGAATTCAGCCTCTGCCTCTTTTTGAGTCATTTCATGCTACAAGGCACAGGCCTGCATCAGCCACTTTCTAACAGGAACTGCAAAAGGATGAGCACTCCTTTGGTGAGTGGCAGAAGCACCTATCCTGGACCTTGTAGCTTAGGGGCCATAGGGATCCTAGTGGTGATCATAAGGATCCATTTCTTAAATATCAGACCAGAGAATGTGCCACCTTTCACCCCTGAGCATGAGGAGACACTGTGGCTCCCAGGATCTCTCTATGTGACTCAGGTGGAGAACAGAGAAGGGCTTCCTCCTATGAGAAGCAAAAGCAGCTGCCTAGTTACTGTTGCAAGTGATATCTCCGCTGTGTTAAATTACAGGTCATAAATGGAGATGAGATTATTCAAACAGGCAAGTAAACCCCGCGTCCGTTCTCTAGCTGAGCAGTTCCCAGCCCTGGCCCAGTGCACTGGCCTCCTACACATTCCAGCTCCTGCCACTCCCCACATGGGAATCCTTCCTGTCAGGTGTGGACTAGATTGCTTTCCCTTACAATCCAGGCAGAATTGAAATGTCCGAGCATCTTTTGTCAACTGAACTTGACTTTCATAAGTCTCTATTTGATTTTTTTTAACTTTTTTGTTTTATTTTGAGAGGTTGGCAATAGGGGGAAATACAAAGGGAGTTTCTTTATGTGGAAACTTTCAGCTGTTTAGTAGGGGGGCTGTTTGTCTTCAGTTGTTACCTTTTTAGGCAGTAAGTAATTACAGTCATTCTTAGGCTTTTTGACCCTTTAAAAATCAAATTTTTTATGAATTATTTATTTTTGGATGAACCCTGGAGAATCCTAATTTCCTTATGAGGCCTTATAATTTATCCCAGTTCTGAAATATCTTTTCTTTAATCGTTCAAGAAATTATCAGTTACTCAGTTTAGAGATCATTCCTAATAATGCGAGTAGGGAGGGGGGAATATCATACTTAGCTCTTACCTCTTGTTTTCTAGTATTCACTGGCCAGTTCTTACCTATTGGCTTTTCAAAGATCTATATTTGTTATCCCAGTAAACTTCATTGGTTAAAATTTTTTTAATAATAATTATTTTTTAAAAGCCTTGCAGCTCTTTCCTTTAGTTTTGTCTATCCTTAAAATGAATTACTTTCCTAAAATAAAAAGCATTTTATACCAGATGCATGGGTCATTAATAGTGCTGATTTTGTATATCTTACCACATGAGTTCTCCATCAGGGAAAGAAGGATTTTTTTTTAAATGATAATGACAAGCAAGAGCTAGTTTGTTGTTGTTTCTTTTTTTTTAATATACTTTTGAAACTGTGACCACCAGCACTGCTGCCTTACGGATCCTACCCTCCTGCCCCCAGAAAGCAGGAGAGTAAAGGGAAGTATTACTTGATGCCATGGTGGTATGTGATTTTACCTAGATTTTTCCCCCAGGGCCGTGGTCTTCACTCTGCATGCTCCCAGTAGCATGTGTCCCAAAGTGTAGCACTACATGACAGCCCTGGGTAGCTGCTGTTTTAATAGCAAGGAGCAGCACCAGCCCTGAGCCCTGCTACTTCCTCTCTGAACTTTACCATGACTAAACTTTACCATGCTTTTCTCAGGGTCAATTTTAAAAACCCCTAAGGTAGTAAAACTCCTTTTGGCTTTGGAGGTATTCCCTATGTGTTATTTTCTTTTTAATTTTACAGGCATAGGTAAAGACTGTTTCCTGCGTTGTTTTCTGAAAACTATAGACTTCATGTTAGAAAGGTTCTAGAATGATTTACTGAGCTGCTGAAGCTAAGATTAGGGTATCTCTTCTAACCTAATCCTTAGGAGACTGATAATGTTTTGATAAAATGATTTTATTAAAAAAATTTTAGATAGTCCTACTTTCCTTTAGTTAGACTGCCTATTTTTTTTCCTCTTTTCTTCCCCCTTGGTTTTTGTGTGTGTGTATTCACCAATGCTTGGTTTCCAAATATTGTTTCTAAAGCATTTTTTTTCAGAGACTCAAAAGTAAAATGAAAGCAATCTCCGTATTGGGCAGCCCTCCTGGAGTAACTTTGAGCTGGAATGGGTCTAGGAGCCTGTGTTCTCTGTTTGTTCTCATGTGTTATGTTGATGGCATTCCCTTTTCGGCACATCTCCCTCCCCATATTCAAGTAACTCCTTGGTCTGAGCTTTTTGGCTGCTTTTTTCCCCTCTTGCTGTTGCAACCTCACCTTGTTGGTGACTCTACACTGCCACCATGTATTGTTTTAATTTTGAGCACAATGTGAATTCCTTCCAAATGTGACTGATATGCCCTCTTTTGGGGCTAAGAACCCATAGATCACATGCTCTTCTCCTCTGTGAAATGAAACCTCTGGTGCTTCTTTCTTTGCCACCTAATTTCCATGTTTCAATTTTGACCTAAAGCACTTAGTATAATAAGGCAGCTTGATACCTGTGTTGCATAGTCTGAGGTAACACATGGTATCACTTTTACATGACAGTCTAATGTCCCAAGAGATTGTTAATAAAAAGTCCTGCTATGCTGAAAGAAAAAGAGAGAGAGAAAAAAATAAACACAGATCCACTGGGCTCAGGGGAAGCTGAACCTGACCAGTGTGCAGAAAGAGGCAGAGACGTTCCATTTGTCTGGGAAGCACCATGCATACAACTGTTTGAGAGAAAGCACTGGACTAGTCATTCAGTAAAGAAAGCGTGTTACCTCCTGCCTGTAGCCTGAATAAAGCCATGATTGGTGTGTTGTAGGAAAAACGGATCGTGTCCCTGGATTCAGCCAACACCAGACTGATGAGCGCGCTGACCCAAGTGAAGGAGCGGTACAGCATGCAGGTCCGCAATGGCATCTCCCCCACCAACCCCACCAAGCTTTCCATCACGGAGAATGGTGAATTCAAAAACAGCAGCTGCTGACGGGCTTTGTCTGTGGAAGGAGACAGAAGGAAATTGACCCACTCTCCTATCTCCAGACCTTTACCTAGCCCCTCCAGGTTTACAGAATGTTGCTACTTCACAATGGCGATGTGGTGAGAAACTCCTGAATGAAGAAAGGAACCTTGTCTTTCAGGGCATAAGGCGGCGACTTCCAAGGTCAATGCTTTTCCCCCACATCTCTATGTACATAGGGAACTTAGTTCTGGGCCATGTACAGAAAATATCACTGTAATATACCAAAAGGAAGTTAATAATGTAGATTACCTTTTTGATTATTGCTATTTTTATTATTGTTTTCCTCTTGTTGAAAGCACTGCAGTTGTTACAGGAAGTAAAGTAGGAACTGTTGTGTGAGCGAGACATGAGCCTGTAGGTTCAGTAGGTAGAGACCAAGCATCTATCTGATAGAAGCACATGGAGTGCAATAGGACATTGTGAGAAGGAATTTTTCAGGGATTCATCTACTAGTTTAAAAACCCCACTCTGGCCCTCTTGTCCTTTCAGAAAACATGCAAATACCAAGATCCATACAAAACAATAATTTATTCCACTGATCAACCAAGACTGGTTCTGGTTGGACAGCTAATCTGATTTGGGGATTCACTGTTTCAGAGGACACAGACAAAAGCTGTTGCATCAAAACTGGACTTTAGGAGTAATTTCTATTGAACTCCTGTCAATATGTTTATTTCCTCTGTCTACAGCAGATGGGAGTCTTCTCTTTTAGACAGGGGCTTTTTGTTTTTAACCCCAATTGTAATAAAGGGTGTTCTTTTTCCTCTTTAGAGTTTACAAAACTATAAATATTTGTGTCTCCACATACCATCTTCATCTTCACACATTCACTGTGCTTTCCTCCCCATAGTGGGAGCTGTCATCACCAACAGGGTTTACTCTCCCCTGGAGAGGTTATTTAAATAGCTGTCCATAAGCCATCCAGATCAACACCCTTTCTTCCATACAGAAAAGGGCTAACCATACCACAGCTGGAATCTCTGAATATTTCCTATTAAAAATTTTTTCTATGTGTTGTTATAATTTTTGTTTGGGATAAAGACTCTATCCATTGTACTAGCAAATCTATGGGGGGTAATTTTATCTCCATCTTTAACTTTTAAAGTACTTCTTCCCCTTATCCCCTCAATAAAGAAAGGAAATCCAAATTTGAAGCATCACTCTCTTAAAAGAAAAAGAAAATAATGGAAAGTGTCAGGATGGCACATTCCAGTTATTATTCCAATGCTCGTAGATCTGACAATAATGACCCAATTTCAACACTTGTCATCCATAGCCTTATTATTATAGAACAGAAAAAGTCATGGAAACGAATTCATTTCCTTTTTTCCAGAGGTGTGCAATGTCATCTTGAATGCAACCTTGATTACCAGAAGTATGGAAGGTTACATGTTAAACAGACATTATATATACAAATATATATATAATATATATTCACACATATGTACATATAACTGCACAAATAGGAAAAGTTCATGCCTTCTATGCTGTTCAGATATAATGTTAAAAGGGTCTCAAACCTCTTTAAGCAAGATCTAAGTAGTTGTTTTATATTGAGAAAGCAACAATGTTTCTCGAATAAGTTGATGTTGATTTTAAATTATAAGCTTTAAAGAATTTTTTTTCTAGAAAAAGGGGATGGAAAAAAAAGGACCTGAGGGAGCCATATGCATCAAGTGAGTGTTTCTCCATAACAGAATATTTATAAGAGAACATGTATAGTGCCCTCTTTTGAGTGATGCCGACAGACACCAAGCCCTCCTTTTCACCAAGTCCCAGGCTTGCATTCCAGCCTCTTGAGCTCTGCCCTCTCTCAGGTGGATCTTTGTGTTGGACCTTACGTTTCAGCAACCTCACCATGGCCACATAACCCACAACCTTTTAAAACAGTTTCTTTCATAGCAATCCCTGTTTCTGCCAGACAGATCTAAAATGGGAGTTTCTCACTGTGTTTATCTGATCTGCACACTTTATATCCAGCTGTTTTGGCACTTTTACGTTTTCTTCACCTTTGGTTTTGGTTTGCAAATTCTTACACCTTCTCTCCAAGCGGAGGGCACACTGTGGTCAAAATCACTTATTTTATTAGGAAAAAGAGGTAACTGTTCCAAAGTGTAGTGTCCTTTGTTGAAGGAGGAGGGATGTAAGCATAGATTTGTTCTTGTTTCTGGCTATTCTCAGCTCAAGCCATGTTTAATTCATTCTTTGTAAAAGCCTTCAATTGTGCCACAGAAAACCTGGTAAGAGAATTGTCAGTTTCATTGGCCATAAGTATGTAATGTGGGTGATGTCTTGCCATTGAGGTTTGGAAGCTCTTAAGTGCCGATTATGGATTACAGAGGGCTGATAAAATTACTTATATTGGGAATTGAGAGAAGCCCCAAAAAATCAAATGTGCTTTTGATGGATAGAGTGTATCTTATTAGCATTATGGGAGCTCCTTAGAGGGCTGTCTTCACTGAAAGATTTAATGCCCAAAACATTTGGACAGATTATGCAGCCTTCTACTACCAGGTTATCTTGAATGAAGAAGAAATAGTAAAAAATAATAATAATAGAGCATTACCAATAAGCTAAAAGTTCAGAGTTGCTGATAGATGTTAAATGTTAAGTTATCCTGTGAGCCTACTCCTGTCCAACCTTTTTTCTCAGTATTTCTTTAGAGAATGCTGCAATCTGTATAAGTTACTCTGAAGGATTTTTTAAGAAGAGAAGCCACCAACAGGTGATAATTTTTATGGAGATGTTTCTTAATTGGCTTTCCCTCAGTTCAAGTAGGTAAATAACTTTGTTTGCTGGGAGGAGGTACATGGCTGAAGAGAGGCAAATAGATTAAGATAGCAATGTCTTGCACTTCCTGTTTCCCTCAAAACAACACCACATTGTGGGGCGCAGGATAGATCAGGGTTGAGTGGAATTTGGAATTCAGGTGAAGTGCTTGTAAAGTGCATGTCTAGCTGACAACAGACTTGACCATTAATGAGGACAGTGTTGGTAGGAGTCAGAAAAGAGCTTCATATTCCCCTTTTATATTACTGAAGCAATAAGCAATCTGAGCTGAAGCAGCAAAAAGAGTCACATTTCCATCAGGTCATCATATTCCCTGAGTCTCTGCAGCAAAAGCCATGTCAGAGGGGAGATTATAACTAGGTAACTATAACAAGCACTTGAGCACTTACCATGTTCCAAGCACTATCACCAAGGTACTGTTGGGGTTTATGGCAGTCTAACGGTAAGAAAAATGTGGTAAAATGAGGTAATCATGCTGCTATAGCTTTTTGCTTTTTTTCATATAGTATCAAGTTGGTCAGAATTAGCTTTCTCTGACTGGTCTGCTTCCGTGTTTCTCTGTGATGGTGTTAAGATTATGAAAGAAAAAGAAGATTACCTAAGACTGCTACAAGTGTTAACTATATGCCCTTAAGAATGAGCTTGACTTTGGAAGTAAAGCTTTTCAGATCTTAGTCTACCCGGGGCCTTTGTTGATGGGTCTGTGGTTCTGTAGACCCCTGGCTTTCACTGTGTTCTCAGAGGTACACCAGATTGAGAGCAGAGTTCTTCTTTGGAAGTCCCAGAGCAAAATAACTGCCATCAAGTGAGTTTGCATTCGTATTTGTTTCCCCTTCCATAGAGGGTTAGTTTTAGTTACCTCTAGCTTGGAGTTCCTGAGAAGGCTGGTTATAGGACTGAGCGTGGGAAAGGAACCCTCTTCAGGATTACCTCAGTCCCATCAGTCTACCCCATTGTGACATTGAGCCCAACACACACGCTTGACACCAGACTAGACTTGTCACAGGGCCAAACCCAACAGCCACATGCCATAGCTTCACTGCATTTTCAGCTACACCTTTGGAGGCCACCTTCTCCTATCAACTGTGGAAAGCCAGAAGGGCTCCCTTCTCCATTCTCCTTCCCTTTTTCAAGTCTAATAGTGAAATCTCCTGCTTACCCCAGCAGTAAATAGTTGCCTTCCTACCCCTTACCTGGGGGCCGATAATTTGAGATACTTTGTTTTTTCAATGCGTCAGTTGAAGGATTTAGTTTCTTAAAAGCAAGAAATGTTGGAGTGTTGAATTTTTAAATAGAATCTCTTTTCATGTTTGAATGATTGTTATTAGTTCTAGAAGCATTCTCTTTGTCATGACCCGATTATGTATACTCTTGGGTTTAGGAAGGACAAAAGTGATGAAATTTGCATGAGATAGAATAAATATCTTAGGAGGAGTGAAAGAACCTGAGGAAGAGACACGACCCTAAGGGAATGAATGCATAAGCAGTCTTCTCAGTAGCCCAGAGTTTCCAGGAAACAGGAATATTTATATCCCTTGCCCACTCTTAAAATACATAGATACATAAAAAGGCAGTCTCTGTAGACAACACATGCACACACCCACACAAAACATAATTCCTGGGGCTTCCTTTTTCTGAATGTTAATCCATTTTATCGAGCAGTGATTCCCAAACTTTGAGATTTTCAGATTTTATGCTCTCGTCTGTTAGATTTTATGACATTCTATCATCCTAAAAAATGTACTATATGTGTTATATGTATATATAAGTTAAAGCAACTTGAAATTGACTTGGTTTGGCATTGTCTCAAGAACCCTAGATATCATTATTGATACCATGGGGAATCATAGAAATAAAGTTGAATATCATTGATCTGAGAGTAGGATCCAGAAATAAGTAGTTTCAGTTCCTGATCAGTTAAGCCTCAAGTGTTTGAGTAACCAACACAGCAAGACTTGGGAAATGCAGTGAGCACCCGAGGAAAGGAAAGTGGTAGTCTTTGCCTGCATTTCAGCATGCATTTTCCTTTCCTACTCAGTTGCTATCTTCCACTTAAATACCCTCATTTGACCCTAGGAAGTTTTTTGTTTTTTTTTTTAGTTTGAGACTTAAAACCAGATTTATTTGTTGTTGTAGAGAGATTTCCACAGAAGTTGTGTTTTAGGGACCTCCATCATCTTTGTGGGGGTACAGATATTTATGTGTAAATATCATTTTATGTGATTTCCAAATTTTCGAGGGAAACATTTCAATTCCCAGTTCAACAAAAGGTTAAATACTAATTGACTCAATGACCACCTTCAGGAAAGTTAAATAGTAAATTAGGTTAAATTTTGACTGGTGCTTAGACATTTCCTAGTTATATTAACTTAAGCAGACAGCAGCACATTAACCTGAGTTACACCTGTGAGGAAATGACCTTCTAAATTTGATTTTGTTTTTCATCTCCAGGGCCTTAATAAGAGTGTGTTAACACACGACTATTTTACAATGATAGCTCTAAATAATTTATTTTTTATTTCAAGAAAGAGAAATACACCTTAGAAAAACAAAACCCAAGATTTTATTTTATTTTTAAAGCCATATTTTTGTGCTAGTAGCATTTAGATTATTCCGTATGTGAGATCCGTATCAGCATTTCATTACCTGGGTTTGTTCTAAAGAAGATTTATTTTTGTTCTGTGAATAATTTTTGACAGTTCTTGTACATGTACAGATATAGATACGTTTGAGGTCTTTTATTGATATTCCTACAAAGAATACAAATAAACTTTAACTTTAAACATTTCAGACTAAAGTTGCTACTATATTTGACATATTGCTGTCTTCTAGCATGCACCTGGGTGACTAGGACACTTGAAGAGAAACAAGAAAGGAAATGTATGCCGGAATATTCTTCTAAAAATATATTTTAACATTAAGAACAGTCTGTCCTAGAATTTCCCAACTTCCATGTAATAAGATTTCAATTTAGGAAAAATAACTAGCATTAGCATGTATTGTGATAAAACTGTTACTTTCGAATTCTGCAGAATTTGAAATCTCTTTAATAACTTGTGACAGGTAAAGAAAGTTTCATCTGGTTTATTAGGAAATGTAGCCCCACTTAGCTTCCTAGACCACTACCATCCTCTTGTAATTTTCCAGTTAGATTAATGGGGTTTGTTTTCAGGATTTTTGATGTTTGGTTCAGGTTTTTTATTTTAATTTCTTAATAGAAGTTCATTTGTCATTCCCAACATGATTGTTCCCAAATACACCCATCTTCTCCTGCATCCCTGTTTCATTCTGTAAAATCCAGGGATGCAGGTTTCATGTGTAGTCTTGTTTTGTGTTAGTTGTAGGTCTGTGCTTTTTGGCACATGTCGAGTTCTTCCTAATCTTGTTCTACTAGGGATTAAAAAATTAAAATTTACTCAAAATCCAGAGAAGATTGCATGAAACAGAAACTGCATATCCAAGAATTGTGCTATTTTTTGTTCACTTCGAAGCTGACCCATTTCAGTCTAAATTGTTCGTGACCTAATGTAAGCTTTAAGACTTCCTGGATCTGAAACATCAAAAAGAGAGAAAGTGTTGATGCGGTCTTTTTACTTCATGGTCCTCTTAGCCCTAAACTATCCATCCGTATACCCTTTATGCATATCCATACCCTGTAATTGTTTTTAGCCTCCCTCCAGCTGCCTGACTTTTTTTATTAGCATTTTACCAGTAGGAAAATACATAAATTAATTTTGTTAGCAAAAAAAAAAATTTAATGACAAAGAACACTAAAACAGATGACTAAATCAGTGGTTTTCAATCCTGATTGTTCATCAGAATCACTGGAGAGTTGTTTAAAAAAAAAAAAAAAGAAAAAAAACAGAGGAGTACCTCTTGAGCTCCACCATTGAACAATTAAATAGAATCTCTCTAAGGATTGGGCCTGGCCAGGCTTTTTTTTTTTTTTTTTTCTTTTTAACCTTGCCAGGGGATTCCGAAGAGCCAGGGGGTAAGAAACACTAGTCCAAATCAAGCTGTGAGCACTGTGCGTAGCTGTCTTAAAATGTTTTCTGTCCCCAATCCTGAAACTGGGGTAAGTTGGTTACAGGTGTTTCCTTCCCTTCTATTTGGAATTTAAAATTCTACTAAAACTGACAATATATACTCAGCCTTCCCCCACATACACCTTGTCCCCACCAATCTGTCCTTTAAGTCTGTGAGGTAGAAATTCTCTCCATTAACATGGTCATCCCATTTATGGAATAGATACATTCTGACAAAGCTGACCAGAAGATGGAATTCCCTATTTCGACCTCAGTTTCCCCACTGGCTTCAATTTAAAGCAGAAGGTAGGTGGCTTCTGGTTTGGAGTCAGAAGCTTCAATGAGTACACCCCTTGAGGAGTGCTGAAGGGCCCAGGCCAGAATCAAATATGCTACATTTGACTTTAAAGAGTAAACAACAGTGGCTCACGCCTGTAATCCCAGCACTTTGGGAGGCCAAGGCAGGTGGATCACAAGGTCAGGAGATCGAGACCATCCTGGCTAACATGGTGAAACCCCATCTCTACTGAAAATACAAAAAATTAGCCAGGCGTGGTGGCGGGCACCTGTAGTCCCAGCTACTCGGGAGGCTGAGGCAGGAGCATGGGGTGAACTCAGGAGGTGGAGCTTGCAGTGAGCCGCGATCACGCCACTGCACTCCAGCCTGGGCGACAGAGCAAGACTCCGTCTTAAAAAAATAAAAATTAAAAAAAAAAGTAAACAACATAGAGAACTCAAAAGTTCCTTTGTCTACCTCCACCACCCCCCACCAAAAAAAAAGGCCCTTAACTACATTTGACTTTAAGGAATAAACATAAGAGAACTCAGAATTCCTTTGTCTCTCCCCACCCAAAAAAAAAGAAAAGGTTCTTAACTTTTCTTGACCTAATATTCAGCACTGAAGTCTTATTACTTGAAACTTATCAGATGCTAAATTACACCATTCATACTTATTGTTCTTTCAATAGCAAAATGTACTGAAAGCTCTCCAGTCCCCCCTCCACTCCTGGCAAGCATGCAGTCACGTGCTCGTGTGAATTTTCCAAAATCATGAGCATTTTGTAAGATTCAGTTGGTTATATGAAATTACAATAAAGAGTATTATATATTTTATTATAATTTGTAAATTGTGTGCTATACATTCTTTATATCAGTAAAATTTATAGTAAACACATATACATTATATACTCACACACACATATTACTGGTCTTTCTAGAAACTTGATTTTGTGAAATTCTAGAATGAATTCCCAGGGTGATATTTGTTTGGCCTATGAATAAATTGCAATGAACTAACAGGTAAATGCCAATGTTTCCTTGTCTGTAAAATTAAGATTGTGGCTAAATGGTGTATAGGGTACTCTCTAGCACTGACATTCTGTGGTTATTATCTGATATAATTGAGAAATGTGTCCTTAGACTATGTTCAAAAATCGGCTTGAAGCTTTTCTCTCAGTATTTAGGAACAATTCTTCCTCCACAGTCTCCCATGGCACAGTAGTTTTTAAGAACCAAAAAAAATAAAGTCTGGAACAAATGTATATTCAGAACACTACAGTGATAATGTTGATAATAATAATAGCTGGCCAGGCGTAGTGGCTCACGCTTATAATCCCAGCCCTTTGGGAGGCTGAGGCAGGAGTATTGCTTGAGCCCAAGAATTGGAGGTTGCAGTGAGCTATAATCACACCATTGCACTCCAGCCAAGGTGGACAAAGCAAGACCCTGACTCAAAAATAATAGCTAATGTTTATTGAGCACCAACTATGTGTCAGATTATTTGCTAAGCACTTTATATGGAATATATCATTTAATCATAACACCAACCATGTGAGTTAGGCATTATTATTATCATTCTTATTTCAGGAGGAAACTGAGGCTCAGAAAGACTAAGTTACTTGCCCAAAGCTACACAATGGATAAGGGCAAAACTAAGACCCACGCTCAGATCCCTCTGACCGTGCTGTCTTGACCAAAAAAAAACAAAAAAACAAAAAAACAACAAAAAAAAAAACTTAGGAAAGACATTGGAGAGGGTAAGAAAAGATCCAAAAAGATCTTGCCACATAACCAACTTGTCACCATGAGCCAAAGTGATGGCAGTGGAACAAGATGAGGTCATATTCCACAGGTTTTCCACCTTAATATATTGGTTTTTATAAGATTGTCTTGCAATGTCCAATCATCTGATCAGAATTAGAAGAGTGTGCAGAAGTCTCACCTGTCTCAGAAATTGGTCTTTCATCTCTTCTGGGTCCATCAGAGTTGAGATGGTAAAGTCTGCTTTCAAGATTCCAAAAGGGTGCCCTGAAAAAGAAAGTGCTACCTGTTCAGGGGGATATTATCCTATTTCCATTTCAAGTTCTTAGCAGTCAGGAGCACCCGGTGGACACCATAGATGCTACATGTTGATTTGGGATTTCAAGAAGAAGAAAGAAACTGCTGAGCAGAAGAATGCTCAGCCACAATTAGGGTTAACCAATTAGTGGCTGAAAAAAAGAGTCCCATGCTTTGGGTAATGCGAAGTCTTCCACAGCCTGGCTACCCATCAGGCAATTATTTTCTTTTTTGTTTCTTCTGTATTTTTCTCCTTACTTTTAATCCAGTAAGTAGATACTCCACACCATGCCGGAAATACTCATCTCTCCTTGAGCTCCCCACCACAGAAAATTCTAAAGAAGTTCTCTGACTTTTTAAATAAATCCAGCCTTTGCCCGTGAGCCATCCATAATCATTACAGGAACTACAATCTCATAATAAGACTATATTTGCATTGCATTTTATTGTTTATAAAGTTTATAGTTATCTCATTGGGTGCTCACAACAACGCTGTGATATAGGCAGGGTAGTTTTTACCACATCCCCTTCACAGAAGAGAAATAGAAATTCAGAAACTTGTCCCCTAAGTTTTCATAATAGTCATGGAGCATAAACTAGAATCCACCTCTTTATTACTATCCCTATTCCCAACATTTCATGCTGTCTTTCATGAAAAGGTCTCAAGGGCCCTGTGCCAAGGAGTGACTGTCCAGATTTAACTGCTCCACTGGTAAGAGTAGGAACTTGGTAGACAGAAGCAGTTACCTGATTTTTGTGCTGATGTTTTTTCTTTAGATTCTGAACTCAGATGTTGGGCCTCCGTGGCAGCAGCTGTATCTCTTCTATCAGTGCCACTCCCTACACTGGCCACAGCTACAGGAGGGGAAAATAAAAGATTTATTGCAAATACAACCAGGAGTAAGGTGGCCTGATATTGGTGACTGCCCCTGAGCTAAAAGACAGGCAAGGACAGCCACTGCTAGGCACACAGTTGCTGCAGAAGCCAGCGATGTGGGAAGCTCAATTCCTGCCAATCCCTGACTCACCCCTACAGGCTCTTTTAACCCAGCACTTGAGTTGCTACACCATCATCTTTCAGAAAGCCCCCCTGGCAGCAGGACCTGTGGGGCTTGGGCAATGTTAGGAGGTTTTTCCTCATCAAATTTTTTTTGTTCAGTAGCCTGTGCTCCAAAGGGCCTAATGTCCTTATTTTGTCTGCCAGCTACACAAAGCCCCCACCATGGCACCCAGGGACCCTCAATATCGCCATCTCCATCCCAAACCAAGTTCAGGCTCTCCCCCAGCACCCCCTCTCTTCCTGTATGGCTGGCCATGCCCGGAGGCGCTCCAGCCAGAGACCCTGGTGTCCTCAGCGGCTCCCTTGCTCCATCTCACCTGCTCTCATGTTCAGTCACCAAAGTCCTGTCAGTGCCTTGCAGATGTCTTATTTTTTCAAATATGGAAATAATCCTTTTATTTGGAATATATTATTGTAAAATATGTAAGCAAATTTGTCCCCTCCCCAACCCAGGGACACCCATGATTAACACTTTGCTGTAGAAGGTCCTTCACACTCTCGAATTTGTTAATTTGAATGTGTAAAGATCTCCCTTGTTCTCTTTAAAGGCTGCATAGTAGTATTTCACTGAATGTACCATAACTTATTTAACCGATCTGCTTTCAGTGGACATTACGTTGTTTCCACCTTTTCACTGTAATAAACAATGCCGCAACAAACAACCGTGTGTGTGGAAGGTGCATATATATGTGTGTACCTCATATTACTATTTCCTTAATCAATTTCTAAGGGTAGAATTTCTGTACGAAAGATTATGCACATGTTAAAACTGACACAAATTCTGATACCAGAGTGGTAGCCCCAGTCGGCATACCTACTGTGCCAAGATCACTGTTTTTCCCACATTCTCAGCATTATTACCTTTCAAATCTTTGCCACACTGTTAAGTACAAAAATACATTTTAAAACTGCATCTTTTGGCTAGGTGTGATGGCTCACACCTGTAATCTCAACACTGGGAGGGTGAGGCAGGAGGATCACTTGAGGCCAGGAGTTCAAGGCCGGCTGTGCAACATGACGAGATCCTGTCTTTAAAAAAAAAAAATTAGCCAGGCGTGGTGGTGTATGCATATAGTTCTAGCTACTTGGGAGGGTGAGGTGGGAGAATCGCTTGAACCCAGGAGTTCAAGGCTGCAGTGAGCTATGATCATACCACTGCTCTCCAGCCTGGGCAACAGAGTGAGACCTTGTCTCTGAAAACAAAAACAAAACAAAAAGCAAAAAAAAGTAAGCATCTTTATAAACTTTGCATTTGTGTGATTCAGTGAACAAAGCTGAGCATTTTTTAAAATGTATTTGTATTGGTACTTCAGTTAACGTCACTTGTGAACAATGTAAAATCAATTCGCTGTCATGTCCCTTCCCACTCCAGTGCTCCAGAACAGGCCTGGGTTCCACCCACCCAGACTGTGCAATATTCTTTCCCCACACACACGTTTCCTGTCTCTCCTTTTCTGATTGGCCACCCCTTCAAAGGCCTCTTTCCCCACCCAAAGCATCATAAATTTCTTTAATAAAGTGGATAAATGTGTAAAATTCAGAAACACAGAAGAGGAGGAAACATCTGTATTTTCATCCCCTGAATATAGTCACTGTTAACATTGTCACACATCTCCTTCCAGACTTGATTCCTAAGCATTGCTATTTCCTTTCAGCCTTGTTGTGACTGTATTATGTACATAACATTGATAATGCTTTTTTCATTTAGCACCCTAATACAAGCATTGTCCTACATCATCCTAACCACCTTGCTTCTGGAAACTACAGATCTGAGCATTTTGCTCACCTGCTGTAAACCTCTGATGGCTCCATTGGCTGGGGGATCAAGTCCTTCAGATTTTGCCCCCAGTGTACCCCTTTCTCCTCATCCCCTGCCACTCCCTTCCCCACTATGTGGCCTACACCAGTCGCATCAAACTGCTTGTCATTCCCAAGCAAACCATACAGTTTGACATCTGTCTTTACCCATGCTATTCCTTCTGCCAGGAAGAACTTTCTGTACTTTTCTGCCAGATGAAATCCTCCATTGTTACACCTTCTATCCTATTACCACCTTCCAGGCAGAAGGAAATGAATTGCTTTCCTGCCACAGCTCTTGGTTCACACTTCTGGTGCAGCATTTTCCAAACCGTCCTGACTGTCTCCGTTAGTTCCTATGAGACCATGTGCTTCTAAAAACAGGAAACAGCCCTGCTCATCTTGGTATCCACAGTTCAATGCCTTCTTCAAAACAAGTACTCAGGAAATTATCGTCCAATTAAATCATCTACCAATGTGCACTATCCTAGTCCCCAGAGAGATACAAAGAAGTACAGAACAGCCCCTGCCCTGTGAGATTCTGCAATCTCAATAATTCATAATTGTAATCATTTATGATTAATAAAATGAGAATGAGGCCAGCTCCATCTATTAAGGAGAGAGGTGGGAGAAGGAGTGAGTCACTAAACATTTCACTAGAGAACTGAGATTAAAATGGTAATAACTACCATTTATTGAGTGTCTGCCAGATGCCAGGCACTGAGAGATGAGAAAAATAAGGTTCAGAGAAGTTAGGAAACTTGCATAAGGCCACACAGTAGGTACTGGAGCCAATATTCCAACTCTTGACTGTCAGACTCTTGCTTTTAGAACCAAAATGGATTATTTCTCCCCCAGATCACCCCACTTCACCTCCATTTCCATCCTAAATTACCCAGGGAGGACGAGACAGTGAGCTGGCTCTGGCCAGACAGGACCCCTGTAGGATGCGCTGGAATGCAGCCGGAGTGGGGAGACTGTGGCCCAGCACACAACGCGCCCACACCACACCCCACCTCTCATCCTCAACTCCCTGGCCTGCACCCTACTCATGGAAGCCAGGCCTGGTCGCCCCAAGAGAGGAACTCCCCAAGATGCTTGGGCCTGCCTGGGGTGGAGGTCCTAATTTCCAGCGACGCAGACAGGCACCTGTTTGGGGCCCTGGCCAGCTCCCAGCTGCCTCTGGGCGGGTGTCTTGGCTCAGGGCTGCAGAGTCAGGGGGTGCAGTTGTCCTCTGGGTCACGGCTGGGCTCCCTAAGCCAAATGAGTCCGAGATGCTTTCTTTGGTCCCCAGAGAGCTCCCTTGAGCCTGGGAGCCGAGGCCCCGGCTGGATGTGGCAGACCCAGGGGGTGCTGCTATCCTGGGAGTAGCTGGGGCATCGCGGGTGGCATCGAGTGTGGGGCTCGAAGCGGAGGCCAGAAGAGTCGCAGTTACTTCCTGGGGGACAGAGAGGCTCCCCCGAGAGGCCGCAGCAGGGCTGGAGGGCTGGGACGCCGAGGGCGCAGGGTGGGAAGACGCACTCTGGGCAGTGACCGGCGGCATCCTGGGTCCTTCCGCGGGAACCAAGGTGCCCCCCGGGGCCGCGAGGTTGGCCGAAGGGCCGGGTGTTACCGCCCCTTGGGGCTGGAGGGCCGCTGGGCCCGCGGAGGCGGAAGCGCGCGAGTAGGAGGTGCGGAGGTCGGGCTCGCGGGGCTCCGGGCTGCCCCTCTGAGTGAGCCGCGCTGCTGAAGCCGGGCCCTGCGAGGCGCCCACGGGGCCGGTGCTGGTCCCTAGGGCCAGAGAGAAGACTTCTGTGGGGTCCGCTGCGCCCGGGACCCCTCCCAAAGCCGAGGGCAAGAAGGAGTGGCTTCGCGCGCTGGCTCCCCGGGCCTGTGCCTCTTCCACGCCTGGCCTTGCCCACCCAGTGCAGACAGGGGCGAGCAGGGAGGGCCTCCTGAACCCAATAGCGCGGCCCAGGTGGCCAGCGAGCCTGGGGCAGCCAGGCAGGTGCCAGGATAGACCTTAGATGAGAAGACAGGCTGTTACCCAGCTTCTGACCCAAATCTGATCACAGCTACCAGCCTGGGCTCTGTCGCCTTCAGGGTGAGGTCCCTTAGTGACTCACAGGGGGCCCGGCCGGCAGGATCTGGGCTCCCACACTCTCCAGCGCTGACTGTCCCCACCCCACCTGCAGCTCCTTCCATCTGCAGTCCTCACCCAGCCACGCACCCCCACTCCACTTTGCAAGCTAAATCCTTCTCATCCTTCCAATAGTTATAAAGTCACCTCCTCTGCGAAATCCCCTGGACAATTACAGGGGGGGATGCTCCCCTTCTCAGCGTCCCCACCACGCCTGTGCCTATACCAAGCACCAGCCTCTTCCCAACTGGCTGTGAGCGCCTTCAGAACAAACCTTCCCTTTTCGTTGTGTCCCCAAAATCTTGCCTGGTGGCTGTGCCTGGGCTAGCACAGGACTCCATCCACACTTTCTAATGAGTGAATGAACGAGGCTCTGCTCGACCTTGATCAAGTGCCCTCACTTTTCTGTGTCCTCAAAAAAAGACAATAATCCCTTTGTGTGATATAGGAATCTGTAAGGAGGCCAGGAAAACGGTGATTTTGCCCTCAATTACTCTAGTTAGCCTCAGAACTCTTGGGAAGTAAAATGAGGTAACAGCTGTGAAGATGTTTCAGAAATTTTAAAATGCTATAGGAATGCTGTCACTGTCCTTCCCAGCCACCTCCCCATACATAATGCCAACAGCTCATCATCCCTCATCCTCTCCCTGCAGAGGAGCCTGCAATTCCGAGGGACTTTGCGGTGCTTCCCTCTGGATGCTGAGCCTCAGGACCTCTCTGATGATTCTTCCTCAGGAACACTGCTCAGGCATCTTCCCCTCCACCTCCCCCAGGGCCTCAGCCTCTCACCTGAGAGACCGTACGGCCTCTCCTGGGTCTCCTGGCCCTGGAGCTGCAAGTTCAGTGGCCCAATTCCAGGAAAAGGGAGTTTGATGTGGCCCAGTCCTCCTTCCCCAGCCCTGGCTGGACCAGCAGGGTGGGGAGCGGAGGGAAACTCCCCTCTGCGTAAGTGGCCCTTGACTGCCACCCCCTTAGCTCACCCCTTTTCTAGGCATACACTGGCCCTTCTAAGAGGGGCTTATGGGGCCTGCAAGCCAGCCTTGCCACTTCCCCAGACCCTGAAGACCCAGATCCAGCCAAGGGCAGGCTCAAAGCACCTCTGCCTGGCCTGGGAGTTGTTTCCTCTGTCATTTCTGTGGGGGAAGTGTGGAAGAGTGGAGGCAACTCTGCTGATGCCCGGTGTCCAGTGGAGGAGTCTGCAAGAAAACAGAGTGAGTGTGAGGGCAGGGTCTGCAACACCCAGCAGGTGAGTGGCCACCCCAGGCTCTGATGGCCCCGCATTTGGTTGCCCATCATGGTAGCCAAACTCAGGAGGGCGCAGTTATTGTACATCTACCGTGTGCCAATCCCTGCAGGAGACACATTCACCATCTCTAATCCTCACAGCAAGCAGCTCCTCAGGGAGGAAGAGCATCTTTAAGGATAAGGATCATGCGTCTCATCAAATCCAAAACACAAAAAGAAACAGCCAAGGACAAGCAAATCCACAGAAACAGAAAATAGGTTTGTGGTTGCCGGTGGGGCGGAGAGGGAGTGACTTCTACCGGGTAAGGGGTTTCTTTGAGGTGGGGGGGGCGGTGATGAAAATGTCCTAAAATCAGATTAGTGATGATAGTTGGACAACCTTGTGAATATTCTAAAAGCCACTGCGTTGTACCCTTTAAAAAGGTAAATTTTGGCTGGGTGCGGTGGCTCATGCCTGTAATTCCAACACCTTGGGAGGCCAAGGCGGGTGGATCACTTGAGGTCAGGAGTTCAAGACCAGCCTGGCTAACATGGCAAAACCCCGTCTCTACCAAAAATACAAAAATTAGTCAGGCGTGGTAGTGGGCACCTGTAACCCCAGCTACTTGGGAGGCTGAAGCGTGAGAATTGCTTGAACCCAGGAGGTGGAGGCTGCAGTGAGCTGAGGACCACTGCACTCCAGCCTGGGCGACAGAGCAAGACTCTGTCTCAAAAATTAATTAATTAATTAATTTAACTAAATAAAAAATAAGGTAAATTTTAAGATGGGAATTATATCTCAACAAAACTTACAAAAAAGAGAGAGGTGGGGAATGAGGAAGGGAGGAAGGAGAGAAGGAAAGGGCAAGGCAGAAGGACGCCCATCACACAGGATGTGGGCACCAGGCAGGTTTGGGATCCCATGCATTCACAGGGACAGAACAAGGACAATGGCTCCCGTCCACCGGGGCCCACTCTGTGCCAGAGTTTCTACTCTGCCCCTTACATTCACTTTCTCATTCAGCTCTCAAAGACATCCTATGAGATGGGTGCCACCAATTCATTTTGTTCAGTGTATTTCAGAGATGAGGAAAAGGAGGCTCCGAGATGCTGCCCACCTTATTTCTGTAAAGTCTGATTCCAAAGCCCAGACTCTTAACTTCATTGTCCAATAACGCATTGCTCTTGCTAATTGCCACTGCCCTAAGGCTGGATGGAATCCGTTCCATTATTTAAAGATTCCCAGAATTAAAATAATACAACTTCCTCACAAGTTTATAGTGCAAGGATCTCAGGAGCCTGCTCCAGAACTCAGTTACCCCTCAGAGTCTGGAAGTGCTTCCTTGGGTCTATCCTCAATGTCATCTGCTGCCAAGTAAACCCATTTCCCATCTCATTCTATCCTCAATGGGCCGAGGGCCAGCAAGAGCAGACTCTCACTCACCATAGAAGCAGAAGAAGGGCAGCAGGGAAGAGCAGTTCACTGAGTACACTTTTGGGGAGTAGGTCATATAGATGCCAAGAGCTGTGCACAGTCCTCTCACCATCATCGGCACCTGCAGCCAGGAGGGGATGCTGGCCCCCAGGTCACTGGACCAGCTCAGAGATCCGGAGTTTGCATTGAGGTAGAGGCCAATCCAGGCTTCAGTCTCACTCATGATGGATCTCAAGGCCTCCTTGCCTGTCTCATCCGTCACCATCTGCAGGTCGGCCAGATCCGTGTGGTGGCTGCGGCAGTACAGCAGGGCCGAGGACCATGTCATCACTTGGTCAAATCGCATGAAGGTCTGACCACTGATCTGGACCACAGCTGGGGTCAAAGAATGTGGAGATCACTGGCCTGAGGGCCTGGGTCTCTGACAGCCCAGCCTTCATCACCCTTGGGGATAGAATTTTGGTCTGACATGGGCCCTTGTCCCTGGTCCTTGAGTATTAGATTTGATCAAAACAACAGTTTTATAGGTAGACTAAATACCAGGATGGAAGAATGGATGAGATAGTATAGCAGCAGGTGGGGGAAACATTAGGGAAAGCAGAGCTTAAGAGTTCTTGTAGCTATATGGCCTCACAAGTTCAGTTTAAGTCCTAATTTCTTCATCTATACAATGGGAAAATAATAGTACCTAAGGTCAGGATTACATGAAATCACATATGCAAATGGTTTAGCACAGTGATATATTAATAGTAAGCACTTGGCAAGATGGTAGTGACCATTTCGGGGGAGATTATGAGGAAGACAGAACAATCTTGGTTTGGGGCCACCCTCCAGTGTGATTTCTAGGGGCGGTGCCTGCCCCCACTGGCTCTCGGGCGAATCCAGGGCTGAGCAGAATAGATGAACTGTGCGATGTTCCTAGACTCACCGTGCCTGGAGAGCCAGGGAGAAGAGGCCAGCCTGGAGGGATGGGCCTGGTGGACAGGAGGCAGAGCAGGCTCAGTGGCCTTGCCTTCTGGGGAGCCCAGACAGACTGAGATGCTATCCTCCCACAACCACCACTGCCAGTCCCTGCCTGAGGCTGGACTGGGCCAGGTCCTGAGGTAGGACAGGCCCAGCCTACCCTGCCCATCGCCGGTGCAGCTCATAAGCCCACACATCTGAGATTCCAGACAATGGAAGATTGCCAACGACGTGAGTGGCTGGGACTTGACCTGAGGCATTGATTCCGGAGGCCCGGAAGATGAAACACTCCTGTTTGCTGAGTCGGGAGTCACATCCTCAGATTCAAATGGAGCCTCCCAAACTCGGACATGAGCCTTTCACCTAAGCCCATCAAGATTTGCCTCCAATTTCCCTAACATTTTCCCTATCTAAACAGATTTTTTAAAGTTACTCTTGATTAAACCCCTAGTATGTGCCAGCCCTGAGCTATGCATGTGGCCTGTGTCATCTTTGAAAACCCCACTACCATCCTGAGAAGTTGGTGTCATTAGCCTCAGTTCACAGATGAGGAAAAGGAGGCTCAGGGAGGCAACAACCTGCCCGAACTCAGGCCATACTAGAGATTCGAACATGGGAAGCCCACGCCATCTTCACTCTACAACTCTGTACTCCATACCATGCAGAAAACCCACTCTACAGAGCAGATTGAGTGAGTATATTGCCTCTGTCATAGATCTTCTCCATATCAGATAGGAAGAAACTTTTTAAAAGACACCAATGCAGTAATACCAGAGGGGACTATTTCAGAGAAGCCGCCCCACCCCTAGATGGATGAGCAGGTACTTGGGCTGTGAAAAGGAACCACCCTGTCCCCAACCCCAGAGTGAGAGCTGGGCTGCAGCCAAGGGCCCATCCACTGTCTGATTCTAGTCTGTGATTGGAGACCTTGAGCCAGTCACCCTCCCCTCTGGGCCCATCAGAATAATAAAGACAATGGCCGGCTCGGTGGCTCATACCTGTAATCCCAGCACTTTGGGAGGCCCAGGCAGGTGGATCACTAGAGCCCAGGAGTTCGAGACCAGCCTGAGCAACATGGCAAAACCCCATCTCTACTAAAAATACAAAAAATTAGCTGGGCATGGTGGCATGTGCCTGTAGTACCAGCTACTCAGGAGGCTGAGGCAGGAGGATCAGCCACCGGGAATGTCGGGTGAGCTGTGAGTGTGCCACTGTACTCCAGCCTGGGAGACAGAGTGAGACCATCCGTGTCTTAAAAAAATAAAAAATAAAAAATAAAAATAAGGACATTGATTCTCCCCATGGGGTTCAGCCAGGGGGCAGCAAATTCTGGAAATCCCTCCCGGACAGCCAGGCAGAAATCAGGGGAACAGAGGGGACGCGGGGGTGGAGATCCTGCTGGCTGGTCTTGGTGGAGAGATCCAAGGCAAAACAAGCCAAATTCCCAGAAAAGGGAATGGGGAGCAGGTATGTACCTGGCTTTGGAGAGGTGGTCAGGCTGAGAGAGGGCTTCGTGGAGATGAGGTGCCCGACGTCAGGGTCTGTAAAACAGAAACAGACCACGAGTTATGGGGAGGCCCAGGATCCTCTGCAGGCAGGAGCTGTCCGGTTATAGCCGGGAAAACCTAGCTCAGGGGCAGACAGGCTGGTCCATCCCTTTCCACATCGATTCAATCCATTCAATAAATACTGGGCACCTATTGTGTCGCAGATGCTATTCTACACCCTGGGAAAAAATGGCAGAAATAAGACAAGCGGAGTCCTTGCTCTTGAAGAGAATATGAGAAGGAGCAAATCTTGTAGAGAGCTGGGAGGAGCTGCCCAAGCACAGCCACGACAAAGGTTCTGCAGTGAGAAGGAGCCAAAGGAATTCATGTGGCTGGGACAGGAGTAGGAGATGAGGCCGAAGAGGGGAGGCGAGGCCTGATGGCTAAAGGAGGACAGGATTCTAAGTGCTGCCAGGTCCTCCTGATTCTTTTGTTTACAGGGAAGTGACCTGATTTACCTTTTTAAAAGCTCACTCTGTGTAGAGAACAGATTTTAGGGGTCAAGGGCAGACCCAGAGGAGAGACAGCGCTGACTTGACCCCACATGCTAGCAGCAGAGGTGCAGAGCTGGAGAGAGGTCAGGACCCATCTTGGTGGAGTGTGGGGACAGTGTGGGGAGCGGGAGACAACGCCATACGCACACCCCTCCCTTTGCAGGCCTCCTGGTCCCAGGCACACTCACCACCCCTGGGAATCTCCTTACTCCCTTGGGAACCCAGCATTTAAATCTAGGCAGCCACCACCTGCTACTTCTCAAGGTCCCGGGGCAGGCACCACGTGGCCATGTTGGGCACATGTTGAGGTTGGTCCTCCATAACCCTATTTGAGAGGTGAGGATGGCACAGAGTTGGACTGAGCCTTGGCTGACAGAGGGAGAAGCAGGAAGTGACACTCTTACCGGGCAAGTGCTGTGCACGCCACAACCAGCCCACGTATGATCTTCCCAACAGCAACGAGACAGGAGTCGGAGGCACCGGCAGCCAGGACAGAGAGGGGCCCGGTGGAGCACAAGGAGGGGGCTGCTGTTCTCCAACAGCTGGAGCCTTGCGCATGGCGTACCGATGGTGGATTTCCCGCAAAGATGCCCGAAGAGTTGGCTCCCACTGCCCACTTAGCGGGAAGCAGGGGATCTCCCAGAGGGTGGCCGCTCCCCTCCTGCCCAGTTCTGAGACCCTAACCATCCACCTGTGCTTCATGAGAAGAAGACAGTGAATTCTGCTCTTGCTTCTGCATAGGTACACATGCATCCCCCCAACCCCAGCCTGTCTTTCCCTCTTGGCTCCCTTTCTTTTTCTCCTTCCCCCAAATCCCTAATTGGAAAGAAAGGAAATTTCCAAATTTTATTTGTATTCTATCCTGACTTACACCCATTTTTTCTATTGAGGTCTTCGAATAGGGGTGCAGAGGAGATAGAAATAGAGGCCACAGAGAGAAAGTGATGTGGCAAAAAGAGTAAAGTCATGACCAGTTATCCTCTGAAAGGGTGCTTCTCTCTCTGTCTCTCCCTGCCCCGTCATTTGCTATTGAAAACCAACCCTGGGCCAGGCCCAATGGCTCATGCCTATAATCCCAGCACTTTGGGAGACTTGAGGCAGGAGGATCATTTGAAGGCAAGAATTTGAGACCAGCCTGGGCAACATAGCGAGACCCTGTCTCTATTAAGGTTGGTTTTTTGTTTGTTTTGTTTTGTTTTTTAATTAGCCAGGTATGGTGGCATGCACCTGTAGTCCCAGCTGCTCAGGAGGCTGAGGCAGGAGAATCACCTGAGCCCAGGAGTTGGAGGTTACAGTGAGCTATGATCACACCACTGCACTCCAGCCTGGGCAACAGAGTGAGGCCCCTGGGGGAAAGACCAAGCCTGAAATATGAATGTGAACACACCACAGTAGCAGAGGAAGGGCTTCTGGGCTGTGCAGGAGGCAGCCCCTATGCTGGGTAATTTCAGCCAAGTGTACAGCGTGGCACAGAAGCCCACCCCAAATTCAGGTAGCTTCTGGCCCCACTCCAGGGCTGTGAAGGTGGAGCCGCTGGACCATCTCAGGCCAGAAGTGCTTGCGTCGAAGAAGAGGCCAATCCAAGCCGGGGTGCTGGTCATGAGGGAGTAGAGCTTCCACAGGCCACTTGGCTGCAGGTCAGCGAGGTCTGTGTAGTGCAGCCGGCAGTGCTGCTGGGCGTCGTACCAGCTCAGCGCCTCCTTCACCAGAACCAAGTCCCTCTTACTGCTCACCAGCTGCAGGGCTGGAACAGGAGAGGCTGTCATAGCATGGCTGTCCCCACCCCAGCCCCTAGTCCTCAAAGAGCTTTCAGCCACACTCGGGTGGGCCTCCCCAGCCTCTTCCCGCCCACTCTGCACTTCGCCGCTGGCCCACCAGTCATATCCAGCTCTACCTCCCAGCCTTGGCACAAGCTGTTCTCTTGTTCTTGAAGAGCCGGCCACCTCCTCCAGCTCCCTCAATCCACGATTCCTATTCTCCCATTCCCTCATCTCCCCAGTCCCTTTGCCCAGCTAACTCCTCACTCTTCTGCCCCATCCTTTCTACAGAAAAGGTGAGGTGCCTTTCCTACATGCTGCAGTGCACCTTTGTTAGTGCTTGATAACAATAGACAATGCTTGCTGAGCACCCGCCATGTGCCATCAGCTCAAGGAATTCTTCCAGCTGCCTAAGATAGCACTCTGTTTTACAAATGAAGGAACCAAGTCACAGAGAGTTAAAGAGGCACAGCCAAGGTCACTCAGTGGGAAGGAATACAGCCCAGACTCAAGTACCCTGGGCAGGCTCTCAGCTCCAGGCCCATATCCATGGCAGGGCACTGCCCCTCCATCTGGGGCTCATAACCAGAGCTGCAAGCTGGAGTCACCTAGGAAGCTTTTCAAATATACCAATTTCCAGGCCCACCCTAAAGCAAAGATCTGCTGCTGGGACTAGCATCAGGATTTTTTAAAAGCTTTTAGGGAAGAGACCTTTTTGCTTGTCTGTCTGTATCACCTGGTATAGGCAACTTAGGAGCAAAGAACGAGCCTCATTCATTATATTCCCAGGGCCCAGCATGATGCCAGCCACATCACAAGGGCTCAATGTATTGAAAAGGAAGGAAGAGAAGGGAAGGAAAGAAGGAAGGAAGGAAGGGAGGGAGGGAGGAAGGAAAGAGAGGGAGGAACTAATGAGCAAATCAAACGTCTCCCAGGAAGCCAACCCAAGCCCCAAGATCTGTGTTCCTTCCTTCCTTGACTCCACCCTCTTGGTCCCAGTAAATGTGGTTGGTCCAGGGCTGCTCTGTCTGCCCAGGCCCTGCCTATGGAGGGAGGCAGAGAAGAATGAAGGGCTTGGTGCTGGGACCTTGGGGGTCTGGGCCACAAGGAACCCTTCAAGCTAAATGCCCCAGGAGAGGAGAATGAGACTGGAGAGCTGGGCACAGGCCGTGGCATGGAAGCCAGGGGCCAGGGCTGAGGAGGCACTTGCCAAGGAGAACAAGCTCCTCACACCCACCGTAGGGGAGGATGCTTCCTGTCACTGAGAAAAGCATTCTGCTTATTTTTTTAATGACTGGCTGTGGCCCGCATAATTGATTTTAGGACGGTGTCCACCCCTGGCACCCCAGCCCCATGCAGGGCGCCCCTCCCGCCGGCCTCTCCAGCCCTACCCGGGAGCCTCTAGTCAGTTCCATGGCCTTGAACTTAGCCCTTCTCTGCCTGCCTGCCGACACCTGGGCCCAAGACCCCTCTACCCTCGGCAGTCCCCACACGCCCCGACTCTGCAGCCAGAGGGCCTAAAACCTGACCACCCACCGCCATGTGGGTCGCAGCCATGGGGCCCTGCGCCCTCCCCTCCCACCTGCATCAGCAGCCGCCACCCTCCAAGCCAGGGCTTTTCCTGGCTTTCTTGGTGGCTCCTTCTCCCCCTCAGGCTCACCCACGGCTCCCTTTCTCCGAGAACCCTTGCCGCCCCCTGGTCCACAGACCCCCACAACGCCCGTCCCTGTCCACACCCCGGTGATGTCCTTCCCTGCATTGCACATGCTTCTGAAGTGACCTGCGCGGCCGTCTCTTTGAGGAATGTCTTAGCCCCGCTAGAAAGAAAGCTGCTGGAGCCGCACTGTTTCTGACTGCTGCCTTCTGGACGCTGGCTGAGTACTGTCTGGTTAGGGGCGATGAGGGCGAAGCTCCCTTCCCAACCCTGTTCTGAGGGTTGAAAAGCATTCATTTCTTTCCACCTTGCCTCCCTCCAACCTGGAAATCTGGGAACTTCAGGGGTGCGCCCCCTTCCCTCAGCCTCTAGCCCGGGGGAGCATGGAGCCAGGCACCCTCCTCCAGGTTGGGGGGCCTCACCTGCTGCGCAGAAGGAGAGCAGCAGCGCCCGGGGCAGCATGGCTGGGCACTGGCTGGGCGATGGCTGGGTGCTGGCTGGGCACGGGACAAGACCCCGGAGCTGGCGGGGACTGTAGAAGAGGCTGCGTCTGACCTTCTGGCCTTTCATTCCTTGCTGTTTCCTCTCTTCCTCTTTGCCACCCAAACTGCTGGATTTTACTAAACAAATACTTACCCAGTGTCTGTCGCTGCCAGCAGGGTGTGAGGTGCTGGAGATGCGGCCTGGAGGATGCGGAAGAGATCCCTGTGTGGGGGTTCAGAAAACAGTGTCCCAAAATGAAGGCCCCAGAAGCACAAGTTTTTCTCTTACCTTCTCCTGCCTTCCTGTCTCTCAGCCCCACTCTCCCCAAGGCCAGCCGTAGGAACTAGAACCCCTTTTCGCCAAAGCCAGCCATAAAACCTAAAAATATTACTCTAACTTGCCCTTGCCTGGCTGTGTAGAAACTGGCTGTAAAGAAATGATCTGAAGGGATCATCGTTTGACTGTAGGTCATGAGAATCCCCCATTCCAGAGAGGGCCCTGCTCCACGCCCAGAAGGAAGGACTTCATGCTCAGAGGGGCCAAGAAGAATCCAGACCCACAGGCCTGGCTGGGTTTCCCCACTCAGTCTATTCACATTAGATCAGACCCTTCTGTCCAATCATATTTCTACACAGCTGCCCACACTTTGTTGAACCTAAGCATAAAAACGAACAATGTCTCCCTCTATCATTGGGTCTTCATTCTGAAGGCTCCCGGGGACACATACACATGTTAAATAAATGTGTATGCCTTTCCTCCAATTAATCTGCCTTTTGCAAGTTGATTTTTCAGAGCATCTTCAGAGGTCCTCCTGCAACTTAGGAGGAAGGCAACATGGATCTGGTAATTAATAAGCAGATCGGGGAGGGAAGGAACCCATCCTTGGGGCTGGCTGCTGGGGGAGAAAGAGAGTAGGGTAGCAGAGGGCAGGGTGAGGCTAGACCCCTTGGGTCCTCAGGGTCAGAGGAGCAAGGGGCAGAAAGGAAGGATGGGGAAGAAGCGGGTGAGGAGGGAGAAGGAGCTGGAAATTGTGGACCAGGCAGGCTTTGCTAGACTCACCCCCTACCCCTCCTCACAGCAACCACATGACGTGAGGGAGAGGGCTGTCATTTTCACTGGCTCACAGGGGAGAAACTGTGGCTCAGAGAAGTGAAACAGCATGCTCAGGACTACACCGCAGGCAGAGGTGAGACAGTATTCAAGCTTAGGTTGAATACTAAAAGCTTTTCAGTGAATACACTGAAAAGCATGAGGTTGGGAGGTGATGGCCCCGACAAGTTCTGCTTCCGCACGGTCAGAGACCCCCAGGCCCAGTCTAGGCTCTGACTCCAAAATTAAGCACAGGACTGGGCTGGGCACAGTGGCATGCACCTATAGCCCCAGGACTTTGAGAAACCGAGGCAGGAGGGTTGTTTGTGCCCAGGAATTTGAGACCAGCCTAGGCAACATAGTGAGACTCCATCTCTACAAAAATTATAAATTAGCCAGGCTTGGTGGTGCATGTCTGTAGTCCCAGCTACTCAGTAGGCTGAGACAGGAGGATTGCTTGAGCATGGGAGGTTAAGGCTGCAGTGAGTTGTGATTGTACCACTGTACTCCAGCCTGGGAGACAGGGCGAGACCCTGTCTCTAAAATAAATAAATAAACAAGTAAAACAAAAATAAAGTGCAGGACTGGAGGCCAAGGCACTTTCTCTGGGGAACCAAAAACAGCTTGCTTGTGTTCTCTCTCTCTCTACACAACATCAAACATGCTGTTTAGGCCCAGAGCCCTCTCTGTTGGCCTAAGGGCGAAGACTTTCAGGAACACAGTCTGGAAGGCTCTCTTTTTTCCTACCCCCTACCCCTTCTCACCCTTCCCTGATGGAAGGGCAAACGGCCCCTCTGAATGGGCAAAAGAGAAAGAGGGGAAAATTTGTTAATGCAGCCACAAAAATGTCCTGCCACAGTATTCTCTCGTGCAGCAATGGCCTCGGATAACTTCCTCCCAGAAGCAGGTCCTGCTTGTGTCAGGGCCTCCCAGGACCACTCTCTGGGGACAGAAGAGAACCTGACAATCCTGACCTGGAAGATGCTGCCCTGCCAGCCACCTTTTCATTTGGCCACTCCCCCAGTCGTCTCCCTCAAGTCTTTCCAGGAAGGGCCCTGCAGCCTCACCCCAGCTCAGGCCCAGCACTCCCTGAGGGCAGCACTTGGAACTCCAGGCTGAAATTCCACGTGCCTTCCTGACTGTGAGCTCCTTGAGAGCACGGACTGTGCCAAAGTCACAAAGCACTCGCTTCTCACAAGCCCAACAAAACCTTTCAATAAATGGCAAGCATTATGTTTATCATTAGTAGCTGTGATGGTTAATATCGAGTGTCGACTTGATTGGATTGAAGGATACAAAGTATTGATCCTGGGTGTGTCTGTGAGGGTGTTGCCAGAGGAGATTAACATTTGAGTCAGCTGAACTGGGAAAGGCAAGACACACCCTCAATCTGGGTAGGCAGAATCTAATCAGCTGCCATCGCGGCCAGAATAAAAGCAGGCAGAAGAACACGGAAAAACTAGACTGGCTTGGCCTCAACATACATCGTTCTCCCGTGCTCGATGCTTCCTGCCCTTGAACATCGGACTCCGAGTTCTTCAGCTTTGGGATTTGGACTGGCCTCCTTTTTCCTCAGCTTGCAGATGGCCTATTGTTGGACCTCACCTTGTGATCATGTGAGTCCATACTCCGTAATAAACTCCCCTTTATGCCGGGCGTGGTGGCTCACGCCTGTAATCCCAGCACTTTGGGAGGCCGAGATGGGCGGATCACAGGGTCAGGAGATCGAGACCATCCTGGCTAACACAGTGAAACCCCGTCTCTACTAAAAATACAAAAAATTAGCCGGGTGTGGTGGTGGGCGCCTGTAGTTCCAGCTACTCAGGAGGCTGAGGCAGGAGAATGGCGTGAACCTGGGAGGCGGAGCTTGCAGTGAGCCGATATCGCGCCTCTGCACTCCAGCCTGGGGGTCAGAGCAAGACTCCGTCTCGAAAATAAATAAATAAATAAATAAATAAAATAAACTCCCCTTTATATATACATCTATCCTGTTAGTTCTGTCCCTCTAGAGAACCCTGACTAATACAGTAGCATTTGCTATTATTATTCTCTTTAGATTGCAGCTTCTACGCAGTGCTCTGCCTGGTACATAGAGACCTTAAATACATGAATGAAGGAGATGGCTTGAACAAGACACAGAGGGCCGATGGTGAAGGCGGGGGAGGACAGCCTTGGCACCCAGTGTGTGAGTTACATTGGTGGCTGTGCCAGGAAATCTAGGCAAGGGTCAAAGGAACCAAGAGTGAGGGAGGAGCAGGCTTCCTAAGTGGCCCAGGAACAAACACTTGGTTTGCATGAGCTACAGGAAGCCAAATGGTTCAGGGAAACTCCCAGCCACTCTTTTCCTATCCCCGAACACGGGAATGCCATTTTTACCCAGGCTTAAAGAACCCTTCTTTATAGACAGACAACTTTCACTTTCCTACAATCCACACCTTTTCTCCCAGAACCACCAGATCTGCATTCCCAATGTGGGAGCTGCGTTTCCCACAGTGCTTTTGCTAAAGTTGTGTGCCGTGGCCGCAGTACCCCTGCCAACCATCGGAGCAGGCACAGTGGAAACAGCCCTGCGGCCAGCTTGAGAGATTTTCTCTGAGCCTTGATTCTTCATCTACAAGATGAGAGTCAACATAGCTATTTGACAATGGCATTACGGTATCATGAGGATTCCTTGTCATGAATATGATGCACTTTACAAATTCCAGTGTGCAGGAAACACTTTCTTTTCTAGAGTGGGTGTCTCATTTTCTACTCCTACCCCAATGTATGATAATCCCAGTTATTCTGCTGCCTTGATAACCAGTAAAGCAACTTAGCTTTCACTCTGAGCGCTCACCCTGCCAAGCAAGGAAGAAATTAGAGCCCCTCTTTTTTCAGGGCTGTTCCCCCAACACACACTCTCTTGCACACATACTCACAGGCTGTAGAGAAAGAACAAGAGACTGGGTCTTGCCTTGGGCCTGTCTGCACTGCTCACCACTGAGACACCCGTTTCCAGTCCTTAGGGTGACTTGAGGTCAGCCAGCTCTGCCATGGATGAGCCACCCCAGTGACGGAGGATGTTCTGAGAATCTGGGACCCCCACATGGCTGCTCCTCTCTGAGGTCCTACTCCCGCCTAGGGCTCTGGGAAAAAAACACAAATTACTACCTAACAAGCTTATCCTGCCTCGTGTCTATAAAGCACTCAACCTCATCCCAGACCCATAGAAGAGGCTCAGCTAGACTTCCTTCCATTTCTTCAGAGAAAGGAAGGTTTTCTCCTCTCCCTGTGGGAGGCGCTGTGAACTGGAGACCAGGGCTGTGCTCTGAGGGCAGTACGGGGACAGCACCTGTGTCCTCCGAAGGCTCCATCAGCTGCGTGGGTTCAGATCATCCTCAAGGACCGCAGGACCTCAAGCTCGGCTGCACTTTGTTCATTTTGTGGACACTGGAGAGCCACAGGCCATGTCCCATTGGATGGAGGGGCAGCTCTTAGGAACACCTGCCCACCCTGAAAGGTAGGGTGTCTGCGGTGAGGAGCTTGTTCCCTTTATTCCTGCTCCCTGCTCTGAACTGTTTATTCGGCTTGTAACCTAAATCTGTTTCCACATCCTCTGTTATAAGTGTGGGTTGCCATGCCTGGCAAGGAGGGGCAGTCGGTATATGTTGACTGAATGAGTGGTTGGATAAAAATGATTTCCTGCTGATGATTGTGTGGGTTTGGACATGACCTGTGAAGTCGCCTGTGCCTCGTGGGGCCATTTCTGCCCAAGGGAAAAGTTCTGCTCTAAATCCCTATGCAGGCAGGGAAAGCAGGGGAGCAGCTGGGGCAGGTCACTGGGGTACTTCTGGAACACTTGGATCCCTTGGCGAGAGCCTCTGTTCTTGGGCGCCCCCTAGGGGCAAACACTCAGTACTGGGCAGCCAGACCGGCTTCCTTCAACCTGAAGAGCCCTTTTTGCTGGTGGGGGAGAGGAAGGGTGAACCCTTGCATTCTAAGCTACTGCTGCTTGTATCTTTCATTTATTCCACCCCCTTCCCCCTGTTTAAGTGCTGCTTTAATAGCTAGTCTTAAATAGAAACAATTCTACTTGATTCCTTTACAACTAAATATTGAGTTAATACTAGGTACCTAATTTGACTATTTTTCTTCCCATTAACCTAATATGTATATTATCTCTGATTTTGATCCTCTTACCTTTCAAATTACTAAATTCCTTTTGTTTTATATAACTGTTTTGGTCTTTTCTGTTCTGCTTCATATAATTTTCTTCAGCAAGTATTTCATACCAATAGCTTGGTTAGATACATGATTAATTTCCTCTTAATATTTTATTTATTTCAAGTATTCATGGAAGGGGGAAGGAGGGAGTGGGTTGGGTACACACCACATGTGATGGGTGCCTCTGAAAAAGCTGGCTTCAGGGACAGTGCAGGGACCGCCACAGGAGCACCTGTCCCTAAAGCCTCCTCCACCCCCCAACTCCCACCCCAACATACTTCTGAACTGGGTCCAGAGCCCTGGGGGTGGGAGTGGAGCCATTAAAAAAGGGAAGCACTGGTGTCTCTGCTAAGTGGAGCATCCTACCCTGCGAGATCCTGGGACAGGAGTAAGGACTGGAGGGTATCGTCCCCAAGAACTAGAGGCCTTTGGGGGCACTTAGGGTTCACAAGGAGCATGTGTCACACCCTTCGCATGCTTTGCCTTATTTAATTCTTAGAAATAAAATGTTAAAACCCTATGAGGTAGGTACTGTATAATATCCGATTTTACAAATGAGGAAACAAGTTCAGAGAGGTTAAGAAACCTGCCCAAGGCCATGTAACTGGTATGGCAAGGACCTGGAGTTTAGAGCAGGGCTGTGTGATATTACAGCCCAGGCTCATTTCCCAAGGCTGCTATTCCAGGACCCGCCTCAGGCCAACTGAGTTATCGGGGGAAAGGATGGAGTCCCTCCATCCACACTATGCAGATGACCCTCCTGCATCGGGGCATGGCCTGGGAAAGCAGGGATCATGTCTATTTACTCATTTTTTTAAACCACAATTTTACAAATGTCAAGTGGGAAATGCTGTCACGGGGTGCAGTGGTCAACACAGTCCACCCCTCTACTCCCCAAGCAAGGAAGGTGGAGGGTGTATGCCCCTCGGGGAAGAGTCTGGGGTGCAGGTCAAATGTGCTGGCTGTGTAGCCATGGCTCCCCCATTTAGCTGTGACTTCAGAAAAGTTAACTTCTGAGTTAAACAGTTTCCTCACCTGCAAAATGGGAATAGCAGCAGTGTTTATTTCTTAGGGTAGTCATGTGGGCTAAATAAACACACACAAGGCCGGGTGTGGTGGCTCACGCCTGTAATCTCAGCACTTTGGGAGGCCGAGGTAGGCAGATTGCCTGAGCTCAGGAGTTCGAGACCAGCCTAGGCAACACGGTGAAACCCCGTCTCTACTAAAATACAAAAAACTAGCCAGGCATAGCGGCGTACACCTGTAGTCCCAGCTAGTCGGGAGGCTGGGGCAGGAGAATTGCTTGAACCCAGGAGGCAGAGGCTGCAGTGAGCTGAAATCATGTCACCACACTCCACCTGGGCGACAGAGCGAGACTCCGTCTCCAAGAAACACGCACATACACACACACAGGCACGCACACACACAAAAAAAATGCTTGCTCAAGCCACTACCTGGTTTGTGACAGTGGTTCCCTGTATCCCAGCAGGCAAACCATTGACTCTAAGGACCCACAAGGAAGAAGACTGGCAGGGCCACTGAAACACATTGAAACAGAGGATGCAGGCCCCAAGCTCCTCATCAGTTGCCCTTTAGCAATGGGACAGATCAACATCTCTTTAAGCCTGAGCCATCCACCCTTCCATGAGGAAATGGTGCCATGTGTCCCCGGCCCCTAAGCTGCTCTCCCATTTGGCATGAACCAAGCTGTGGAAACGGGTTGAGGAGCAGCAGGAGGCTGCAGAGGCGGGGCCAGGGGCTTCCCCAGGAGGGGCCATACATGGAGCTGGGGTTTGCACTCTTGAGAGGATGTCTGAGAGTGAGCTCAGGAGGGGCTGTGGCAGGTGCAGCTGTGGCTGAGGACTGCTCAAGGGAATCTGAAAAACGGGATATTCCATCCTGGAAAAAGGGGCTGGTGGGGGCGTGGGGTTTAGACAAATACCCTTATATTAGCCAGGTGCCAGGGGAGGAAACACCACGAATGAGAGCAGGAGGAGGTGGGGGCTTTAGAATGTGCCCATTCCCATTCCTATCACTGAGCCAAGAGAGAGAAATGTCCTTCTGGGAGACTTTGCCTTGGTATCAGGAGCCATGGGGCTGGGTGAACTGCAGGTCTCCAACAGGGACAAAGGGAGGAAGGGAGGAGCTGGCATCCCAACAGCCAGGGGACAGGATCTGAGTGGAGGGGCCTGAGAGCCCCAGAGCTCCTGCTGGAACTGCCTGAGAAGGAAGGTCAAGAGAGGAAGGTCCTGCAGTCCACCCAGTGGTCAGCTACCCTGAGGCTGGGCCGTAAGCGCCACAGCTGAGGGAGGAGATGTGCTCTGCTCAGGAGATGAAGTGACGGGTCAAGAGGGAGGAAGGGTGGGACGTCCAGAGGAACAGCAGGATGAAGGCCAGGTAAGGTTATTGCATCAGTGAGAGGAGTCTCATGGACACCAGGCCAGCACTTCACAGTGTCCTTCCTGTGGACTTCTGTGGCTCCCATTTTCTTTTTTTGTTTGTTTTTTTGTTTTTGAGACAGAGTCTCACTCTGTTGCCAAGGCTGGAGTGTAGTGGTGCAATCTCAGCTTACTGCAACCTCCGCCTCCTGGATTCAAGCAATTCTCCTGCCTCAGCCTCCTGAGTAGCTGGATTACAGGTGCATGCCTCCATGCCCAGCTAATTTTTGTATTTTTAGTAGAGATGGGGTTTTGCCATGTTGGCCAGGCTGGTCTCAAACTCCTGACCTCAGGTGATCCACCCGCCTCGGCCTCCCAAAGTGCTGGGATTACAAGTGTGACCCACTGTGCCCGGCCGGCTCCCATTTTTCTTATTCTCTGAGCACTGACAGCTGAAGGAGACAATACTCAGAACCCAAGGGCTGCTGCGTTTATGAATAGCCCATCATTTCCTGAGGCAGGAATGATAGGACCTCCAAAAACAAGAATATGTTAGCTGCCCAGACCCCCATGTGGTGAAATGTCAGTCTGACACACACAGCTCAGAGAACACCTTGTTGTTCAACAGTCTTAGAGGATGTGTAGATTTCCGTCCAGTCCAAACTGCTGTGTGCAGTGACAAGGCCAGGCAAAGGTGCTCTTGGGCCAGTGGAGCAGACAGAGGGCTGATTTGGTATGCAGCATGCCTGCTGGGACAGGTGAGCATGGTCTCTGCTAGAAGAAAGAGCCATTTGATATGACAGGGGCACACTGCCCCCCCAGGGCCCAGCATGGACAGGAGCTCCCCATGATGAGCGGAGGGGGTGTGCCGTCTTCAGAGGCTCAGGCAGGCAATGGGACTGGCAAAGCCTGGCATTCAGTGGCCCTGCCTGGCTCCTGCAGTGGATTCAGAGAAGCTAGGATTCAGAGGAGCTAGGATTCAGAGGAGCTAGGATTCAGAGGAGCTAGGATTTAGGGGAGCTAGGATTCAGGGGAGCTAGGATTCAGAGGAGCTAGGATTCAGAGGAGCTAGGATTTAGGGGAGCTAGGATTCAGGGGAGCTAGGATTCAGAGGAGCTAGGATTCAGAGGAGCTAGGATTTAGGGGAGCTAGGATTCAGGGGAGCTAGGATTCAGAGGAGCTAGGATTCAGGGGAGCTAGGATTCAGAGGAGCTAGGATTTTGGGGAGCTAGGATTCAGAGGAGCTAGGATTCAGAGGAGCTAGGATTCAGGGGAGTTAGGATTCAGGGGAGCTAGGATTCCGGGGAGCTAGGATTCAGAGGAGCTAGGATTCAGGGGAGCTAGGATTCAGGGGAGCTAGGATTCAGAGGAGTTAGGATTTTGGGGAGCTGGGGTATTGGGAAGCTCACCAGGCCAGGAATGAGGTCCAGATGAACATGGCAGAGACCCAGCCCCAGTAGCTGGGTTGTGCTCCTCCTCTGGGCTCCCTCAGTTCCCTGAGCCTACCGCAAGCATCACACTTACCATCTTGTGCTAAAATGGTCAAATGATGCCTCTGTGAGCCTCATGGATGGTGAGTTCCCAGGAGCCAGCACCATGTCTTAATTACCTGTGTGCCTTTGGTGCCTTGCAGAGTGCTTGACGCATGGTAGATGCTCAGGAAGCCTGTGCTGAATGAACATGGGAATGGGTGTGGTGTCACCTGCATGTTGAACTAGAGCTGCTTGCTAAGAGCCAGCCTGGCCCGGAGCCTGGGCCTGCCAGCGAGCTGTGGGGCTGAGAGCCAGGCAGGCCCCGGGATCCGTGTTTCTCTGGCTGGGTTTCTCTGGATGATCATCATGGTCTTTCGAGGGATGAGGGCACAAGAAGGGGATCAATGGGGTTTAATCAATAATTAGATACAAATAAATTCACATGTGTGTTTAGGGGATTTGGCAAATGAGTGCAGCTTGCTCTAGCGTTTGATTCAATCCAAGTTGTCTTTCCCTAGAGGGCAATTTTCACACATGTTGCCACCCAGAAGAGTAATGTCACTTATGCCTCTTCCTCAGCTTTAAGTCAGAGTCCAGGGCCCCAGAGGGTTCATCTTGAAGTGTTGGTTTGTCACATGGCTCAAGAACACCTCAGAGTCCCATGTAGGGAGGAGCCGGAAGCGTCAGGAAGCAGGCTTCTGTTGGCTGCTCACTGCACAAGCAGGGCTGCTGGTGAAAGTGCATGCTGGGTGAGCAGATAAGATAAGGATACCTCAACCCTCTGTGAGGAAAAGGCTGTCCCAGGTGTCTGGGTGCAGTAAAAGGTCTGATGTTTGGCTGCAGAAAACCAGCCAAGTGAGAGCATTTGTGGAAAAAAATCATGAGAGGCTTAAACAGAAACACATCGGGCTTCCTTTTGCTCATGGCCACGAGTCGAAATTACCTACCCTGAGAATTCACGACATGGCACGAAGTAGACATCCTTGATGTTTGCATAGGAAGTGTCCTCATGGGTCACCAACCAGGAGTTACCTCTGCACACCTGGGCATCCCCAAAGATCTACAATGACCAGGAACATGCGGCCAGCTCTGTCAGTTAGGTTCTCAGTTGCAAAGAGAATCCACATTCAGCTGGTTTAATTGTTGGAAGGACTAGAGAATAAGGCTGGACTCTAAGCTTCCAGCAACAATGTTCGGAGCCACCTCGGAGATGGGCTGATTCAGGGAGCTGGCTCCCTCGCTCCACTCACAGAGGCAAACAGGATGCCTCGCAGGGGTTTCTTCAGGGCGTGACTCAGAGCTAAACACAACCCAATCTTATGTCCAGCATATCAACGTGGATCTGGATGTATATTGTTTAACTTTGTTAAACCTAAACTAGAGAAGAAAAATATTTTGGCATTAAATGCGAGAGGAAAATAGAATCCATTGAATTCAAGTTCTAGAAAACCACACAGCCTGTTTATGAGCATTCTACCAATGCTCTTTGCCAACAAGAGAAAAAATCCACAGCCCTGCACAGGGCTCAGTGATGTAACAAGAAGAAAGGAGCAAACCACCTTGGAAACTGCCTAATTCTTAGTCTTTAAATGCACCCAGATGCTCCCTACTCACCACTCAGTCACCCAGGAGAACCTCCCAGGCTGGCTATGTCTATGCTAGCATCAGTTCCCTCACTTCTCTCATCTCCCCTGGGTCTCTCCACCAGAGCTCTCAGGATCTGCCTTTGGCTTCTCTGTTTGGAGACCCACTTAACCAGTTTTCTTGAGCACATTGACCTCAGCTCTCTACGTGACTCTTGGCTTTACAAGTTCCCTCACTTTTATCACCACCCCACAGCCCCAGGTAAGAGATGCTCTAGGCCAGGCGCAGTGGCTCATGCCTATAATCCCAGCACTTTGGGAGGCCAAGGTGGGCGGATCATCTGAGGTCAGGAGTTCGAGACCAGCTTGGCCAACAGGGTAAAACCCCGTCTCTACTAAAAATACAAAAAAAAAAATTAACCAGGCATAGTGATGGGGTCCTGTAATCCTAGCTACTTGGGAGGCTCAGGCAGGAGAATAGCTTGAACGTGGCAGGTGGAAGTTGCAGTGAGTTGAGATCATGCCACTGCACTCCAGCCTGGGTGAAAAGAGTGAAACTCTGTCTTAAATTAAAAAAAGGAAAAAAAAAGAGAGAGAGAGAGAAATGCTCTGTCTCCAGCCTAGGCCCAAACCCCTACCAAGAGAAGAGGATTCAAACTTTCTGGGCCAATGTTCACATGGACTCAGCTCTGAGGTCCTAATGACCTCGGGGGCAGAACGTTCAAGGGAAGGAGGTAAACCAGATGTAAAAGAGTCAATGGCCAGGCTGACCCCACTGGATGCCAACCAGCAGTCAGTATCTCCGGGTTCTGAAAAACTTGGCTCAATCTGAGTCATTGCCATGTTCGGTGGGTGGGGCCTAGCATTTGGCATCTCCAGGCAGGAATCAAGTTCAGGTGGCTTCATGGGGCTGGACACAAAGGTTCAGCTGAAGAAGGTTATGGATTCTCAGCCAAGAAGACAGCAGCAGGGCCCACCCCTCAGGAAGGGGCTGGCAAAGCTGAGGCAACTTGGTTGGGCCCTAGTGCTACTCAGAGGGCTTAGAACAGCAAGAGAAGTGTAGACCAGACCCACATTCTGTGCTGCAGAAGGGCAGAAGCCTGTGGTGGGGAGGGAGGTTTGCAGGGCCTTCCACAGAATGAGACTGGGTTAGACTGGGACTGGGACAGACTGGAACTATTGCACGGGAAAGCCCTGGACAAACCAGATCATTATTCCAGTCTCTGTCTCAATGCTCCAGCCCACTGGCCATTCAGGTGACACAGAGGTGAGTCCCTAACCCTAATCCTAACTCTTCCAGTTCACATTTGCTAGGAGATTTCATTCTGTTTGAGTGTCCAGTGTAGGTTTCCTCTTCTTTTTTGTTTTTTGTTTTTTAATTAGACAGGGTCTCATTCTGTTGCCCAGACTGGAGTGCAGTGGTGTGATCCTAGCTCACTGCAGCCTTGGCCTCCTGGGCTCAAGCAATCCTTCCACCTCAGCCTCTAAAGTAGCTGGGACCACAGGCGTGCACCACCAAACCCAGCTACTGACTTCATGGATTTTGGACCTTGTAAGCTACCTCCCTTTTACCCTAAGTGTGGAAGAACTCGAAATCAAGTTTTCTTATGAGGAGACTTGTTAGAGTAGAATAAGGAAGATGAAATGTGTCAGGAAAGTATAGCGGAGATTAGCTGCCTGCCCCATAAGCCTGTCTCCTCTTATTCTTGGGAGAAACCTGGCCATATTTCCCAGCCTCTTTTGCAGTGAGATATGGCCTTGTGATTATATTCCAGCCAAAGGAATGTGAGTGGGAGAGACGAGGGCTATTCCCAGGACTAACCCAAGAAACCCTCCCATCTGAGACGTTCCACTCTCCATGGACCCTGTGTGAAGCATAGTCCCCCAGCAAGGCCAGCCCCAAGAGGCTACTGTGCCACTCAGTTTGATTGTTTCAGTGATGGATGGGAATTTGAAGCTGTCAGAGGTGGACAGGAGGCTATTAGGGGAGGGAATCTCAACTGCAGAGCACCTTCCGGCAGGGAAGCTGAGAGAGACAGGCGTGAAATCATCACTGTACTCTATTTGGGTTCCATCCAAAGAGGGTAAAGGGAACTGGCTAAGTAAGGAGGCCTCAGGAGCCCTGTTTGGCAGGAGCAGGGAGAGCCTCTGCTGGCTGGCGGTGTTGTCTTTATCTCACATGGTAGGTGCCCTGTGATGGTTGGTTGTGGGAAGAGTAGCAGTTTCCCCTGGGTCTCAGAAGGCCCTGGCAAGCATAGGCCTGTCATGGTGAACTTACAGAGAAGATCCTTCCACAATACATTTGCTCAGACTTTTCACTTGTCATTGGCTGTATTGAAATAGCCAGAGATTTACAATGATCTGTTCAGACTGTTATGTTTTGTTGCTGAAATAGAGGTACCAGGAAGTTCATATGATAAAAACTGGATATAAATTTTCCAAAGAAACAACATAATAGGATTATGATTCCAGCCAAGGTCTGATACACTATGATAAAAATGATCAGAAATTGCATAGTAATCAGTGTGCCAATGATAAAAGCTATTTCTACTCTGCTCGGAGTAAAGCTTTCCAAGGTGTCTATAAATCAGTCAAGTAGGATGACACAGGAATCAATCATATGAGATCTCTAAAAATGTCATGTAAGAGGATCTCATGTAAGATCGTCTCTGGCTGAGGGCAGCCACCCAGATACTGCAGCCTGTTGGGATGTAAACAGCCAGGGCATCCTAAGTGTGAGTCGTCTAGGTCACATGTATTGAGCCGTGTCTGTTTGAGTTTGACTGGACAGCAAAGCCTGTGGGATTCTGGGTCTTTGTGAAATGTTCCACCCTAATCAAAGGACTTTAGAACATTGGGCCCCCAGTGGTCGAATAGGCCCCTCAGCACGCATGATGTTCTCTTCATGTTCTCTGGGCCTTGACGCAGGGAGTGGCTGAGCCTGGACCTCATCATGGGCCAGACCCAGAATCACAAAATGCCAAACTCAGAGGCTTAAAACCATTTTAAAATTCCCCCCGACCCCAGCCTCCCCTCACAACACTGTATCCTTAAAACTGAAAAAAAAAAAGCAGGACCCTTGTAAAGAAAATGAAACCCAAATGATATCAACTTGGAGAACAGAGACAGGTGGCTGCTTCTTTCTGTCTGTTGTGAATATTCCTTTTCCCCCAAACTCCGATGGAGCAGCAGTGGGCTCTATGCTGCTTGCCCTGGTACAGAGGGGTTTTGCCCTGAAGGGGGATTAGGAAAAGCGTGTCTGGCGTTCTTCAAGTAAGAACGTCCTATGGCTTACCTAGAACAAAGTCACACCACAGCAATACCAACACTGCAACACTGCTTCAACCTCGTTTCTCTTGCAGGTGCAAAAGCTTCTTAAAAGAATATGAGAATCATTATTCAGACTGGGCATGGTGGCTCATGCTTGCAATCCTAGCACTCTGGGAGGCCGAGGTGGGAGGATCCCTTGAGCTCAGGAGTTGGAGATCAGCCTGAGCAACATAGTGAGACCTTGTCTCCACAAAAAAATTTTAAAAATTAGCTGGGAGTGGGGTGGCGCATGCCTGTGGTCCCAGCTACACAGGATGCTGAGGCAGGAGAATTGCTTGAGTCCAGGGGTTCGAGACTGCAATGATCCATGATCATACCACTGCACTCCAGCCTGGGAGAAAGAGCAAGATCCTGTCTCTTCATAAATAAATAATCAGTATTCAGGTTCGCCACGTGGATTCCCCCAGCCCCGCCAGAATATATCGATAAAACAATGGTGTACAATGTTTGAGAACATGAATAGTAAACGCTGTGAGAAGGCACAAGCCCAGAGCTGTGGCTCTGTAGTTAAAATTCTGCCCAAATGATAATACCATGTGTACTTGTGTATATATACATAGATAATTTTTTACTTTATAATGCAGCTTTGCATTGAGACCCTGATTTCTCTTAGACCTTCTTTCCTAATAGATAGGCCAGTGGGCTCATGTGCTATGCTTGGCTAGAAGGCAGCTCATTTAACAACTGCTCAGCCAAGCAAGGGAAGCTCTACTGCAGGTCCAGGAGGCCCCCAAGCCAAAATTAGCAGAAGGAGGTGGGGCACATTTTCACGGGGCTGGTGGATGTTGAGATGGAGTCAGTCATTTTCACTGTAATTCCCTTAGAGGAAGGGCATTCCTACCACGAGGCCATCAGATCTGAGAGGGCTGAATTAAAAGGTCCAAGGAAACTGAAAAGTTCCAGCCCCTCATTTATAAGTGGGGAAAGTGAAGCCTGGGAAGCTGGTGACCACCCCCAACTCCCTCTCCTTCCGCTGATGCAGTGGCAGACACATTCTCCTCTGGCTATGGTGGAGTAAGACCCACAGCTGTCACCAGTGTCAGGGCTGGGAAATCACCACCTAGGAAATGCATCAGAAGTGCTGCAGGTGGCTCCAGAAGTTCCAGTGGCCTCCAGGAAGGATAGTCCCAAGCAGGTGTGTGAAATGGGAGGGTAAGTGTGGTCAGTAGTGGCCTGCATGGGGATGTCATTCACATGCAATTTGCATTAGTTCCTGTACTCCTGTGCTGTCTGTCCTCAGATGTCCATGTTGGCCTTTTCTGTGCAACTAGCAGTTGAAATGAGAGGGAAGAAGGAAGTGAATGACCAGTGATAAGAGGAAAAGAGAAATCAATTTCACCAACCCAGATCCCCAGTGATTTTTTATCCCATGGGGTGCCATGTTCCTCTGACTGTCTACTTTAGCACAAACTATGGCTACCCGCAGAATGGCCTTTTCTTTAGTATTCTTCATTTGCCCGAAAAGCTTCTTATCTTTAGCTTCTTGTCCCAACCCTCTTCCCGGATGATAGAAGAACTAGGAAAAGAGAATTTTTAGGTGGGCAGGGGTCTGGGGGTGGTTGTGGGACAGGGGCAGTGTGAGGTCAGAGGCATCAGAAACCATCCTGCTGAGACTGGCTACCCCACCTCATACAGAGTAACCCAGGTTAAGTGAGACGGTGCATGCACGTTGAACCAGAGAGACTTCATGGCATCCTCCAGCCCAAGGTGGCTTCCGGTCCGAGGTGGGGTCGGTTCGCGCGAGGAGCGCACAGCAGAGGACATGGGCTGTGCGCTCAGAGGAGGAGCTGGCTGTCCCTGGAGGACGTCCTTCTGAGTCAGTAGGTGAGTCCTGCTGCAGAAGGAGCCACTGCTTCTGACGCGTGCCTTGCACTTCGACCGTAGCAGGCCATGATCCTCCTCAGTGTGGACTTTCCTTCTGTTGCAAGAGGGAGGCCTGGTGGGACTCTGAAACCTGGCCTGAACCCCTCATCTCAGTGGCCGAAGCCCCCCAGGCCTGAAGCTGTGGTGACGCTCTGGACCACCATGTGGGTCCTGGCATTGTGACCTCAGCTGTTCCGTACACAAAGGGGTGGTCACCCTGCCCTCACCTTGACCTGTAAGTTGCCTAGGACAGTGGCCTGGTCCCAGGGGCTGTTGTGGGGAGTTGAAGAACACCCTGGCCTCCTCCATCATGTCGGCCAAGAGGGCAGAATTGAAGAAAACACATCTGGTAAAAGAGAGACATTGCTGGACAGTGTGGGTCCTCTCTGAGCTCCTACTGAATGGAGATGGTGTCGGGGCAAGGGATACAGAGAATGCTCGCATGAATCTCTGGTTTTTCTTTCTCTGTACTGAGCATAAAGCAGCCTCTCAGTCTGGAAGGGGTGTGGGATTAATCCCTAGCCTTGGGGGTGGGAAGGAAAGAGGCCTCTGCTGCCTCCCTCTGGGGATGAGGAGCACTGCCAAGGGAGCACTCCCTACTCCAAGACCACTCATGGTTCCACGGCCCATGCCAGGCCTGCCAGGCCCACATCTAACCAGCAGGGCTAAGGCTCAGAATAACCTTATTAGATAAATATAATCATCACGTCGATTTTATAGATGAGGAAATGGGGGCTCAGAGAGGCTAAGCAACTCACCCAAAATAACAGAGATAGTAGAGAGGTCAGCTGAGACTATAGTGCAAATCTGCCTATGGCCAAAGCCCTTGCTCTGGAAACAACACTTCCGGGGCTTGCTTCTAGTTATCTTAAAGTGCTTTCTCCACGCTGGCGCCTCCAGCAGGGAGAGGGCTGCCTGCCAAATAGGCAGACACACGCCCATAGGAAGAGGACAGCACGACAAGATGTGATTTGTTAGGAATCGGATCCGGGTGCTGCGGGGTCTGTGAGCCTGAGCTCAAGCCAGTTGGACAGGCAGGGTTGCATGGTTGTGGGGGGCAGGGGGCAGGGTTCCCGTGCAAGGGCCAGATGTTCTCCTCCCCAATCCTGATGTCTGCCAGCCTGAATCTCAGTCTCCTCTTTTTGCAGAGCAAGAACTACAAGGCAGTTTGCCTGGAATTGAAGCCAGAGCCGACCAAAGTAAGAAGCCCTTTTGAGGCCATGCAGGCAGCCAGGCCTGAGATCCATGGGGAAGTGACCAGGAGTCAGGGGTCATTTGCTGATCCTAGTGGCCAAGATTTGTCCCAGGTGCTGGGGGATGCACTGAGAGTTCTTGCTCTCATAGAACTTCACACTGTAACCAATCAGATACATAAACGAACAAGGACTCATTCAGCAGTGTTACCTGCTCTGCTGGGAATCAAGACAGGGAGACATGTCTGAGTGGCTGCCGTGGAGTGGGTGGTAGGGAAAGGCCTTCCTTTGAGCTGAGAGCTGAAGGACAAGACTCTGGCTTTGCAAAGGCAGAGTAAGAGCCTTCTAGGCAGAGGAGGCAGCATGCACTGAGGCCCAAGGTGGGAATGAGCCTGGCTGTTCAAGGGACAAAAGGAGCTGAGGCCCCGTGGGCCAGCAGGGGAGTGGAACAAGATGAGCTGAAAGAGGGAGGAGGATAGAGGAACCTTCTGCACAGGTGGGGCCACCAGCTTTCCTCTTGCCTTAGCCCTAAGGGAGGAACAGAAACACAGGGGGATCTCTTCTGCCTCTGCACTTCCACCGCCCATCTGCAATTCCCAAAGGTCTGTGTTCCTGTTTCAATCCACAGACATTTGATTACAAAGCAGTTAAACAAGAAGGGCGGTTTACCAAAGCAGGAGTGACACAGGACCTAAAGGTGAGTGCGTGAACTTGGAGGCATGTCTATATTCCAAACCACGTGAGTGTAAGTTTTCCCCAAATCCTCAGTGCCTGTTTCCTAAATACAAGAATATCCTCTTACATAGGCACAGTGCAATTATCAAAATCCAGAAGTTAACACACAGACAATACTCATCTATAGCCCTTGTTCTAATTTCACCAGTTGTCCCACACATGTGTTGCATAACAACAGAAAGGGGACGTTTTCTGGTCTAGGGTCTGATCCAGGATCACACATTGCCTCGAATTACCAGGTGTCTTTTCTATAATCTGGAACAGAACAGTTCTTTTTCTTTGGGTACACTGACATTTATTTATTTTTATTTTATTTTTTGAGACAAGGTCTCCCTCTGTCGCCCAGGCTGGAGTGCAGTGGCATGATCTAGGCTCACTGCAACCTCCAACTCCCAAGTTCAAGCAATTCTCCTGCCTCAGCCTCCCGAGTATCTGGGACTATAGGCGTGCACCACCATGCCCAGCTAATTTTTGTATTTTTAGTAGACACAGGGTTTCACCATATTGGTTTTGAACTCCTGACCTCAGCTGATCTGTCTGCCTTGGCCTCCTGAAGTGCTGGGATTACAGGTTTGAGCCACTGCACCTCGTCTGGGGACATTGACATTTTTACAGATTACAGATCACTTATGTTGTGGGATAACCCTCAATTTGGCTTTGTCTGTTGGATTCCTCATGATGAGATTCAGGCTGTGCATTTTTTGGCAGAGACACATGATGCCTGTAGGTCCCACTATCTTATAGTCTTTTTAAAACATTAATTAATTAATTAATTTTGAGATGGGGGTGGGGGTCTCGCTATGTTGCCCAGGCTGGTTTCAAACTCCTTGTTTCAAGTGATCCTCCCGCCTTGGCCTCCCAAAGTGCTGGGATTACAGGTGTGAGCCAGTGCACCTGGTCTATCCTATTGTCTCAACAACATCTTTTCTTTCCTCCCTATTGAAAGCTTTTCTCTGACAGTGTCCCAGGATCTTTCCTTTCCTCCTGTTGATGGTTTCCCCTCCATCCTAGATATTTCTTTCCTCCTTCTCTTCTCCATTTTATTTCCTCAGAATGAACTCAGGGAAGTGAGAGAAGAGCTCAAGGAGAAAATGGAGGAGATAAAACAGGTAAGAAGATGAGGCCTTCCATATCATGGAGGGAAAGTGTAGCTTCAGGAAAAATGCAATCCTTAAGTTTGAATAGTGAAGGAAAGCAGGAATTGCATGGAAAAATGTAACTCAGTCCTAATACCCAGAGCACTTCAGTATTAGGTTATTCACTTCTTACTTGTTTGATGCCTAAACCCAATTTTTGAGTGACTGAGGACTCCCTAAAGTGTCTCTTTGGTAAGGGTGGGTGATGTCACCTTAGTGATGAAGCTGAGTAAGAGGGGCTGATTTGGAATATGAATTTAGGGGAAGTCAGGGACCAACCCCATCTTCCTTATTCACTTCCCCTGAGCAAGTTGCAAAGCAGGAAACCTCTCATTTCTATGATACAACCAACCAACCACCTGTAGCATCCTTAGGAAAAAAGCGAATAATCGAGCAAGAAAGTGTAATCGAAGCTGTGGTTCAAGCTCCACATGCAGTCTTGCAGTAGCCAGATCTAAGCCGTGCCAAGGCTGATGGTGGTGGTGACTTGATGGTGCTTGCACCCTAGTCCCTTCACAGACTCCTTGAGAAGAAAGTGGCTCTAACAGGCCATTATTAGTCCATGCCAGAGAAGCAGCCACTGCCCTTTGCTTAAAATGCCTGAAAGATGCCACAACTAACCTCAATAACATGCTCTGTGCTTTGTCAAGCCATGCCTTTCTTCCTTGTTAGATAAAGGATCTAATGGACAAGGATTTTGATAAACTTCACGAATTTGTGGAAATTATGAAGGTAAGCATTACTTGAGTGCCTTCCATGGGCCAGTACCATACTGGAAACTGTGGAAGAGACACCAGCAGACCCTGCCCTCCAGGAGCTTATTATCTACTAGTAGTCCCATATTCCATTGCAAGAAAGCATTGCAAGCCAAATAATTAATTCGTTGTTTGCTAGTTAGGGGCTTAGAGACATGAGAAATGAATGCGGGTTGGAGTAAGCAGCGAAGTCCTTACAGAGAAAGTGAGTCTCAAGTTGAGCCTTGAAGACTGCATGGGAAGCTTAATGCAAATCTCATCAAGAGCCCAGTAAGATTCTTTTTTAACTCAAAAAATTACTAGGATGATCTAGATTCTAGAGCAGTGATTGACAACATGTGGTGTGTTTCAGAATCACCTGGAACACTAATAAAACAGAGCCTGGGCTCATGTTCAGATGGTGCTGGGCCCTTGTAGTTTAGACAAGTTCCCAGGGGAAAGACTGAGAAGCATAAGCTGGCAAAAGCAAATAGGTACCCATTTTTCAAGAGTTGTAAGGGGACATTAGCCTTACCAGATATTAAAATTCACGATAAAAACAAAGTTATTAAATCAGCCCAACGATAACCAAACACATGAATGAAATGGGATAGATAACGCCTCAACAGCCTCTCTGCCTGGGATGTAATGAGAATCAGTTGTGAGAATTTTAAAACTCCATTTACTTAGACCCTTTCCCAGAGGAACTGAATAAAAATCTCCAGGGTGGGCCGGAGTTGCTTAAAACTCCGTTTAGATTCAGATGCTTGCCTGTGGATGAGAACCAGGTCCTAAACACTTTAGCAGCAGTTACTAACCTTGGCTGCACATTATAATCACCTGGAAAGCCTTTCACCTATGCCCTCCCCATCCAGGCTACACCTCATAACGATTAAGTCAGAAGCTCTTAGAATGAGGTCCAGACGCCAGTGGGTTTTAGTTGCCCAGGTGATTCCAGTGTATACTCAAGTTGAGAATCACAGCTCTATAGAATTTACAATATGATAAAGGTGATTTTTTGATGTCAGTCAGAAGGAAAGGATTAGGTAGTAATATTAGAAACATTGCTTGACTATATGAAGAAAAAACTTAAGCCAGTTAACACTGTAAAGCTAAATAGTCTATGAAGTGATTTTAAATAATAAAAACCAATAAGAAGAAATGTTAAGTAAATATGTAAATAGAAGTTCTAAATATAAATACAATGGAAGAAATTACAAAGGACATATTGATATATTTAACTATGTAAGATTTTTTTAAAAGAATTATGACAGAAAAATCACTTACATTTACAGAATTAAAGAAACTGTTTGGGGGAACATTTTTCCAAAAATATAAGCACAGAAAAAAGGTTTTTATCCATAACATATAAAGTTCACATAAATCAATAAGAACTAAGTAGGAAAATAGACGAGTGTGAACAGACAATCCACAGAAGAGAATATAACTAAAAAGCAATAAACATATTAACAAAGGCCTGACCTCATAATTAAATACATGCAAATGAACAATCAATTATTGTTACACTCAAGCAAAATTTTAATTTATTACAATTACAGTATAAGACATATAAATGCTCTTATACTGTTAATTAGAGTGCAAATTTGTACAAAACTGGAACATTGTTAGACAATAGATATAAAAAAATCAACCTCTTGATTTGTCAATTTCACTTCTTAGAATTTAACCTATGAGAATAATCAGAAACGCCATCATGGGTATACATAAAAAGATGTTCATGACAGGATTATTTGTAATAATAAAAATTTGGAAACGACCTCAATTTTCAACAGTAGGGGAATGGCCAAATAAATTATGAAATACTTATATAATAAAAGTTAGGAACTATTAAAGACAATGTTTAGAAAGAATATTTATAATAAGAACTAAAAAAGCAAGATACAAGTAATATACATAGGCTGATCTCAGCTAGGTTAAAAAAAATAAGCAAATATATAGAAAAAAGACTGGAAAGAAATATACCAAAGGGGTTCATAGCAGTTATTTCTGGATGAGAATATTCATACTTTTATATCCCTCTGTACTGTCCAAATTTTCTACAAAGGGCATGCATTAATTATTTCTCTGTTAAAATCCAAACAAAGTTAAGTGTTTTGTTGGTGGGGAGGCTGGGTATGGAAAGGCACAAAGGAGGCGATTTCAGGCAGGGGAACCCCTTAAGCAGGGCAGGAGGCAGGAGGAGTATGTTGTATATGGTGGTCAGCACGGGGATCAGTCATGAAGTGGGACCACTGGGGGAAACTGTGAGGGAAAAAAAAAATGAATGGGCACAAAGGCTGTAGGTAATGATGGCTTTTGAAAGACATGCAGACAAGCTAGGACTTGGTTCTGTGAGCAGCAAGAGGCCTCTGGAGATTCTTAATCAAAGAACATTCTGGGAGGAGCACTTCAAAAAGCTTAGCCCGGCAGGTTTTGTTTGCAAGGCGGCCTGGGTGGGGCCCAGGGAGCAGGTGGAGATGTCTGACAGCAAGAACACCACAGCTGGACCAGGTGTAGGGAAAGAAGGAAGAGATAAATCTGAAAGATGCACTGAGGGAAAAATAACAGTTCCTGGTGACTGATTCAATATGGAGACTGAAGTCTTGAGAGGCAAGCGTCCGTGATGACACCAAATTTTAATCTGGTTGATTAAAAGAAAGTGGTGACGATGACAATGACAGTGGGGAGATAGAGGTAGCTTGGGAAAATGAAATCAGTTTGGAACATGATGATTTTGAAGGGGTACATGTTGGTGAAACGTGTAAGAATATGGGACATTTTGACTCTGATGTTTTGGACCTAGGGGACATTGACTTCAAGGATATTTTGACTCTATGAATACAAATATTTTATTCAAATTTGTACTAACATTTAAAAATGCTTTTCAAGAAGGTATTTTATGAAATCATCTCTATGCAGATGGTGTAATTTCTTGATCAATTTTCTATAGTACATCAATTAAACTGTTACCAAATCTTTCATTTTTAATGAAAATTATTTTATTGGAATAAATTGTTTTTATTTCTGTTTTATGACAACCCAAACCTGTTTTTCTCTGTGACAAATATTGTCAGTTATAGCTTCTACCATCTTAGAATTTTTCTCATGTCCACTATTTCCATTCAATTTACCCAGGTCACATTTTATAGATCAAAACTTTGTCAAGATTTTATTATTCCTTCTGTTCTGAGCGAATAATACGTGTGATGTATCCCTTTAGCTGCTGTCATTTTACTTTTTGTTGACCATCTTTGCCAGGAATTAGGTAAAAGATGAAGCAAACATAAATATGCAGGATCTGGGTGCATGCCAAGGGTCAAAACATTGCAGTCAAATTGTCTTTGGGGTCACAAGATTGGTCTTCTTGGTTCCATCATTTTATAGGCATCAAACCAAGGCAAGCATTGGTTTTATCCAAAGTGTGAGATCAGATAAAACAGTAGCTGGCCTCTGGCTCACCTAGAGACTTCAGAAAAGTCCCCTAATGTCTCTGCCTGTGCTTTCGTCTCATTGGGGAAGGGGGATGAGGAAGGGGAGAAGCTGTACATGTCACGGACACTCCAAAAGCCACCTCACCCAAGTCTAGCGAGGATTCTTGAGGAAGTAAGATGCAGAATGGTTTGCAGAGAGGCAGGAGGAAGGTATTTCCAAAGTCCTTCAAAATGAAGATGCTAGTTCTGAATTCTCTCTCGAAGGAAATGCAGAAAGATATGGATGAGAAGATGGACATTTTAATAAATACACAGAAGAACTATAAGCTGTAAGTGTAACCTGCACTCGTCTCTCCTCATCCCTAAAGGGTCTCCTCCCTTCCCTTTGTTGGATCCCTTTGGGGTTCAGAGGACACCCAGACTCTTGGAGGAGTTGTCTTTGCTCCTACTGCCCCTGTGACTTGGAGTCAAGGCCTTCCATGGCCACCCGTGTACTGGTTATCTCCTTGTCATGCTGCAAAATGTCTCCCCAACTCTCTGCCCCTCCCTGGCCCTCCTCCCCCAGTCCCCTTAGAAGAGCACCAAAGGAGCAGCAGGAACTCAGGCTGATGGGAAAGACTCACAGAGAACCACAGCTCAGGCCCAAGAAAATGGATGGAGCCAGTGGAGTCAATGGAGCACCCTGTGCTCTTCACAAGAAGACGATGGCACCACAAAAAACAAAACAGGGCTCACTGGATCCCCTTCATCACTGTGGGACCTGCTGCGTAAGTGAAACCCTGCCCGAGCCCAGCACTGGTGCCAGACCCCTGGCTCCGGCTCCCTGGTGACTTCCCCGAGCTTGTGCTGTATCATAGTGAAGGGACAGGTCCGCCCGCTGCTGACTTCTGGGTGCCGCCCGAGCCTGCGCCCTCCCTGACCTGCCTTGCCTTCTAGGCCTGTGGAGCCTCCTTAGCTGTGACCATGCAGGACTTGACCCTGGATGGGCCTACCCGCCAGCTCCACCCTCTTATTCTGTCCTTCCCTTTAGCAAGGGCAGATAAGGTGCCTAGCAGGCTGCCCTTCTTGGACCAGGGGAAATTGATCTTTCTTGTGCCGTTTCTGTCCTCTGCAGGAGAAATGTTTGTTGTGTGCTCTAAAGAACAACTACAATCGGGGTAGGTAGATTCATACAAGATGTGCCTTTTCTCGATCAGGTGCCTTGTTGTCCCCAAGGCCATGTGCTCCCAGCCGCATTCACATCACACCCCTCCTGAGGTTGTGCCAGGAGTAGGGACTGTTAGCAGATGCTGCCACCCAGCATGCTCAGTCATACAGGATGTGGCACCAGGAAGGAGGACTTGGGTCACCCAGCCTAGAGGCTGCTGCCTGGGGCTCCCATGGTGGGGAGGGTGCACCACTAGTGGCGGAACTGACCTTGCCTCAGGTCCTGCCCTTTCTCCCCATCCAGTGGGAAATATTCACACCAGGTCTGGGCACCCTTTTCACCCTTGGCTTCTGGAGCTGCCTTCTGATTTATCTGTACCTCAACCCCGGTGACATCGAATATGTGTTTCCAACCTAGCGCAGCTGCAGAACCTACCAGCAGTTCCGATTCATCACCTCCAAGCTCCTTAAGATGCACAGTCAGGGCTTCTTGTCCTGTTAAATACCACCCCAACCCCAGGCCTCCACTGGAGATTAAAAACCTTCATTCAAAGCCAAAGGGGATGTCATGGTTTTGAGTACCAGTCCAAAACTTGAGTGTGTGGAGGTTGATTATTTTTGGTTCTATATCAGTGTATTTCAGACTCCAACCCTTCCCCCTGCTTCCTGATGGATTGGTGGGAAATTACATCTTAGTCATCTTAGGGTCCTCCCAACCACCACCTCCCTCCATTCCACCTGGGTCTGCAAACGTCCCAGGTCATAGCATGGGGAGGGCCCCTGATGATAGCGGACGCCAGTCTGTGTGGTCTCAGGAGAGACCCTGCTGCCTGGCCCATCCGCTCCCTCCACATAATCAGCCTCCACCTGTGCATGGGGCCAGGGTGTCTTGGGTGATGCAGGGAACCCCTCAGCCTCGAGTTCTGCCTGCACCACACCCCTCTGAGGTCTTGTCACCAAGCAGGACTCAGGTCCCTGCTGCTCATAGGAACTGGGTAGCTTTCTTGGGTTCTGGGGATCCACCCTTCTCACCCCCTTGAAGGTTTCCTCTCCCTCCCTCCACCCCCAAAGGGAACATTCCTTCAGAGGCCTCAGGCCTTTACAAAGGTGGAGAGGAGCCAGTGACCACCCAACCTTCTGTGGGCCACGCTGTGCCTGCCCCAAAGTCCCAGACTGAGGGAAGGTGAAGCTTAACTGCCAGCTTGAAATGAGAGTAAAGAAGATACAGAGCAAACAGTGTTTCAGAAACTGTCCTGCCCTGGGTGTGATTCTTTGGCTTCAATTTGAAGGACGAGGAATGATGGGATTTCATATTTTATTTCACACCAGTTCCTCCTTGTTTCATCTCTTTGCTAAGCTGGCTGCTTCTACCATCTAATAAATAATTGGCCAAGTTCTTTTTTTTTGGAATTTTATTATTATGGTTAATTTTGTGGGTTCATAGTAGGTGTATATATTTATGGGGTACATGAGATGTTTTGACAAAGTTATGCAAGGTGAAATAAGCATGCCATGGAGAATGGGGTATCCATCCCTTCAAGCATTTATCTTTGAGTTGCAAACAATCCAGTTACGCTCTAAGTTATTTGAAAATGTACAGTTATTGACTGTAGTCACCCTGTTGTGCTATCAAATGGTAGGTCTAATTTATTCTATTTTTTGTACCCCTTAACCATCCCTACCGGCCCCCAAGCCCCTGACTACCCTTCCCAGCCTCTGGTAACCATCCTTCTACTCTATATCCATGAGTTTCATTGTTTTCATTTTTAGATCCCACAAATAAGTGAGAACATGCGATGTTTGTCTTTCTGTGCCCGGCTTATTTCACTAAACATAATGATTTCCAGTTCCATCCACATTGTTGCAAACGACAGGAGTTCATTCTTTTTATGGCTGAATAGAACTCAATTGTGTGTGTGTACGATATTTTCCTCATTCATCTGTTGATGACACTTAGGTTGCTTCCGAATCCTGGCTATTGTGAACAGTGATGCAACAAATGTGAGAGTGCAGATATCTCTTCAATATGCTGATTTTCTTTCTTGTAGGTATATACGCTGCAGTGGGACTGCTGGATCTATGGTAGCTCAATTTTTAGTTTTTTGAGGAACAACCTCCAAACTGTTCTCCATAGTGGCTGTACTAATTTACATTCCCACCAACAGTGTACAAAGATTCCCTTTTCTCCGGGTCAAGTTCTTAATGGCTGCAAATTAATGAGCAATGTATTTGGTGCTTCAGATAAATATTTAAAAAACAAAACTCAAAACACATGTAGGCCTTGTTTGCAAGGAGCTTATAGCTTTAAAGGTGAGATGGCAAACATGCAGAATAACAATATGGACCGTGTAGAAATAAGTACAATAATCATAAGCATGTGATGAAAGCAGAAATGGATCAGAAATAGGGAAAAGAAGAAGGGTGGGCAGAACTCTGTATTAGTTCCCTATTGCTGCTGTCACAGATCACCACAAATTTAATGACTTAAGACAACAAGAAATGGGCCTAAGATGGATCTTGTTGGGCTCAAATCAAGGTGCCAGCACAACTGCATTCCTTCTGGAAGCTCTAGGGGAAAATCTGCTTCCTGGCCTTTCCCCACTTCTGGAGGCCACCTGCCTTCCTTGGCTGATGGTCCCTCCCCATCTTCAAGGCCAGCAATGGCCATGGGATCTTTCTTGTGCCTCATCACTCTGACATTGACTCTTCTGCCTCTTGCTACCACATTTAAGGACCCTTGTGATTACATTGAGCCCACCTGGGTAATCCAGAATAATCTTTTTATTTTAAGGTTAGCCAGTTAGCAACTCTAATTCCCCTTTTCCAGGTAACATAACATATTCACAGGCTCAGGGAGTTAGAACATGGACATCTTTGCAGGACATTATTCTACCCACCACAGGGGACTTCCCAGACCCTGTCCCTTGACTACCAAGCCTCCAAACACTTGGGAACACTGCACTATTCAGTTCTGTGCTGTGGTGGTTTTAAACTAGGCCCACAAATTCTTTGATACTCCTTTTATACTCTTTCCTTCAAGAGGAACCCAGTTCCTCTCCTCTTAAGTGTGGGCTACACAGAGTGACTTGCTTCTAATGAATGGAACATAGCAGAAGTGATGTGTATTACTTCTGAGGTTAAGTCGTAGAAGACATGGTGGCTTCCATCTTGCTCTCTCTTGGACACTCATTCTGAGTGAAGCCGGCTGCCATGTTGTAAGGACACCCAAGCAATCCTGTGGAGAGGGCCACATGGCAAGAAACTGAGGCCTCCTGCCAATAGCCATTTGAGTGAGCCATTTGACCAGGAAGTGAATCCTCCAGCCCCAGTAGAGCCTTCAGATGATGGCAACCCTGGCTGACCTCTTGCCTGCAACTGCCTGAGAAGATCCTGAGCCAGAACCACTCGGTTAAGCTTCTCCTAGACACCTGGCCTGCAGCAACCATGAAATAATAAATGCTTGTTGTTTTTAAGTTGCTAAGTCTTGAGGTAATTTGTTGTTACTTAGCAACAGATAAGAATGTGTCTATCTCCTCTTCATTGTTTTAAAGACTTGAAACATTGAGATTTATATGGTTATGCACACAAATGTACAACTTGATGAACTTTTACATACAGATACATGACTGGAATTGTTCTAGAACACTTCCATCCCCTCTTCCCAGCTCACATTTGCCCCATATCCAGGTTACCACTATTTTAATCTCTACCATTTTGTGTTATTTTGCCTGTTCTTAAAGTTGACATAAATGGGATAATATGTTATGTATTATTTTGCTCAAAATTGTACAACTCATGCATATTGTTTGTATATAGCAGTAATTCATTATTTTTTAACTGCCATGAAGTTTCTATCTTGTGTCTACCTCATAATCTATTTTTCTATTCTCCTGTTGGTAGTCCAGATTGTTCTTTAAAATAATCTAAGTAAAAGCCATTTTCCCAGTTGCCCTCTGTCCATTCTTCCCTATATTTGAACACTTTCCTTAGTCCACAGTGCCTGGTGGGTTACACTGCTTCCTCTTCACTGAGGAGTGTACGAAAGGGCCTGCCTGCCTCCCCATGCCTACTCTGCTTAGCCCTGAATGCCTGTCCTCTGCCTGCTTTTCTCTTGAAGCTGCTCCCCTAAAGGAAGCTCGTCACCTCCTGACAGCCAATTCTATTGACCCTTCTGCAGCTCTTGTTCTTCTGATTGAGTTCCTGCTTTTGACCCTGGTGAGTAATCGATCTTCCTTGAATTCCCCGGTTTCCTTGACTCCTGTTCTACCCCTAACTTCTTTTGTATCTCTCTTGGTTACTCTTCCTCCACTGTCTTAGTAGTTTGGGCTACTATATCAAAATATCGTAAATGGAGCAGCCTATAAACTACAGAGATTTATTTCTCACAGTCCTGCAGGCTGTAAAGTTCAAGCTCAAGGCACCGGCAGATCTGGTTTCTAATGCAGGCATTTCCTGGGTCACAGATGGCATCTTCTCATGTGTCTTCACATGGTAGATGGGGCAAGAGGTCTCTCTTTTATAAGAGGCACTAATTCCATTCGTGAGGGTGCTGCCATCATGACCCAATCCCCCAACTCTAATACCATCCATCATCCCCTTGGAGGTTAGGTTTCAGCATACAAGTTCTGAGGGACATAAACTTTCAGACCATAGCATCTGCCTCCATTCTCAACATGGATGACCCCTAGGCTTTTCCCTTAATTACCTGACATTTTTCTAGGGACCTACTTCACTTCCTTCTTGGAGTTGGAGGGTAGAAATTGAGTCTGTCTCACTCAACACAGCAGCCCCAGAATTAACACACTGCTCAGTGAATGAGTATGTAGCACTCAGTATCAACCCTCAGGACCAGGAGGTCGAAACCAAATTGACACAGGGCCTCCTGAAAGAGATCAAACTGGCTCTGGAATCTAGAGTTTAGATTAATTTATTAATGGGTAAAAAGACAAATGAGCTGGAACAAAAAAAGTCCGTGTGACTCCAAAACCCAACCCCTGGTCTTGTTCTTCATGTTCAGGAACACTGACTTCACATTTCTTTCTTAACTGAGTGTTCATAATCATAACTTGATTGATGATCAAATGTCTCTCCCACCTCCTTTCTCATCAGTATTCATATGGCAGCTTGTTATTCCTCCCAGGTAAACTGGTTGAGAGGGAATATAAATTTGTTTAAGAGGTACCAATGTCAACTTTGCTCTAAAGCATCATGAACTTGGCCAGCTGCGGTGGCTCATGACTGTAATCCCAGCACTTTGGGAGGCCAAGGTGGGTGGATCACCTGAGGTCAGGAGTTTGAGACCAGCCTGACCAACATAGAGAAACCCCATCTCTACTAAAAATACAAAAATTAGCCTGGCATGGTGGTGGGCCCCTGTAATCCCAGCTACTTCGGAGGCTAAGGCAGGAGAATCACTTAATCCCGGGAGGCAGAGGTTGCAGTGAGCCGAGATTGCACCATCGCACTCCAGCCTGGGGGACAGAGTGAGACTCCATCTCAAAAAAAAAAAAAAAAGAAAGAAAAGAAGCATGAACTTGACCAGTGGCCTCAAATCACGGTCTCTGGCAGGTGACCCCAAGCCTTGGACTCAAGCCCTGACCTGTCACCCAAGCTTGGATCTACCTGTTGTTTCAGGGCCTCATCATCCTGTCAACTTCAACACAGCCAAAACCAAACTTCCCCGTGTCCCCAAACCCTTCTCTGTCTGACTTGCTGATGGGAGTCCTTGTCTTTGCTCAGTTCTCTGACAGCTAGAGCACAGGCTGATCTCCAGCCAAAGGTTGGACCTCATCCCCCCACAGGGCTTTCACCAGCCTGTCTGTTTGCCTGTCCACTTGGTGCCCTGGACTAAACATCCCTGGAGGAAACCTGGAGTGCTGTGGAGCTCAGAGCCCCCTGCCCTGAGCAGCTGGTCCCAGAGCTCCTTTGGTTATTTTGAGGATTTCTGAGAATACAGGTAAAGTACCTGTTACAAAGCTTCCTCTTTCCTCTTCGATGGCTTCCTCCATGACATATCTTTGATGGCTTCTTAGGGCCTTTTCCGAAGAGCTGAGGATGAAAAAAGAGGATGTGAGTCCCTTAAGGGCAGAGACTGTGTAGAATTCATTGATTATGCCCTGCCCCTGCCACTTGATGGCTGCGTGGCTGTGGAGAGCATGCCCTTTTTCTGCCCTTGGTACCACGTTAGTCATTAAAGCTTCACATCTTCTCCATCTCCCATAGCAAATGAGCACCTGGGTCCCATGGCCTTTAACCATTTCAAATGTTTATTCCTGAATTCTCCCCTCTCCCATACACACTCTAATCCAAGCTCTTAGTGTCTGGATCCTGAGCTATGTCCAGTAGCTTCTGACCCAGTCCTCTTGACTCCAGGAGTTTCTTCTCACAGCCTGGAATCCATTGTCCACGCCACTTCCAGAGATTTCCTCCCGAACTACTACTTTACTCTGCAACTCACCGTCTTGCTCAAAAACCATCCCCAGGGCTGATTACTGGTGGGATAACAGACACACTCTTTAACCTGCCGTTCAAGGCCTTGCATTTCCCATATTATTTTTCACCTTTTCTCCCCCGTTCCTATCTGTAAACCCTACACTCTAGGGTCCCAAATGTGCCCTTCACATTCCCATATCCTTGCCTTCACTCCCCTTCTTCTCTGAGCTCCAGGAATCTCCCATCATCCCCGCTGCACTGCCCTCTGCTCTAACAGCTCCTCATTGACCCAAGGAATAGGTCACTCGGCCGTGTAGAGGTGTTTCCCATCTTACTGTTCCAACCTGCATATGTCTTTCCTCTCCATGCAGATTGTCAGTTTCTAGAGGCAGAGCTTATGCTGTCTTCATCTTCATCCTCAGCATGGTGGTCAGAACCCTGCACTTGGCAGGGGCTGAGGAAAAATTTTTTGGTTGAACTTTTGCTGCCTAGCCTGACAGATTCACATGTTGGCCCTTCTGACCCACTCCTGCCCTCTTGGCTCTGTGGCCTTGGGACTGTGGACATCCCCGAGGGTCCTGGGGTGCCAACAGGGGTCTCCTGTCACATGGAGCCCTCCGGGACTGTGCAGGTTTGGGGGCGATCCCAAGAAAATTCTCCATACTATCCAGTGTCCATCCCAGATCATATCTGGAAATATACATACATCACCATGGTGCCAGGCTGGCAGACGGGATGAGCAAGGCTGCCTCCCAGCCTACGTAGGTGCCAGTTTTAAGAACAGAAGCAAAGTCATCAGGGAAACTGAGCTGCCACAATCTGCTGAGGCACTAACTTCTTTATGGAAATGATGCTGCAGCTCTAATTCAGTGCCGAGGACTGGTGGCAGTGGTCTCTGCCTTCCCCATCCCTTGATCTTTCCCAAGCCCCCTCATGCCCCAGTCCCATGTCACCCAACTCACAGGCAACAGGACATCTGTGTGTGTTTCAGGGACAGGCTTGCCTGGCTGTCAAAAAGCTGTTTCCTGTGCCCCTGGGGAGAGACCTGCAGGGAGCCACCGCCAGACGTTCCTGCTGACACTGCGCACAGGCCAGCTTTACTGGCAAGCTTGTGCTTTATTCGTAGGTCTCAATGTCACCTCCTCTGGGACAGAATGATACTTAATTTTGTCTCTTTTCCTAAAAATACTATTCCTGTCCTGTGTACAGAGCCATGGTGGGCATCTCCCTGACCCAGGCCCCTACTTCTGTGCCATGGGACCCTGCCCTCCTGGACATAATCAGGAGCCGGTTGACTGGACCGGGGTGGATGCCAAACCCAGCTCACCCAGTTGGATTCCTTTCCCTGGGGATTTGGAACTGGAATTTGGTGAGAGCTCAGTTGGCCCCAGAATTGAAGATATGTAACTGGGAGCTGGGTTGCCATCTGCCACCGTTAGCTGAAGATGCAGAAAAAGCTGATCTGTTGGAAAAGAAAACCAGTTCACAGAAAGAGAAGAATGAAGTGGAGGAGTGGAGGGAAAGGCCCTGCAATCCAAAGAGGGGGCTGCAAGAGCCACTCTCCGGGTCCCAGGCCCTCTTGGTCCAGTTGTAGTTCCCACCTTAGCTCTGAGGGACCCCCTGGCCTCTTGGACTATATCACCCATTCCTGTTTAGGCAGAGTGGGCTTCTGTTATCACCAAACAAGCCTTAGCTAAGGCCACACAGAAGAGATCTTGGAGATGGTCTGGTCAATCTCTTCCATTTACAGGTGAGGGGTTTGAGGTCCAGAGGTGTGTGGCGAGGCGCCCTCCGCTGTGGCCAGGCCAGGACTACAGCCCAGGTTTTCTGGCTCCCGGCCCAGCACTTTGCTCCCTTTGCCCTGTGGCCCTCTGGGGCCAGCAACTCTTTTAGAGATAGCAGGTGAGATAGGAGGAGCTCAGAGGTCACAGCCAGCCGGATCCAGATACAAATTGGTGGATGCTGCAGACACGTTACTTAGCCTCTCTGAGACTCAGCATATTCCTCCAGAATGTAGGGGTGATAACATCTAGTTAATAGGAGTGTTGTGAGAATTAAATGAGTATATATGGAGGAATTAGATTTTTTAAAAACTGTTGTGTTGACAGTAACCATGAGGTCAGAGTTGCCTTTCCTGGATCAAAGGCCTTCCATTCACAGACCCAGTTTTCTGACACATTGACTAACACTTATCATGTCGAGGCCTGCAATGAAATGAATTTTGATCTACCTTAAAAAATAAACAAATGACTTACAGTTATTTTGAGAGGAGGTAGGAAATAAAATAATAGGAAAACGTGAGTGGGTGGGGATCAGGACTGGCTATTCTAGAGGACAGGGGTGGGTCCCTTGTAACACAGCATCTCACTCCTGTCAACCTGGTGGCCAATGACAACAGAGTGAGGGGCAGTTGGCTCACCCCAGCCCTCCCATAGGTAACAGGTGCGGCAGCCCCAGGCCTTGACGCATGTGGTCATCAGAGAAACATGAGGGTGAGTCATCTGGGAGCAATTAAGAGGGGAGGCCCAGGAGGAGGCCAGACTGTGTCATCCATCCCATCACTGCCACAGCACTGGCCCAGTGCCCACTCACAACATTCCTTCTCCTGGGTCACAGGCCACAGGCCAGCCCAGAAGGTGGCTGAGGATGGGCTCAGGCATCCAACACTTCTGACTGGGGCCCAGATCCATCTCTCTTAAACTCAGCAGCTCTGAGGATCCCCCAATTCCATGGCAACGGGCTGCCTACCCACCTTCCCAAGGGGTGCTACTCTGACTTGCCACAGTCTAGTCTCAGCAAACTGAAGCTGTCCTTTAAAAACATAAATTAGAACATGTCACTCTTCAGCTCAGAACTTTCCAGTGTTTTCCCACTTCTCTCAGAGCAAAATGCAAAGTCAATGGTTCACAAAGCCCTACAGGATCCGCCCTGCTGCCTTCCCCATCCCTAACCCTGTACAGTATTTCACTTGCACTTTCTAGCCATGCTGGTTTCTTTGTTTTTCTTCAAACACAACACATACCCTCTTGCCTCAGGGCCTCTGCACTTGCAAACCCTACCCCCTCTCACCACCCTGCCACCACCATCACTAGAATTCTCAGCCTTCCAGTCGGCCAGCTCCCTCGCCTCAAAGTTACCTTCTCAGTGGCCCCCAGTCCCAGCATTCCTTATCTCTCTTACTGTCTGCTTTATTTTTCTCTCCAGCACTCTTGTCACCAACTCACATACCATACAGTTTACTTATTTGTTTATTGTCTGTCTTTTTCTACGAGAATCTAAGCTTTTTGAGTGTGGAGATTTTGTTTCTGTCACTGCCATATCCCAGGGCCCAGAACAGTGCCAGGCACTAGCAGGGGATCGATAAGCACCTGTCGAAAGGCCACGTGGACATCAAGAGACTTACCATCTACTGGGCACTGAGGGTTCTGGGCTAAGAGCTTTTCTAATATTATTTATTTCATTTTTTTTTCTTTTGAGACAGAGTCTTGCTCTGTCCCCCAGGCTGGAGTACAGTGGCGTGATCTCCGCTCACTGCAACCTCCGCCTCCCGGGTTCAAGCAATTCTCCTGCCTCAGCCTCCCGAGTAGCTGGGATTACAGGTGCCTACCACCACACCTGGCTGATTTTTGTATTTTTAGTAGACACAGGGTTTCACCATGTTGGCCAGGTTGGTCTTGAACTCCTGACCTTGTGATCTGCCTGCCTCAGCCTCCCAAAGTGTTGGGATTACAGGCGTGAGCCACCACGCCTGGTTATTTATTTCATTTTATACTTATGACAACCCTGTGAAGTCCCTCTGTCATTCTATGCAGCCGTTGAAATTGTCATTCTTGCCATTTTATACAGGATGAAATAAACTCAGAGAGAAGGTAATGAGCATAATCTGTCTGAGGTCACAGGATACGTGGCAGAGCTGAAATTCGAATCCTAGCATTCTGACTTCAGAACCTGTTTCCTGGACACTCTGGCTTCTCTCGATGTGGTCCCCGGCCCGGCAGCATCAGCACTGTCTGGGAGCTTGTGGGAGGTGCAGCATCTCAGGCTCTACCCCAGACCTACTGAATCAGAATCTGCATTTTCACAATACTTCCTGGGTGAGCCCTTCCAGGGCACACTAAAGTCACCACTATAAGCAATGGGATCTGCTGTATGGAAAACAGGGGGCCTCGCTCTGAACAAGGGGCTGCCCACGGCCTGGGGGTCATTCCCCTGCCATTACCGCCCCCCGCCCTACCCAGGAGCGCTCCCCTGTCTGCTGTTGCAATCCTGAAAGAAGGCTGAGAAGGGCTTGGTGCAGGTAGTGAGGCTTTAGGCTTCCTCTTCAGCTGCCCACGGGCCTCTGTCGGAGGGCCAGATTTCGTGTTGATCAGGGAAGGCTCAGCCCCTGCCTGTGTGTGAGAGCCAGGCCTGTCATGGACAGGGCTGTTGGAGAAAACGCTCCCCGTTCACTTAGGGAGCAGCAGGCTGCACCTCTCAAAAGCAGGCAGAGAGCCAATTTGACATCAGAGGTACAGCGCTGAGCCCGGGCAAGAAGCCATTTCCCCTTGACACTTCTCAGGCACTTGGACCAGGAAGGCTGTTAAAACAAAAACAAAACCTACTCTCATTTAGGTTATTAATGCCTGGGAGCCCTGACACTCATTTTATTACCAGGAGCCACCTTTGGTCTTGACATTCACTAAGGAGTGGGCCTGGAATAAAACCAGAAATCCCCATTCTCAGTCTGCCCCAAGCCCTCCAATTCCGAGGGCGCTGTATGTATAAGCTCGGGCAGGCAAAAGTCGACTGTGAGAACACGCCAGCAGAGGGCGCTGTGGCCCCATCAGTCCCTGCCCACTGAACTCTCCAGAAGGAAAAGCGGCAAGGATGCAAACAAGAAAATCAGACCAGACTGGGAGTCTAGACCCTGCGTCCCACGCGGTCCCACCATGGCTTCCTCTTTGGAATTTTCAGGGGGACCCAGGAAGACTGACACCGCTGATCTGTGCCTACAGGAAAGCCAGTGGCCCCTCACAGAGGGATCAGTTCCAAAAGGACACCCCAAATCCGTATTCGGAACTCACAATAAAGGGACTTCCATTCATTCCTTTATTTACTTAACTAGCATTTGTTGAGTACCTGCAATGGGCCAGGTACAGGGCTGGACGAGGTGTTTTTTCCATAAAATGATGCTGTGACAATGGTTAGATTCCAAGTTTGCTGCCCCACCCCGCCCCGCCAAAAAAAAACTGTTTTATATCTTTAATGGAATGAGACTATTTTCTGTTTTAGGGTCAGAGAAAAGGAATAGGGGAAGGACAGTGTGGAGAAGAGAGAGAAAGGAAGGGAGACAAGTAGGAGCGAGAGGACTGGAGAGAAAAAGAAGCTGGGTTTCAATCCCATCATGGTATATATATATTTATAATTATTTTATTATTTTTCCTCCTGAGTAAAAAAAATAGTACCGAGTAGTTGGGACTACAGGTGCATGCCAACATACCTGGCTAATTTTTAATTCTTTTTGTAGAAACAGGGTCTCACTATGTTGTCCAGGTTGGTCTCAAACTCCTGGCCTCAAGTGATCCTCCTGCCTCAAGCCTCAGCCAAAGCTCAGGATTACAGGCGAAGCCACTGCACCCGGCCCTGGTGTACACAAAATACTGAACCATAAAAGGTTTGGTTTTGGCATCATCCTATTTCCCTTTCTAGACCTGGACCCGAGACTTATCTCTGCAGAGCACAGCATTATGTGAGGCGCCCCAAAGCCAAGTGTCTGCAGCTGCTGCTCTTCCCAGCTCAGTGTTGGTAGGAGCTCAATCTCTTAAAAGAAAGCACCCTGATATGGGACAGACCAGCCCTCCCAGGGACTTTGCACATCTTTTTTTTTTTTTTGAGTGAAACAGGGTCTTGCTCTGTTGTCCTGGCTAGAATGAAGTGACACAATCATGGCTCACTGCTGCCTCAACCTCCTGGGTTCAAGTGATCCTCCTGCCTCAGCCTCCTGAGTATCTAGGGCTACAAGCACATGCCCAGCTAATTTTAAAATATTTTTTATTGTAGAGGCGGAGATCTCACCACGTTGCCTTGGCCGGTCTCCAACCCCTTGTGAGCTCAAGTGATCCTCCCACCTCGGCCTCCCAAAGTGCTGTGATTATAGGTGTGAGCCCTTACACCCAGCCTGTTTGCATCTTTTAATGAGTACCCAAATTAACCTCTAATTGGTAAGTTCCCAGGCAGTGGGCTGGAGGGGAGTGACAATTTCAGACTGTGCTGAGGATGGAATTTGGAAGCAAATTAGAGTTAGGGGCTGGGATGGAAAGATCATTGGCAAGTTAGGGGGTTTGCAGATCAGGGGTAAATATCTCTAGCAGTTTTGAGTGACTTCAGTGTCATTCTGCATGTGTGCTTGGGTGAGGCCAGAGACAGAAGGTCAGTTCAGGGAAAAGGCTGGAAGCCAGAGAACTGCTGAGCTGGGAGAAAGGCCTCAAGGTAATGGGGCTGCAGCAGGCCTGACTCTCCAGGGGCCACCACCTGAGAGCCCTCCCCATGCAGCATGGTTCTCCAGCTGGTTCTCTAGCATTTTGCCCTGCAGAACAGATGCCCTTGCTGCCAAATTGCCCACACAGCAGTTCCCTGTGGTCAGGAGAGACTTGCTCAGAAAGTCCTGCCTCAGCGGCTGTGAGCTGGGCTCTGGGAGCCTGGGTCTTTCCTAAAGAGCCTGCTGTAGGAGGTGAGCAGAGCCTAACAGGCCCGGGGACACAGTTGTGCCAGGGCCATGCAAGGACAGATTCCCTTCCCACCGCAAGCCAGGTTTTGCCATGGCACTGCATGCTAAAGTCCTCCATTAGGATGAAACTTAGTCATCGCGCACATGGATCTCCTCCTCTGCCTCCCAGGGGATCCCAATTAAGAAGCCCCCCTGCTTGCTGTTCCTTTGAAAAGTTCTGCTGGCTGTGCAGGAAGCGGGGCAGGGGAGGAGGAGACCTGCCTGCTCACCAGGCCTTGGTGGGACCACAAGAGAATCTGGGTCCCTGTCCTGCAGAATGTAAAGCTGGGGTTGCCCTGCCTCGGCCATTGTGCCTTTGCTAACGCTGAGTTCTCCAGTGGAAGCATTCCTCGGATCACCTCTCAAGTCCTGGCCATCAAAATTAATCCAGAGTGACAGAAGTCAAAATAGGGTTACCTTTAGAGTGCAAGGATGACAGGGAGGATTCTAGAGTGCTGATGCCCTATTCCTGATCTCGTGGTGGGGATATGGGTGTGTACTATGTGTAAAAATTCATCAAACTGAATATGTCAAATGGTGATGCTGCTTTGGAAAACAGTTTGGCAGTTCCTCAAAAATGGAACATGGAGGCCGGGCGTGGTGGCTCACGCCTGTAATCCTAGAACTTTGGGAGGCCGAGGTGGGTGGATCACCTGAGGTTAGGAGTTCGAGACCAGCCTGGCCAACAGGGTGAAACCCCGTCTCTACTAAAAATACAAAAATTAGCCAGGCATGGTGGTGAGCACCTGTAATTCTAGTTACTTGGGAGGCTGAGGCAGGAGAATCACTGGAAACCGGGAGGTGGAGGCTGCAGTGAGCCGAGATCAAGCCACTGCACTCCAGCCTGGGCAACAATGCCAGACTCCATCTCAAAAAAAAAAAAAAAAAAAAAAAAGGAGGGGTAATCTATAGACTAAAACAGACTAAAAAGTTATATCAGCCAGTTTCAACATCTGCATCTCATTTGTACCCTGATTCAAATTCTTTTTTTTTTTTTAGACAGAGTTTCACTCTTGTTGCCCAGGCTGGAGTGCAATGGCGCCATCTCAGCTTACTGCAACCTCTGCCTTCCGCATTCAAGTGATTCTCCTGCCTCAGCCTCCCAAGTAACTGGGATTAGAGGCACTTACCACCACGCTCGGCTAATTTTTGTATTTTTAGTAGAGATGGGGTTTCACCCTGTTGGCCAGGCTGGTCTCGAACTCCTGGCCTCAGGTGATCCACCTGCCTTGGCCTCACAAAGTGCTGGGATTACAGGCATGAGCCACTGTGCCTGGCTCAAATTCTTTTTAATAATTCACACAGGACAGTTTTAAGACAATTGGGAAATTTAAATTCTAGGAATTATTGCTAGTTTTGCTGTGCAGTAGAATGGTGGTTATGATACCCAAGAAGTTCTTTTCGAGTGATCTGCTAAAACATTCACAGATAAAATAGTATGATATCTGGTATTTGACTGAAAATAATAGAAGATGGAGTGAACTGATGGGTGTGGGGATGGGGCTGGGTTAAGCCATTGCTGGGGCAGGAGAGTGGGTAGGTTTGTAGTAGTTCATGATACTATCCTGTCTACTTTTGTGTATGTTCGAGTCTCCAAAGTTAATAAAGCTAAAACAAAGATATATATAGATCAAAAAATATATATGATGTATAACAAAGTATTTCTCCAGAGAAACAAATATAAACAAAATGGAACAGATTGAGAATCCATAATTATGTAAGAACAAGATCTTTCTCATCTCAGCCAGTTTTTCCATAACTAGGTTTTTTGGCAATGTGTGTTTCACAAGCTGGGACTCTCAACTCCTAATCCAGAAAATTAAGCAGAAACTTACAGATTACTAAAACCCAAGGAGAAAGAGTTGGATGCAGAAAAATTTATGGAAGATTCTGGGTCAGAAATGAGCAAGTGTTCACACCAGAAGGTCCTCTACTGAAGGCATGAGCCAGGCTGCAGACGTGCTGGTGACTGAATTGGATATGAAAATAGCATATCTGTCTGGCATCCTCCTTCCTCACAGAATTGGATGGCAGATCCCTGGTTCTCAGGACCATTGAACATTAAAACCACCTGGGGGCTGGGCACAGTGGCGCACACCTGTGATCCCAGCACCTTGGGAGGCCGAGGCGGGTGGATCGCTTCAACTCAGGAGTTTGAGACCAGCCTGGGCAAGATGGGGAAACTCCATCTCTACAAAACAAACAAACAAACAAACAAACAAACAAACATCCCACCTGAGGAGCTCTGAAAACATACAGATGCCCAGGCCCATCCTGGACCAATTAGATTGAGATCTCTGCAGGAGGGAGGCCTGGGGTTTCAGTGGTTTCAAATGCTCCTCGGGTGATTCTAACCTGCAGCCAGAGTTGAGACTTGTGGTGTTAGGACAGGCAAGATTGGGATTTAAGCTGGTGTGCCCATATTTAAAAACAGCTGGGTGAACGAGCTGGGAAATGGTGGCAGCCATGGCTGCCAACTCAATGACAAATTGAGTTGATAGGTGAGACACTGGGTGTCACCTTTAATCTGTTTGCTGTGAGTCACCTGAGGTCATTTGGAGCCACTGTGTCCAACCTGAGTCACTTCTCTCTGGGACTCTGGGGTGTGGCTAAGATCCTAGTAGGCCGAAGGTTGGCTGCTTTGGACTGAGCTGTGGGCTTCTATGCTGCAGGCTTTGGCAAGCGCATATCAAGTACAAGCGTAAACAGCTGGTCAGCAGAAGACACAGTCTGGATAAAGCTGGGGAGGGAAGAGTTGTGGAGTGCACGAAGATTGGCCTCCTGCTTCATGCTGGGCTGTGAGTCAACCCAAAGTAACACTCAGCAGCTGAACAGGCAGTGCCAAGCCCAGATTCCATCTCCACAGCAATGAGATTCCTCCCCCAGCATCCGTGTCTAGCGCTGAATAGTGTGACTTTCATCCCTGCCACAGCAGAAAGTCAAACTGGCTAATTGGCAGGGAACAGAGAGATTTAAAGCAAACGCGTCAGGAGCCACTGATCCCCGACGACTGTGGGGAGGGGAGACACGTAGTTTCTAAGCAATCGCGACACGTTATGGGAAACTGTGATTCAAGTTTCCCAAATTCTATTCTCAGGTATTAGCTGTGGCACAGAGCAAGGCCCCCTTCCCTGCAACTTCCTTGCCACTCAGGTCGGTGGGAGGGACAGCTCGAAGCTAGGATGAGTGTTGCTTAACCTTTTGCCTGTCCAACAGGAGCCAATCACTTCCAGGACATCTTGATCCAGAGGGAAGGCACCTGCCCCCAACACGGGGTTTGTGGCTGAGCTGGCCTTGCGTCATGCCCGCCTGCTCCAGGTGTGACTTGCACTTTGACCTTCTCTTTGCCTGAGCCCCACCAGTTTACCTGTTCTGACCACTGACCAGCTCAGCACTGCTCACAGTGCCCCAGCATTGGGGTCCCTCTTGCTTGGCCTCTTTCAGAAACTTCCCTTCTCAGGCGGCCTTTTCAGGTGTGGCCTGGGACCTCTGCCTCTCTGCCTCTGGCCCCAGAGGTCCCGGCCTCACTTATCTGCTGCCAGAAAATGAGAAGGCAAGGCTCTGTAACCAATCAATCGGCCAGCCGGCCAAGGAAATATTGAAGACTCATAAAGAGCTTTGAGAGAGACGTATTTGGGAAGCGCTATCTGTAGGAGGCGGAGTGCTCTGGGTGTGAGGGGGAGATGCAGGGGCTATGGACTCAGGACTGATTCTTGAAGGAGGTGGGGCTAGGATGAGGTGAGAAGGATGAGCATATTAATTTGGTGGTGAGAAGAGGTGGGACAGGGTGGCTGAGTGTGTGGGGACCAGAGAAGAGGCAGGAGTGAGTGCGTGCTGAGAACACTCGTGGGTGGGGTGATACCCCCAAATACTTAACCATGGGCCCTGACCCACCAGAATCTGTGCCAGGTAGGACCCTTAGCTGCTAGGTTGTGGGGACACCTGGCCAGTCCTGGGAAAGGACCAGGAGAATGATGGGCAGGTGGCCACTGGGTCGGAGGTGGGGGCAGCTCAGGGCAGCAGCTGTTTACCAACCAGTATGGAAGTGGTTCAATATTTTATTAACTATAAAGGACCCTAAAGAGTGTGCAGTAACAGAATCCTCACCATGCCCGTGGGATGGGGCAGCGACATGGCCGCAACACCCCACCATGAGATGTGAGCTCAGCACTCAGACACTCTGAGGGGATGAGCTGTGTACTTGTCTGCAGGAGGACACAGTCATGAGTCAGAAGCTGCTGTTTTCCTTCCTTGGAAAGGAAGGTACGTTCCAGCATAGTGCAGGGGGCCCCTCAGGCCACCCCAGGCTTAGGGGAAGCTGAGCTGCCTCTATCCTTGCCCAGCCATTCCCAGCTTCCCCCTCTGCAGCCCTGGCCCCACCTGGGCGTGGCTCCCACAGCGGTGTGGGATAGAGAGGCTCTCAGGCTCCCCTGTGAGTCTGACTCCAATTCCTGTTGGTCTTGTAAAGTCAGAAGAAATCCCAGTGATGACAAGAGTATAAAACAAGACTTGTCAAACTTCATTTTGAGCCAGGAAAATCACAGGATTGTCATCGGGACAGGGGTTGTTGTTGTGACCTCTGTAGTTGGTCTGGCTGCTGCATAGTCGCTCTCGCTGAAAGCCACAAGACTTTGCTGGAAGGAAAGCCTTCCTCCCTCGATATGGAGGGCTCCGAGCTTCACAGGCAACCGCAAGGATCTGGCATGTGTCACACAGCAATGCTTCGACAGGCCAGGAATCCCACCTTCAGGGACCCCCAACAGAAGAAGAATCCCAAGTGCTGACACTGTAGAGCAGACGTCAGCTGCAAGCTCAGCACAGCCACTGCAGTGAGAGGTCTTGGTGGAAGCGACAGAGCTGACCTGGCTGACTCGTGCAGGCAATGGACATGGGGAAATATGTGCAGAACTTATCAGTCGGAAGGCTGGAGAACCGCATGGGGAAAATGGGCAGGTATCAAGGCGGCTGGCAGCAGGAGATGCAGGCGAGGCCAAGCTGTGGCCAGGCTGTGGTGAGGATACCGTGGCCGGGACTGCTGCCACAGGACACAGGATGCTACTCTCACAGATGGTCTCCTGGCCTAGCTGCCATGGCCAAAAATAAGTTCTCTTCTGTTCCTGCACCCTAGCCTTCAAAGCCCCACTGGGCTGGGCAGGATAGGAAGGCTGTGACCTCTGCAGGGGTGGGGGACAAGAGGGACACCTGGTTCCTTCCATTCCTTCCATTTCCAGAGGGGCTGATGGATTCCTGCCAAGAGTCACCGGGGAATCCTCCCAAATAGAATGGATGCTGGAAGCTGGACCGCCAAAACAAACAGAACAATAGCAACAAATGCCCATTATATATTGGGGAAGCAATTGTGTCGATGGAAACAATAGAACGAGCTAGTTTTGTCTTTAAACCTAGGAAATAAGGCCAGGCATGGTGGCTCATGCCTGTAATCCCAGCACTATAGGGGGCTGAGGAGGGTGGATCACTTGAGGTCAGGAGTTCGAGACCAGGCTGGCCAACATGGTGAAACCCGGTCTCCACTAAAAATACAAAAATTAGCCAGGTGTGGTGGTGCACACCTGTAATCCCAGCTACTCAGAAGGCTGAGGCAGGAGAATCGCTTGAACCCGGGAGGCAGAGGTTGCAGTGAGTTGAGATCACGCCATTGCATTCCAGCCTGGGCGACAGAGAAAGAGTCCATCTCAAAACGAAAACAAAAACAAAAAACACCAAAAAAACAAATAAATCTAGGAAATAGATGAATAACATCACCTCCCAGGTGAATAAGAGAGCAAAAGACTCTGTGGGTTCATCCTCTCATTCCTCAGGGGAACCATTTCCAAATGAGACATGTACACAGGCAATACCTGCAGGGCGAGCTGCATTCTACATAGACATTCAAAACCGTCTCAATTCAAAACCGTCTCGATTCAGAGGAGTGCAGCTCCTATCTCATGCAGACAGAGAGGGTGGGGTGACTGCATCAGAGGTCTGGTCAGGACTTGAGAGATACAGTGAAATTTGATTGTGGCTGGTGGATGAAGTAAGGTTTGATAGAAATAGAATGGCCCATGCATGTCCTCTGGGGACCCACGGACACCCTGAAATTGTATGCAAAATGTTGCGTGTGTGTTCATGTACTTTTTCTGGAACAAGGTGACAGCCTTTATTGAATCCTCAAACAAAAACAAGCACTGCTCTAGAATAATATTTCCTAAACACACTCATCACCCGACACCCCAAGGCTTGACAGGATGCTCTAAAGTATCCATTTCTGTCCTCATCCGTTCACATGCAGCATTTAATCCCACTTCCCAGCCTTCTGCCCTCTTCTCCTGTCTCCTCTCCATGCTTAACACGCCAGCCCCAGATGCTCCTCCTTGCCACCCAGGGCCTGAGTCATACATCCATCTGCTGAGCTAAATATCTCTACTTGGATGTTTAAAAGGCACCTCAGCCTGAATTCATTCCAACTAGAACTCTTGATTCACACCCCCACGGAAAAACCCCATTCCTCCCCCGGGCTCATCTAGCTCAGTTCACGGCATTTCTCTTTCTGTAAAGCCGGGGAAGTGTGCAGTGGTGAAGTGCTGGGTCCAAATTCCAGCTTTTCCATTTGCTAATGGTGGGACTTTATGCAAACTGATTCAACTCTCTGGGCCTCGATTGCCTCTTCTGTAAAATGTGGGAAGAACTAATTCCTAATTCATAGGAGTGTTATGAAATCTAGACAGGTTAAACTATGTGAAGGGTTTAGAGGAGCGCCTGGCTAACCGTATTAGCCACTGTCATTCTTTTTCTTCCAGTTGCTCAGGACAAATCCTAAGAATGATGCTTATTTCTCTCTTTCCCTCATGCACCACACCCAAGCTCATCAGCAATTCCTGTCCATTCCACCTTCAGATACAGATCACAAATCTGACCTCCTCTCCCCATCTCTGTTGCTACCCTACTCGCCTGGGCCGCATGGTCACTTGTGGTGGTCTCCTAACTGCTCCCCTTGTGTCTACCATGGCCATCATCCCCACACCAGCTCTCCAGGTGGCAGCCAGAGTGATCTTACAAAACCGTAGGTCAGGTCATTGCCCCCTGTCAGACTCAAGCCCATCACAGCCCTTGCTATGCTGACAGGCCCATCCCACCCCAGCCCGCTCCCCCCACCACCTGCCCCCCTCCGCCACCTCACCTGTGCCTTCTGCACGCCTCTCCCACCACTCCCCCTCCCTCCCTTTACTCTGGCCACTCTGAATGTCACTGGTCCTCCTTGAGCCCTCCTGAGCCCTCTGCCCAGAGTAATGCCAGAGTGGAGGCCACAGCTGAAGGCAGAGGCTGTTGGCCTGGGGTGGAGAGGGGAGATTCCTCTGGGTGGAAGGTGACATTGGGCAGCCTTGGATGAAGTGAATACCTGGTGTGGGGAAGCAAAAATAAATAGAGAAACAAACGGATTAATTTTGCTTCTTTCCAGGGACTTGATTTTCTACAAGTGCTGCTCCAAGAGGCTTCTACACCCCCGCAGGGAGGCAAGCACCGTTTTGAGGTGGCCGGGCTGGCGAGGAGGTGCAGACCCCAGCCAGCTGGAGGGGCTCTGCCCTGATGGCGTTCCCACTCCCACCTCATTCGCAGGGCGCCGGGGAGGGCTGCAGGTGTTCTATTCCCACCCGGCTTGCAGCGCAAGGAGGGGAATCGCCTGACACCTTCCCCTTCTCCTCTGCCCCGCTTCCTTTCTCTGCTCCCACAGGTGGAAGTCACCAGCGGAAACAACCCTTCACTGTATGGAGGGCTGGGAGAGAGGGGCCAAGAGGGCCCCGGGAGAGCCACTGGGCGGCAGGCAAGGGGCGGGGCAGTCTCCCTTCCGGCTTCCGGGACCGAAGGGTGAAGGGCAAGGGGAGCTCAGGGAATGAACGAGTGCTCCCGACTAATGTTTAACCCACGACTCCGAGACTCCGACTGGTCACAGTCCTGCAGACCTCCAGGTCCTGCACAGGCGACGCAGCGCTCCACTGGCCCGGAATGCGCACCCCGGGGGAAATGGAAAGTGCCATTGAAATGTCAGATGTCACCGTCTTCATCAGCACTCTTGGAATTTTGGCCAAAGTGGCTTCTTCTTTTGCTGAGACTTGACTCACTCCCGGCAGAGGGATGATAGCGGCCTTGCCCCGAGCGTTTATCCGGCTGCAGGCGTCATTCTTGGTCGCCTGTGTGTCCAGAGCCCCAGCGCAGGAAGGGAGCGCAATTCCCACCGCGCCCGCTGGGTGGCGCTAGCGCCGCACCGTGTCCCGGGATGAGGGGAAACCGCGCTGCCCAGTCAGTACCCCGACGCCCCCGCGCCCCCGCCGGGCCCCGCGCGCTGCAGCCACCGCCTCTTCTCGGCTTCCTCTTGCTTTACAGTAACTCTCCTCCTGGGGAAAAGGCTTTTCACGGAGCAGGCTCGGAGCCTACGGGGCTGGCCTCGGACTGGATGGGGGTAAGGACGGGTGGCGGCGCTCGCGCCGAGCGAACGGAGGGCTCAGGCGGCCGGTGATCAGGGACGGGCTGCGGCCGCCGTCTGGGGTGAGAGGCCCACCCAGAGCTCTGGGCCAGGGCTCGCGGCTCTCGTGCAGATGCTGGGCCGGGAGGTGTGGGGAGGGGGCTTCCCAGGCGGGGCAACCGGAGGGGAATGGGGTGTGCAGGAGGGAGGGGAGGCGTGGAGCGCCCGGCCTGCAGGCACTGGGCGGCGCTCTCCAGCCTCCTCTTCTCCCGCCGGGTGCCTGGTGGCTTGGCCTCCCCTCCAGAGCTTCGCATATCCTGGCGGGAGCCGGCGCTCTCTCTCCATACTTAGGACTTGACCCTTATTCCACACCCGGGCAGGGAATCATTTGCCCAATCCGAATTTGATTTTCTGCTTGTGAGAGGAGAAACTGGTGACAGTGTCGCATGGACACTGTCGGGGAAGCCGAGACGTAGACCTGGAAGCCTGTACCAGAGGCCTTGTGGACAGCTTTGGAGCATGCATCTTAAGGCACACCACCGGTTTCTGCTGCTTTGGCACAGCCACGCAGCACCTAGGATGCTTCTCTGCACGCAGCAGAGGCCTAATCCGTGCACCCTCTGACGGTGTTGGAGGGAGCTGGGGAGCAACATCAGATTAATAGCCCCTGGGCTATTTGTATGACGTGCAGATTTCACCCTCTCATTCTTAAAGGGTGAAAGGCTGCAATTCAGAAAGGCGAAGATGGGGCCCAGGAATCTGCAATCTGCGTGGGGTTTTTTTTTTTTTTATGAAGTCTTGTTCTGTCGCTCAGGTTGGGGTGCAGTGGCGCGATCTGTGCTCACCGCAACCTGTCTTCCAGGTTCAAGCGATTATCCTGCCTCAGCCTTCTGAGTAGCTGGGACTACAGGTGCATGACACCACACCTGGCTAATTTTTGTATTTTTAGTAGAGATGGGGTTTCACCATGTTCGCCAGGCTGGTCTTGAACTCCTGACCTCAAGTGATACGCCCACCTTGGCCTCCCAACGTGCTGGGATTACAGGCATGAGCCACCGCGCCTGGCCAGAGTTTGCATTTTGTTGTTGTCGTTTGTTTGTTTGAGACGGAGTCTCGCTCTGTGGCCCAGGCTGGAGTGCAGTGGCGCCATCTCGACTCACTGCAACCTCTGCTTCCCAGGTTCAAGCGATTCTCCTGCCTCAATCTCCCAAGTAGCGGGGATTAACAGGCGTGCCACCACCATGCCTGGCTAAATTTTTTATTCTTAGTAGAGACAGGGTTTCTCACGTTGGGCAGGCTGGTCTCAAGCTCCTGATCTGCCCGCCTTGGCCTCCCAGAGTGCTGGGATTACAGGTGTGAGCCACCGCGCCTGGCCTGTTTTGTTTTCCTAAATCCAGAAGTTCTGATTCAAGCCTAAACCTGCCACTTCCATTCCCAATCCTCTGAGCTTCATGAGCTCCAGACACAGGGCTGTTAATCACAATTTCTTTAATTCTTTATATCTCTTGTGGAATTAGAGGAGTAGATGTTCTTTCTTTTTGGGAAAAACATTAGAAAATGCCTACATGTCTTTATTGAAAGAACTTAAAAACAATGTATTTCTCTAGGGTTTATTTTCCCTCACGGCTCTCAACCTTCTCAAAATATAAGGTTGGCGGATTAATTATACTGAAAGTCTTCAGTTGGATATTTTATTATAGTATTTTTAAAGTCGTGTTTTGTAATTGCCCTGACAATGTAAGGAATGATATTTGTGAGGGTGAGTCAACAACACCTTCCCTGTTGGTGTCTGCCCTCTAATAACCCCACGGGCTGGATCCCCAGCACCTGGAAGGAATCATCATGGAACGTTAATAAGGAGGAAGGCTGGTTCTGGCGCCTGGAACACTTCAGAGACAGAAAGCAGTGACTAGGCCAGACAGGCCCGTTGTTTTTGCGCTTTGAGAGAGAAGTGAGAAATGGAAAGTAGTCTCTTTATCTTCTCAGCAAATACAGCCTATGCTCAGAATTTCTCCGACTTCCCATCTCTGAGATGCCGGATGCCCAGTTCCACAGAATCATGGCAAGCGAGAAACTGTCGTTCATAAGAGTTCAAGAAAATGAATATTCTCTCAACTCTGTGAGGGCCAGTGGGTTCCAGGCGAGATGAGACAACTTGGTGAGCGTCGTAACTGAGCTCCCAATGCATTTAGAAGCCTCTGGATGGCCGGGGGGTGCATTCCAGCTGTGCTGGAAAAATTATATTTTGAAGTTAAATCTGGTAGTGTTTTTTCCAATATGAATAGGCCTCAGGAAAGAGATAATACATTTCCTTCTTTGTTCAGAGGGTGCTCAACTTGCTGGAGTCATCTCTGCTATGGCTTTATTTGCCAACAACAGAGAACTTGCTCTGCAGCAGCCCCAGGCTCTCTGGGGACCCCACAGGCTATGCAGATCCCCCACCCCAGAACCACAGAAGGAGACAGAGCAGAAGCACACCCCGTCTTCCAGGCCCAGGACAGCTGCTGAGCTCCAGGACACGGACTCTTGAAGGTTGATTTTGACTACTTACTAAGCTCCAGCTGAACCAGTTCCACTTCTTTAACCTTCCCATGATCCCTGTGAGGGGTCTGTGGTATTGCTATTTGCAAGTAAAGAAAGTGAGATTGAGGGAGGCTGAAAGACTTGGCCCCAAGTCACAATGCCCTGCTGAATGTGGTGCTGCCTCCTGGATATCCTGGGTGCTTCAACATCAACAGCTCTTGGCAAGTGAGTGGGCCACGAAGGATGGACGAGGGACATGGGGGAGCAAGCCCAGCTGCACGGTTCCAGCTCTTTCCGCCACATCACAGCTTCTGCAGTTGGGAAGACTGAACAGTGATCTTCAGTTTGTTCGTCAAAGGGCCAAGAAATCTGTGTCCTCACCTTCTCTGCTTCAATTCTGGTGCTGCTTAAGCCGATTATCATTTCATGCCCTAAACCAAAAAATAAACTCTACAAACATCAACATTACATAGGACAGGATCTGGCCCACAGGTAAGAAAAGCACCTACAAGAGAGCTGCATGGAGCTGTGGGTGCATTTCCTGTTACCACCAGGGCATCCCAGAATGCTGACAAAGAGAAAACTAAGACCTTCCCACTCTGATTTGTTACATGTCATAACACCAAGCAAGTGACAGAGGAGACAATTATGGGGCCCAGAGGAAGGTGCCTGTATCATGTAGACAAAATCCAAAGCAGCTTGTTTCAGACAAAACATTTTGCTTTGGAAACTTTTGAAACTTCCATGGCCGTTGAATATAGCAGAGATGATCTAAAAATTTTAGAAGCGGTTGAGGTACCCGTGGTAGGGGCAAGGCATGGGAGTGGTGATCCTTAAGGGGCTTGTCTTTAGTTTGAGGGCCACACACAGAGGAGGTGGGCAGAAAACTGAGGTCTCCCCAGAGCAGCTTTCCAGACAAAAAAAATAAAAAATGACCAAGAAAATACCTGATATAATTGACAATGCCATGAAATGAAAAGTTTATCATAAATTCTAATAAAAACTACAATGGGCTGGGCGCAGTGGCTCATCCCTGTAATGGCAGCAGTTTGGGAGGAGGAGGCCGGAGGATTGCTTGAGGCCAGGAGTTTGACAGCAGCCTGAGGAACAAAGTGAGACCCTATCTGTATTTTAAAAATATACTTTAAAAAATATTTTTAAAAAACAGCAGATGGATATCCCTACTGCATTTGAGACCTGGTTTCGGTTCGACCTCCTCTGGGGAAGCTCACAAGCAACACTAGAATCTCAGCTCTCTCTGTTCGCTGATGTCATCTGAGATTTTTCTTTTTTTTTTTTTTTTTTTGGCAATGGAGTCTCGCTGCGATGCCCAGGCTGGAGTCTAATGGTATGATCTCAGCTCACTACAACCTCCGCTTCCCTGGATCAAGCAATTCTCCTACCTCAGCCTCCTGAGTAGCTGGGACTACAGGCGCGTGCCACCATGCCCAGCTAATTTTTGTATTTTTAGTAGAGACCAGGTCTCACCCTATTGGCCAGGCTGGTCTTGAATTCCTGACCTCAAATGATCCACCCACCTCGGCCTCCCAAAGTGCTGGGATTATAGGCGTGAGCCACCACACCCAGCCCATCTGAGGTTTTTCTAATGTAGAGAATATACCATAGTGTTTTAAATAACCTACCCTCTTACATTTGACTGCACTCCCTTCTTCAACACACAGATTGGGGGCAGGAGCTGCTTTTTCAATGAGAAGAATGAACAGACCTAGTGGGCGTTGCCTTTAGACCCAGGTAAGAGGAATCCCAGCCTTGGGACATTACTTTCAAGGGCCAAGCCCATAGGCCATCCTTCTAGAACATTCTTTGGGTAGCTAGGGCTTCATAAGTCACTTACTGGGTTTGTCCTCCTTGAGTGGACTGTGTTGTCGGTGTGCACACCTGTATTTCCATGGAATGGTATCTTAGTCCTGCTGCTATAACAATACCTGAGACTGAAAAATGTATAAACAATAGACATTTATTTCTCACAGTTCTGGAGGCTGGGAAATCCAAGATCAAGGCACCAGCTGGTTTGGTGTCTGGCGAGGGCTGCTCTCTGCTTCCAAAATGGTGCCTTGGGGCTGGGCGTGATGGCTCATACCTATAATCCCAGCACTTTGGGAGGCCAAGGCGGGCAGATCACCTGAGGTCAGGAGGTTAAGACCAGCCTGGCCAACATGGTGAAAACCCCATCCCTACTAAAAATACAAAAAATTAGCCAGGCATGGTGATGCATGCCTGTAATTCCAGCTACTTGGGAGGCTGAGGCAAGAGAATTGCTTGAACCCAGGAGGCAGAATTTGCAGTGAGCCGAGATTGCACCACTGCACTCCAGCCTGAGTGATAGAGCGAGACTCTGTCTCAAAAGACAAACAAAAAACCAAAATGGTGCCTCATTGCTGGATCTTCCAAAAGGGATGAACGTATGTTCTCGAATGACAGAAAAGACAGAAGGGCAGAAAGTGTCCAAACTCACTCCATCAATCCCTTTTATAAGGTGCTAATCACTCCCTAAACACCCCATCTCTTATTACTGTTGCACTGGGGATTCAGTTTCAGCATGAGTTTTGGAGGGATACAGACATTCAAACCACAGCATTGTGCACACTCCTTTTTCTATGGAATGGCCAAGGTGCAGCTATTTGCAGAGGCTCTGACAGAGCTCCGCTGTGGAGCTGGGGTGTCCACATGCCTGTATGGAAGAACTTTCATGGCACCGGAGCCTGGTGGGAAGAGAAGTGGGCTGGGCTATAGACTGGGCACCAGGGACTATCACCTCGTGCCACCACATTTAGTGTAGAGTTCCAGAGAGGCCACAAATTCTTCATTTGAACTGGACTCCCCAGCCTCATGTTCCTCTGCAGGATGTAAAAGGTAATGCCAGCAGACGTTGGCAGTGCTGGAGACACCTGGTGGGCAGAGGTTACCTGGCTGGAGTGGCAGGTGTGAGGAGATGCCTCCCAGCATAAGGAATGTGGGCTTCTGTTGGATCTCTTGTTCCAGGCCTCACACATGTTCAAGGCAGCCTGGGTATGTCTTGGCCCATTCAATCCCTCAAAGCCCTGTTTAATTCTCATCTTGCTGTCACCTATGTGGTGCCAAGAAACAAGTCACCAAAATAATGAAATGCCTACCTAAGCTTAAAAACAAAACCATGAGGTCTTTCTAAATAAATTATGAAAAAGTGCAAACTGCAGGTCCCTGTAATGATTTCAAAGACTCCGTTCCAACAATGCATTAATTTAAAAAGGGAGTATAAGGCAAAGGGGGGTGATTAGAAGAGGAAGGCAGCTGACATCAAACTGAATATACCAAGTTTCCTCCTCAAAAACGAGTGTGCATTATTTGTGGTGACCATTCTTGGTATTGTTCTATTACGTAAAACACAGCATAGCATCATTCTTTTAGATGCCATTCATTTAATATATGGGCAAATGTACATGGTTAGGCTAGACTGGAGCACTTGTCTACACTGCTTAAAAGAAAAGATTTACTAAAAAAATTCAAAGGACAAACGAAAGTGCAAAGGGAATGTTAGGTTTAATTAAGAAATCAGCTCTTTAAAGGGCTTAACCAGAATAATTGTTGGTATGCAAGTGGGGTTGTGAATTATAAATGAATCATTCATTCTTTGAAGAATGATCTCTTCTTGGAAAAGGATCTCTTCTTGGAAAGACTTGGGGAGCATTTTAAGTTGTTGAAGGCCAGGTGTGGTGGCTCATGCCTGTAATTGCAGAACTTTGGGAGGCCAAGGTGGGTGGATTACCTGAGGTCAGGAGTTCGAGACCAGCCTGGCCAACATGGTGAAACCCTGTCTCTACTAAAAATACAAAAATTAGCTGGGCATGGTGGCATGCGCCTGTAATCCCAACTGCTTAGGAGGCTGAGGCAGGAGAATCGCTTGAACCTGGGAGGCAGAGGTTGCAGTGAGCCATGATCGTGCCACTGCCCTTCAGCCTAGGTGGCAGATACTAATAATTACTGAGTCGTTTTAAGTCGGTAACATTTGTTAGGTGTTTATTACATGCTAGTTCCTCAGTTCCAAGTATTTAGTCTTCACCACAGGCCTAGGATTATGACCATTTTATAGAGGAGGAAAATGAAGGCCTCCAAGTGCCTTGCCTGAATTACCTAGCTAAATGCTAGGAAAGCAAAGACAAGTACAACAGGCTGTCTGCCTTTAAGAAGTTTACCACCTAGTATTTTTTAATGTAAATTCTCTAATAAGTTCAGGCCAGCTTCCTCTTCCAGCTCATCTGAATTTGGTGAATTTCAATAAAATAAAACAATACGAAAAACGTTTCTACGCAATTAACTGTTGTCATGTATTATAATAGGAATAAGGGGGAAAGCCGTCTTATGGAATATTGAGTCCACACTTGAGAATCAATTGCCTGAAGAACATTCTTATTTCCAGATTGTAGCATGGTCTTTTTATGCCTGAACAATGACAAAAAGAGTGATGATTTTGTAACAAAACCTCAGGGACGCAATTAACAAGTTGTCATTTCTAATTCATGTGGAAATGCTGTTTTATTTTTCAGAGAATTGTAGCAGTGGTGTTCATTTAATTAAGAATCTGATGTTGCGGAAGGGCAATTGAGTGAAATTTATAATATTGTAGACAGACATGTATGCAAACACAAAAGAAAATTGGTTAAGGATCTAAGTGCCAGCTTATTTTCCTTTGAACAGCCCATTTTTACATGATTTGTGAGCTGTTTCATAAAGGAATCATATAAGTATATTTTATCCTTTTAAAGATATTTTACGGTAAACTCATCTAACTAGTAATTGTACAAGGCTCATAAATAGTCAAAAAGAAAAGTGCCTGTAACTTTTGACAATATTGAAGGTGACTACCTCTGTATTAGAAGGCAGTTTAGGATCTAGTAGCTTTCCCAACTGCAAGTAATGGCATATTCTAATTTATATGAACAACATCATAAAACCAATAAGGTAAAGAAAATAGGTTTGAATGAGAAAGTATTCTGAGAAAGGTGGGGAATGGGCGTCAGATATGGATTGGAAGGAGACAAGAGATCGGAAAGGTGACAGAAGAGAGCCCCCACTGTGGTGGCTACTGCCTGCACCTTCACCAGGAAGTGTTGCTCACCTGTCCAAGCCACAAGTTCTGGTCATGTCGTAGATCCAAGTGCCTCCAGGTGGATGTGCCACTTCCAAGGCCCAGCCTTCCTAAGCCACCTCACCTTAAGGTCTGGATACATTTGTTCACAGTATGCACTTTTTGAGTGCTAATTATGTGCCAGGCACTGGGCTAGGTCCTGGGGACACACCCATGAACAAGGAGAGCAGGTTCCTGGCCTCTTGCAGCTGACATTCTAGTCAGAGGAGACAGTCTGTAAACACATAGATAAATAATTGAAAGAGTTGCACATGGCGATTTGCGCTGAGAAAATAAAGCAAGGTAAAGAGATTTAAGTGTGAGAGAAGAAAAGGGGCTGTTTAAAGAGGTGGTTAGGGAAGGCCTCTCTGAGGTCAGGACATCTGAGCAGCGAAGGAGCCAGCGATGGGAAGCACCGGGGGCGGGGGTAGGACACTCCAGACGGAGCAAGTACAAAGGCCCTGGGGCAGGAAGGACCCTGATGTGCTGGATGAGGAGCAAGAGGGTGCCAGTATCGCTGAGCTGGAGAAGAGGAAGAAAAGTGGGAGAGGAAGATGAAGAAGTCACAGAGGTCAGGCCATGTGGGCCTTTTAGGCATGGCCAAATGCTTGGATTCTCTTCCAAGGAGAATGGGAAGTCATTGGAAGATCTTAAGTAGGGACATGATAAGACTGATTTATACTTTCCAATTATTACTGTGACTACTCTGTGGGGACCAGATTATAGGAAGATGATAATAAGGTGAGTGAAAAGAGTGGCCAGTCGTGGCATCCGCCTCCTTCCACAGAGATGAGTACAGGCTGAAGTCTTGTCCGTAAGATGCTTCTGTGGAAGTTACAGGGAGCTGACCCTGGCCTTGGAACTAACTGTGGTGGGATCAGAGAGGGGGGAAGCAGAGATGGTGCCAGCTTTGGCCCAAAGATCAGAAGCAGTAAGGACTCTGTGCCTCTGGCAAAAGGACAACTCCATGTTTTCTGTGCAAACATCCAAGTTACCATTTCCCCAGGCGACATTGCAGCTGTGGGGCCTGTGAACAGGACAACAGCTAACCATTCTGAGTTTAAAAAAATCAAGGACAGTACCCTCATGTTTATAATATAGGGGGCAAAGCAAAATCCATTGACAAGCATTTCCTTTAAAATACAGGGAAGGAAGATTCCATTGTCTACAAATTCTAATGGAAATTAATAAAGATGAGCAAATATCACAAACGTTGTCTTTATTCTGTGGTGTATTCTATGTGGTGTCCTGGTTATATGAGTATTTACAGAAGTTTTTCTAGCTTCTCTGTTGTCTCAACTCCCAACTGTCTGTTTTTCCCCATAAGGGTTTAAGTTCCTCAACCACGAATTGTCCTGCCACTGAAGTTTGCAGCCTAATCCCGTGCAGGGGACAGAGGGGAATTGTTTGGGTTGGAATGACTGGAAATCAGGGTGCCTGCTTGGGGAGGGGGTTGATGAATCTAAAACGACAGGTAGGGGTTAACTATGGAGGGGAGAAAGCCTTCATTTTAAAGTGGTGAGGTCCTGGTGTCCCTTGGCAGGCATTGCTGCCCTTTTGCACTGGTCTTCACCTTCTCCAGCCAGACATCCCAACACACAGAGTCCTCAGGGGGCCAGAGTCACCCTGTGTGGAAGTGGGAGAAATGCTCTCCTACAGGGGCCTCTAAAAAGTGCTGCTGCATGTGAGTGCATGGGTGTGCGTGAGTGCATTAAGCAATGTTTAGTGCAATCGTACATCCAGATTTTACTTACAACTCCCTCTGTCCTTAGGCATAGTAAATTAGGGCCAGGTATCTGTTTGGCTCTATTAACCAAGGGCCAAGTTAATGCCAAGCACTGGCCTTTCCTGGGGCTGATCCTCCTCATGAGGTCCAGCCCGCCCTGTCTCTTAAGACAAGTTCTTTCTCAGGTCAGGCAGCATCTCCGGCTCTCAGTAAAGAGACTTTGGGTGGCTCAATCCCACCAGTTCGTCTGGCACATCTAGACACACGAACCCCTCCCATCCCCACCCCAGCTACCTAAAGCAAGGGGGTGATATGAGCCAATCTGTGTTTACATAAAATTAGATGGCAGCCAAGGAGAGAATGATTAGCCTGCAGCAGAATCTCCTAGACAGCTGGTTGGAGGTAAAGGTTGCTGTGCCCTACCTGGAAATTCTCATTCACTAGGCCAGGGCAGGGCCTGAGAATTTGCATTTTAAGCATGTGTACTTGCCCCCTCACCTCATGATTCTGACAGTTGGCAGACCTTATCAAACACTGGACTAGAGAAAAGCTAAGCTGGTGGCCAGATCAGTATGGAGCTTGGATTGTGGGTGAGAGTTGGCAAAGGCCTGACTGAAGCAGGCACCACCATAGAGAGGAAGAGAAACTGGATTCCAGGGAGAGAACAGGGAGCAAGGATGGGCCCTGGCTGGGTGGGGAGAAAAGGAGGAGGGCAGGGAAGAGGCTGCCGCCAGGGCGGCCTCCTGACCAGCACCTGCTTTTCTGGGAGCTGGCATCCACGGGATCTGCAGCTCTTCACACATGTAGGGGAGAGGTCCTGGGCTCCCTCTCCTCCTGCTGGCACCAGCTGGCCCTGCTCACCTGATAGCAGCTCTCAGCCTGGGGACAAGCCAGGGCCACTCCCTGGGAATGCTCAGGTTATAGATGCACCCTAGTCCCAAACACAGCCTGTCCATGGCCCCAGCTGATAAAGTTACCAAATGTCAGGTGTGACAGATTTTCCTGGAGGAGGACAGAGAGTGGAAATGATGGCTGATCCCAAAGGGTTGCCTTTTAAACCCCAAACCCATTTAGTGGTAACTACACCTGACATTTCCAGAGCCCTCCCATTTAGGGAATTTAAAAATGCCTGGACTCCACATGGACATTTTTCTTCTTCTTCTTGCGGGTTTTTTGTTTGTTTGTTTTGTTTTGTTTTGTTTTGTTTTGTTTTGTTTTTGGATACAGAATCTCACTGTCACTCCGTCACCCAGGCTGGAGTGCAGTGGTGTGATCACGGATCACTGCAGCCTCAACCTTCCAGGCTCAAGTGGAGGTCTTCCCGAGTAGCTAGGACTACAGGCACACACCACCACTCCTGGCTAATTTTTGTATTTTTTGTGGAGATGGGGTTTCACCATGTTGTCCTGGCTGTTCTTGAACTCCTGGGCTCAAGCGATGCTCACACCTGTAATCTTAGCACTTTGGGAGTGCTAGGAGACTTTGCCCAGGAGACAGCAAAGAGCCAGCAGACAAATTCCTTTTCCTTCCTCTCCTGCTCTGAGGTGTGGTGGGTGGAAGAGAGGCACCTGGCCTCTTCTTCTTTTAAAATGATTTACACAATGGACTGTCATGTACCATGTAGAAGTTATTTTTCTTTTTTATCTATTTGTTATTAAGTAGGGGTAGCATTAATCTTTTTATAGATGTGAATAATTTCTGGATATAAATGGCTCCCTACTTTTAGAGATTTTGATTTGAAATTGCTATTATCTTACAAAGTTGTCCCTTTTGTATTAAAGAAGTCCATGTCATTGTGAGTAGCACCCCTGGGTGCCGAGACCAGCTCAGTCAGGGAGACCCTAAACCAGCGGCGCTAGAGGAATTAAAGACACACACAGAAATATAGAGGTGTGAAGTGGGAAATCAGGGGTCTCACAGCCTTCAGAGCTGAGAGCCCCAAACAGAGATTTACCCACGTATTTATTAACAGCAAGCCAGTCATTAGCATTGTTTCTATAGATATTAAATTAACTAGAAGTATCCCTTATGGGAAAAGAAGGGATGGGCTGAATTAAAGGAATAGGTTGGGCTAGTTAACTGCAGCAGGAGTATGTCCTTAAGGCACAGATCGTTCATGCTATTGTTTGTGGCTTAAGAATGCCTTTAAGCAGTTTTCCGCCCTGGGTGGGCCAGGTGTTCCTTGCCCTCATTCCCATAAACCCACAATCTTCCAGTGTGGGCATTATGGCCGTCATGAACATGTCATAGTGCTGCAGAGATTATGGCCAGATTTTGGGGGGGGGGGCCTGCTCCCAACATGTCCCCCTTCTTTGATTTGCAAATCGATAAAAGCAAGGGCAGCTTTGTCACGGTGAGCTATTTCTTGCAGGAGTCAGGATCCATATCTGCAGACTATACAAAGACAAACAACATAGATTAAAAGCACAGTCATCATTGAAATCACAGAGCTTCCAAGTGTTTTTATCCATTTTAATGGGTTACTAGCTGCTAATTTGTCTGCAGCTCCTTTAAGCACTTCAGTTCCTGGCATTAAGGTCAGGTGTGCCTGGGATGCTTTAAATATTTGTTCTTTTAATTTTGCTATATCCAAAAACAATTTTGTAGAGTGTCCTTCTAGATGCTTTTTTATTCTTTCCCAAATTTTGATCTTATTAAGAGCATTTAATAGTTTCCGCAAATCCTTATGTTTAGCTCCTAGAGCAGGCCATATCATTTGAGGTTGAGGTGCCACTATACCGCCATGGTTCCACATAATAGGAACTTTTGCCGTACTTCTTAACATTTCTACCATCTGACTGTTTTGTTCAGATCATCTAAACATAGTGTGACTGTGGCACGCAGACTGAGAGGTGCAATTCAAGCTAAACATCCCCTTAGGGGACCAATTAATAATGATTCCATAGGAATCGTTGTGCAGCATCTCTGCCTGTTCTGCAAGGCAATCTTCCTAAACAATTGTGTTCATTTTTTCTAACTGGGTCCAATCCTGTTTACAAATAGGTTTTTAAGGGTGGTATGCCTCAATTATAGGAGCAGATTTATTATGGTAAATACTGAGATCAGAAAGCATATGTAACTGTGTCATAGAGTGATTGCATCCAGGCGTTATTACCAGCCCTTATTGTAGGAATACTCACGGCAGTGGTGATAACCACTATCATAGCTACCATTAAATTATTCATTGTGACTGGTTGTTCCGCTTTCCTCCGCCATCTGTGACAGCTTCTTGATCTGTCCCCAGGTGGGTGGCTGTGGTCGACGGGTGTTGCTCGTGACAGTTGGGGTCCTCCTCAGCATCAGTCTCAACATGGCTGCAACCGGGGGGTCCTCAGGATCCTCCCGAATCTCTTCCTTGGCATCTGGCTCATGATAAGGTTTCAGGTGTCTTGATGGTATCCAAATTGGCTGTTGATTTTGGCCTGGAGAAATACAAGCATAACCTCTACCCCAAATTATTATTTTACCTATTTCCCACTTTTTGTTATCGGATCTCTCCACCAAATCAGTTGTTCTGTTTCTGTCTTTGCAGCTGGTTTCTGTAGATGCTGTTCAGCTGCTGATAACATCTGGCCTTTGGGCAGGCTCAAAAAATTTAAAATTAATAATGCTAGGTTCAGTTGCATTTGTGGGGTTCCATATTCTCTGTCTCTCCCTTTCTGCTTTTGCAACTGCTGTTTTAGGGAGAGATTCATTCTTTCCACTATGGCTTGTCCTTGAGAATTGTATGGGATACCAGTAATGTGTTTAATATTCCACATAGAGAAAAATGTAGCTAGAGCTTGGCTAGTATAGCCTGGGGCATTATCTGTTTTAACAGAAGCCGGAATGCCCATCACTGCAAAACACGATGTTTAACACAGGCAGAAGACTCTCCTGTTTGGCATGTAGCCCAGACAAAGTGAGAAAAGGTGTCCACACATACATGTACATAAGCTAGTCTCCCAAATGAGGGAACATGTGTGACATCCATTTGCCAAATAGAATTAGGTTCCAGTCCTCAAGGGTTAACTCCTCCTGTAAAAGATGAGGAATGTACCATTTGGCAAGTTGGGCATTGCTGGACAATAGCTTTAGCTTTTTTCCAGGTAATGCTGTATCTGCATTTGAGACCAGAGGCATTAACACAGGTTAAATTGTGAAAGTGTCTAGCATTGGATATCGCAGTAGCAACTACGTGATCAGCCATTTGATTCCCTTCAGTCAAAGGTCCTGGAAGAGGTGTAAGAGCCCTAATGTGAGTGATGTAAAAAGGGTACATTCTACTCCTAACTGCTATTTGCAATTGGGTAAATAAAGTCATCAGTTGTTCATCTGCATGAAATCATAACAGAATTTTCAATTAACTCTGTGGAGTGAACCATGTATGAAGATTCAGAAATCACATTAATAGGCATATCAAAAGCAGTCAATACCTCAATTACAGCTACAAGCCCCGCTTTTTGAGCTGAAGTATAGGGCGTCTGAAAAACTTTACTTTTTGAGCCAGAATAAGAAGCTTTACCATTACTAGACCCATCTGTAAAAACATTCTCAGCACCTTCAATTGGTTTAAATTTAGTTACTTTAGGGAGAATCCAATTAGTTAATTTCAAAAACTGAAACAACTTCGTTTTAGGAAAATGATTATCAAGAATACCCACAAAGTCAGCTAAATGGGTTTGCCAAGTAAGACTATTTATAAAAGCTTACTGTATTTGTGCCTTCCTGAGAGGGACAATAACTTTTCCAGGATCATATCCATGTAATTTAACAATCCAAGTTCTCCCAATCCCTATCATAGTAGCGATTTGATCTAAATAAGGAGTTAGAGTCTGTGAAGTAGTATGTGGAAGAAAAAGCCACTCTACTAAGTCCTGTTCTTGGACAATAAAACCAGTAAGTGAATGCTGAGTTGAAAAAATGAGCAAATCTAGAGTCTTCTCTGGATCTATTCTATCTATTTGAGCTTTATGGACTTGCTTCTCAATCAGTTGTAACTCTGCCTCCGCCTCCTTTGTTAATCTGCTGAGGGCTAGTGAGACTAGGATTTCCTCTAAGGATAGAAAACAGATTACTCATGGCATAGGTAGGAATGCCTAGAGCAGGTCATATCTAATTAATATCCCCTAGTAATTTTTGAAAGTCTAATGTTTTTAGTTGATCCTTACATATGGTTACTTTCTGTGGCACAATAGTAGTGTCATTTACTAAGGTCCCGAAGTAGGAGTAGGGAGGAGTAGTCTGCATTTTGTCAGGAGCTATAATTAAATCAGCGTGAGAAATTGAATTTTGCAAGTGATCATAACATTGGAGTAATATTTCTCAAGTGGGGGCAGCACGAAGTATATCATCCATATAGTGAATAATGTAACACTGTGAAAATTTTTTACGCGTAGGTTCAATTGCTTGCCCCACATACGTCTGGCAAATTGTTGGGCTGTTTGACATGCCCTGTGGCAACACTTTCCAATGATAACGCTTAGCAGGCTGCAGGTTGTTTACTGCAGGAATTGTAAATGCAAACCGTTTACAGTCTTGCTTAGCTAAAGGGATAGTAAAGAAACAGTCTTTTAAATCTATGACTATTAAAGGCCAGTTTTTTGGAATTATAGCAGGAGAAGGCAATCCTGGCTGTAATGCTCCCATAGGTTGTATAACTGAATTGATGGCTCTTAAGTCATTTAACATTCTCCATTTACCTGATTTTTTATTAATTATGAAAACTGGAGAATTCCAAGGGGAAAATGTTGGACCTATGTGCCCATTTTCTAATTGTTCAGCAACTAATTTCTCTAAAGCCTCCAGTTTCTCTTTACTTAGTGGCCATTGTTCTATCCAAATTGGCTTATCTGTTATCCATCTTAAAGGTATAGGTTCTGGAGGCTTAACAATGGCTGCCATCAAAATGATATCCTAATCTTTGGCGGGAATTTTGTCTTTCTGCTTGAAGCGGTTCTTTCAAACCTTGCAACTTTTTTCTAGTCCCATACCAGGGACATGCCACATTTCATGCATTGTATGTTGACTTTGAGGGCTATATAATTGTTCTGGAATTAGAACTTGTGCTCCCCATTGTTGCAATAAATCTCTTCCCCATAAATTTATAGGTACAGAAGTTATAATTGGTTGAATAGTCACAGGTTGTCCATCACGTATATTTTGCCCTTCACAATGCAAAATATAACTACTTTGATATACTTCAGGGGCTTTATCAACTCTAACTATGTTAAATTGAGTGGGTTGAATTGGCCACGTGGATGGCCAGTGCTATAGAGAAATGATTGAAATATCTGCTCCTGTATCTACAAAACCTTTAAATTTCTTTCCCTGAATAGTTATTTCACAGGTAGGGCATTTATCAGTAATTTGATTTACCCAATAAGCTGCTTTGCCTTGTTTTTCTGTGCTTCCAAATCCTCCTGTTCATTTAATTTCACTTTTTCCCATTCCCACATACGGCACAATGAGGAGCTATTCTATGCGCTCTCCTCCTGGCTCTGCTTTCCAGGGAACAGAAGTAGATACGACAATTTGAATTTCCCCATTGTAATCTGAATCAATGACTCCTGTATGTATTTGTACCCCTTTTAAACTTAAACTAGGCCTTCCTAAAAGTAATCCTATTGTCCCCACTGGCAAGGGTCCACAGACTCCTGTTGGGACCTTTTGTGGGTGTTCCCCAGGCAGAAGGCTCACAGCTTTTGTGCGGCATAAATCTACTGCAGCACTATTGGCTGTGACAGGGGACAGACATTGTACAGGGGTGAGGGAATGGCCTGAGCTGGAAGTGCCCCGGTTTAGAACAGGGCCCGGGACGGGCCCCTTGTGGCATTTCCTGAAATCGGGTTCCCTTCTTTATCAAACTTAGAGTGACACTGATTAGCCCAATGTTTTCCTTTTTCACCTTTTGGACATATTTCAGGCTCAGCAGTTTTCTTTTTTCCCCTATCTGGTGGCCTGACTCACTGATTTTTTTCTACATTCTTTTTTAGTATGACCATGCTTCCCACAGTTAAAACAAGCTCCAGGAAATGGAGTATTTCCTTTATCCACTCTCAGTCCTGCCATTGCCTGTGCCAACAAAGTAGCTTTATGCAGATTACCTCCGATACCATCACAGGCCTTGATATAATCAACTAAATGTGCTTTCTCGAATTTAAAAGGAAAAGGCTCAAATGTAGCTATAATACTTCCCTGTTGATCAGTGGAGGTATATTCTAACAGGGAACTGCCAAGCCTCTATATCACCCTCTCGTCTAGCTTGCTGAATTCCTGCCTGAATAGAACTAAGAGTGGTCGCTCAAGGTGCTGCTCAAACAGTCACTGGGGCAACTACTTTTCGTCCAGTGTCCTCCGGAAAAGAAAGATCTGGAGTGTCTTTTTCTTCAAAATAATAATGAGGGGGTGCAGAAGGGTAGGGATGGACCTCTCCCTCCTTTGCCGCTTTAGATTTAGCTGGCAAATAAACCTGGTCTGTAACCTCTTCTGTTACTTCGTTATACAGTCCTTCCTCCTCATTATCAGTGTGAAAAAGTTCCAAGGTGGAACAAACCACAGCCCACACTTGTCCCATTGTTACCCTGACACTTCCGAGCTCCCCTTCTTACTCACCATGGGGATTGCTTTTAGAGTACTCGGGTGTCCTCCAGCTAGTTTTCCATTCCAACCATTGCTCCGGTGACCCTTCGACCTGGATTCAAGCTCCCACGAATGGACGCCACTTGCTGAGACCAGCTCAGTTGGGGAGACCCTAACCCAGCAGCACTAGAGGAATTAAAGACACACACACACAGAAATATAGAGGTGTGAAGTGGGAAATCAGGGGTCTCACAGCCTTCAGAGCTGAGAGCCCCAAACAGAGATTTACCCACGTATTTATTAACAGCAAGCCAGTAATTAGCACTGTTTCTATAGACATTAAATTAACTAAAAATATCCCTTATGGGAAATGAAGGGTTGGGCCAAATTAAAGGAATAAGTTGGGCTAATTAACTGCAGCAGGAGTATGTCCTTAAGACACAGATCACTCATGCTATTGTTTGTGGCTTAAGAATGCCTTTAAGCGGTTTTCCGCCCTGAGCAGGCCAGGTATTCCTTGCCCTCATTCCCTTAAACCCACAATCTTCCAGCGTGGGCATTATGGCCATCAGGAACATGTCATAGTGCTGCAGAGATTCTATTTATGGCCAGTTTTGGGGCCAGTTTATGGCCAGATTTTGGGGTGCCTGCTCACAACACCTGGGCCTGAGAAAACCATTTTACCCAGAGAACTTCACCTGAGAAATTTTTCTTCTCCTGCCTCCATCTTTAGCCAAACCGTCTGGTAGCTTTGCACAGAATGGCATTCTTGCAAATGTCATCCATCAGTCCTCTCTGTGGCTGCAGGCCTCACCAAGGGACGGGGTCCTGTGCTTTGAGTCCAAAGACTTCATGCTCATGAAGATGACAGAGCTTTCCACAGAGTGGGTAGGAAATGGGAATTTGGGTCAAAGTGATTGTCTTAACCTAGACTCTCTAGGAAAAAAAGTCCTTGAGGCAAAGTTTGTGTGTTAAGGCTTAACCGGGAGGGGCAATACCAAGGCTGCAAGAGGGAAGGAAAAGGAGAGCTGAGGCAGGGAAGGCAGGGGTATTACCAAGCTGGGAACAGCTTCACAAGAAAATACACCCTGTCCACAGCAATACCACCCTGAACATGCCTGATCTCATCTGATCTCGGAAGCTAAGCAGGGTTTGACCTGGTTAGTACTTGGATGGGGGGGATGGGAGAAAATACACCCTGCAGCCTTACAGATGGGGCCACATGGACCCATCACACCTCGGAGTGGGAGAGGAGAGAAAAGGAATGTCTGAAGGCTGTTTGCTGTCTCCTGTCTGTCACTGATCACGGGTCTCTCTGTGGAGCGTTACTACCCCTGAGGTTCTGCTGCCTTGTCTCCCCGAGTAGACACACCTTGTGCCTGTCTCACTCATTCAGGGTTGGCCTGGCATTGGGCACAAGAGAAACATACAGAAGCCCAGTGTCCTCCCAGGAGTGAAGTGCAGGGGCGATGGTAGCAGTGGCCAAGGCCGGAGGACGTGTGGGGCCAAGCAGCCTGGATGGTGGGTGGGGTGATGACAGGAAGAGAGAGGGAATCATAATAACAGCCTCTCACCTCGTAGAGCACACCAGAGTTTTAAAAATGCTGTGCATTGGTTATTTCCTTGAATTTTCACAAGAATCCTGTTTTGTACATATTATGTTGACCCTCATGAAATTGCCATATTGGCTCAGAGAGGCTTCCTACAAGGAGATAAACTTGCTCCTAAACTTGCTAATCAACTGGGTTTGGTTCAGTGATAAACAGGGAGTTAGGGGTGAAAAAGGTGGTTACCTTTTTGCCATCCCACTGAAACCCCAGCCCTACCAGACCTCCAAATGCCATTTACAACTTCTTTCTCTAGGCTGGTGTCTGTACTCAGCAACATATGACAGTAAAAAGAAAAGTCTTTGAGAAGTTGTGGGGGAAAAAATTCAAACTTCTTCACTTTACAAACTACCAGACCTCATCTCTCTGCCACGCTCTTAACACTTACTGTGTGTGAGCTTGTGAAAGTCACTTAACTCTCTGAGCCAATATGGCAATTTCATGAGGGTCAAGGTAATACAACATGGGATTCACGTGAGAGTTGAAGGAAATAACCAATGCACAAGCACCTTTAAAACTCTGCTGTGCTCTACAAAGTGAGAGGCCATTATTATGATTCCCCCTTACTTCCTGCCACCCCACCCACCAGCCCTCTTGAGATACTTTTGGCTTCTTTCTTGGCCCCTTTTGGGCTCTGACCCTCAGCCGTGTTTTCAGAAAGTTTTCCACCAGTTTTCTGGCCCCAAATTCAAATCCAATTCTGGCTCCTTTTGCTCCTTGAAGCTCATCTGTCCCTTGAACTACCTAGCCTTGGAGCTATACTAGGGAGAATTTTGGCATATCAGGGATTCTACTCTTTTTTTTTTTTTTTTTTTTGAGATGGAGTGTCACTTTGTTGCCCAGGCTGGAGTGCAGTGGCACAATCTTGGCTCACTGCAACCTCTGCCTCCCAGGTTCAAGTGATTCTCCTGCCTCAGCCTCTTGAGTAGCTGGGATTACAGTAATTAGCACCACGCCCAGCTAATTTTTGTATTTTTAGTAGAGACGGGGTTTCACCATGTTGGCCAGGCTGGTCTCGAACTCCTGACCTCAGGTGATCTGCCTGCCTCGGCCTCCCAAAGTGCTGGGATGACAGGCGTCAGCCACCGCACCCGACCTCTACTTTTTAGCTATAATGATTTGCAAGGGCAAAAATTTCACGGTACAAGGAGCTTTCTTTTGAAACAATGAGTAAGCTCTTCACAAGTACCAACATGTCGGGAACCGTAAACCCTTGTCGCGGGGGAAAAGCTAGTCTAACTGTATCCTAGAGGCTCTAGGTTCAGGCTGAACGGAAGTACATGTCGGCTCCCTCATGTTGCTAAGCCCCCTTTCCCCTTATCCCCCTTCTCCTCCTTTCCTAGGCAGCACCTCATGTTAGCCTCACAATGACCCCGTGAGGTGGGAAGGGCATTTCCATTTTTAAATTAGAAGCAAAGGTTCACAAGACCTGAGAGATTTCCTCCGGGCCCAGAACAGCCAGTCTGAGGCCAGCTGCAACAAGAAATTGTGTCTTCTAGTTCCAAGTACTTTCTATTCAACACCATTGCCATTCTTTCTGGCTTGTCCCTGTTCCCTTTATTCTTGGTTTTCATAAGAACTTTTATCTCCAGGGAAAGTGTCCTGCCTTCTGACAGATGCTTGGGTTCTCGGTAACACAATTTGTTTAACTCACCGAGAAAGTCAGTCACAGAACCATTCAGCCATCAGGGACTAACCTGAGGCCTTGAGCCCAGTGGAGGCCCAACCCCAAGTTTCCAAGCTGGGTTGAGGGGGCCTTGGGGTGCTGAGGGCCTGCTCCAGAGTTCAGAGCAGAAGAAAGGGCCAGGGTAGCTCCTCACTTGACCTCCTGTTTTGGAGGTCCCCTTGTGGTGGGGGTACCTGCATCCCCAGGGGCATAAGGGTCGCACTCAGCACCCACAGGGCTTTCCTTTGGTGAATGCTATTCAGTGGTTTCTGGTTGTCTGAGGGGCATGTGAGTTGATGAGATTTTGAGAGGGGAACTCGGGGATGGGAGTGGAGTGAGCAGGGGCTGGAGAGGCAGAAAAGGAGACTGTGGAGGGGAACTTCAGAGGAGGAGATGATGAATGGGATGGAAGGTGGCTGTGTGACATGCATTCATTCACCTTTCCTCATTCCTGTTTCCCCATGCAAGCCTCAGTCAAATTTATGTTACTAACAGGTGCATTTGGCGCTAATGGGTAGCAGTGGGAGGTAACTGGTTGGGCTTGAGGTGAAGGTAGGGAGCAGCTGAGTGCTCCCGGTCATATGCAGGTCACACACCGCAGATTTCACTGGGGAAGAGGCACCAATCTTCTAATCTGAAGATAAATTTTATCAAGAAGTCCTCTTTCTGGCTGGGCACCGTGGCTCACGCCTGTGATCCTAGCACTTTGGGAGGCCAAGGCAGGCAGATCACCTAAGGTCAGGAGTTCGAGACCAGCCTGGCCAACATGATAAAACCCCATCTCTACTAAAAATACAAAAATTAGCTGGATGTGGTGGTGGGCACCTGTAATCCCAGCTACTCGGGAGGCTGAGACAGGAAAATTACTTGAACCCAGGAGGCAGAGGCTGCAGTCAGCCAAGATCGTACCACTGTACTCCAGCCTGGGTGACAGAATGAAACTCCATATCAAAAAAAAAAAAAAGAAAAAAAGTCCTCCTTCACATCTTTTAAATCATTCCTCTTTTAATTCAGATTCAAATTCATTTCTTCTGGTCTGGCTCAAGTTGAGTCCTTGTCAGTGTCCCAAATTTTGAGCCACAAAATCCAGAGTTGTAGAAAAAGGAGTAGCTGGGGAAGGGAAAAGTCTGTGACCACAGTCAATGGAAATTGTGGACCAAGCATTTCTAGAAAATGAATTACACTGTTACAGAGGCTTGGACTGCAGCCATAGGAAGGGAGCTATTGTTCTGCAGAAAAGTTCGTGAACAATTCCCACTTGGCAAAATGAATGAGAAGGAAAATCAGAAATACCTGAGTCTTCCAGTGGTGTAATTTCTAATGCTGATTGACACCAATCTGAAGCAACCGAGAATACTGACAGCAAGGTGGAACAAAAATGCCATTCACCATGAGCCCAAATGGGTACTGAAGCTGCTAAGCACAGTTTAATCTCCTCAGCCCTGTCCGGTTGCACATATAAATCTGCCTTCTGTCTCTATATGTGCCAAGGGGCACTTTCATCTTTGACAACAAGACCAAAGTCCATGCCTATTTTCTCAGCAAGGATCTCCCTGTTTGTGTTAAATCAGTCCCGTGTTGTTAAGCTAAGGGCATTCTGTGTAGAAACATCTCAGGCATTAAAATTTGTAAAAACCTAACTAGTGTCTGCCCCCTTGCAGGGCCCTGTCTGTAGAAGTAACTAGGTCTTATTTATTTATTTATTTTTAAAGAAGTATCATTAGGAAACTTTCATTTTTATCAGCTACCATTTAGATCTCAGGACACATTTTACTTCTCATTTCATTTGACATATGAGAAAAATGTTGCATGCCAATTGAGCTGTAAGGTGAACTTGACTGTGATAATGGGACACAGCTCAGCAAAGACAGCAAGGTCAGCTGACTGGTGTTCTGTTTTCTGTACGCATATCCACTGACCTGGTTCGGGATCACCTCTTTGTTCTGCAAAGGACTATCAGATTATCACCAGGGTGGTCCAAGAGCATCTTCTGTACAATTAACTGGTAAGGACACTAACAAATGTATGTGGAATGAATGGATTCAAAGGGGCAGATGAATATTTGTAATTAATCCCAGACACCCAGCTTGGCATTGACCTGTCAGCCTACATTCAAGCATTTTTTTCCTTTTTCCAGAGAGGTCTAGAAATTCTTGGGTGAGTAGGAAAAAGGCTTAGCATAGGAAATGTCTATTAGGCCAGGCGCAGTGGTTCATGCCTGTAATCCCAGCACTCTGGGAGGCTGAGGCAGGCAGATCATTTGAGGCCAGGAGTTCCAGACCAGCCTGGCCAACATGGTGAAACGCTGTCTCTACTAAAAACACAAAAATTAGCCAGGCATGGTGGCACCTGTAGTCACAGCTACCTGGGAAGCTGACATGGGAGAATTGCTTGAATCTGGGAGGTGGAGGTTGCAGTGAGCCAAGATTGCACCACTGTATTCCAGCGTGGGTGACAGTGCAAGACCCTGTCTCAAAATAAATAAATAAATAAATAAATAAATAAATAAATAAATAAATAAAATGTTTATTAAAATCTCCAGTTCTGATAGTCAAAATAGGCTAGATATGCCACAGTAAAAAACATCCCCCAAATCTTAGGATTTATACAAGTTTATTCATAGCTCACCCTGGTCTGCTTTTGGGTTTGGGTGGCTGCCATCCAGGGCAACTGTCCTTGCGTGATGACTTAGCATGCCATTCGATCTCACAGCTTTTCTTTATCAACATACCCTTCCCTGATTGCCACAGTAGGGGAAGAGCAATTACATGCTTCCACTTAGAAGCGACATGTGTCATATTTAATTTGCAAAAGCAAGTCCCATAGCCACACTGAACTCCCAGCAGGTAGGTATACCAGTTATTGATTCCTGTAAAACAAACCACCCCAAAACAACACAGTTTATTACTTCTCATGGTTCTATGATTCAGCTGGGCAACTCTTTTTTTTTTTTTTTTTTTCTGAGACAGGGTCTGGCTGTGTCGCCCAGGCTGGAGTTCAGTGGCCCAATCTCGGCTCACTGAAACCTCTGCCTCCAGGGTTCAAGCAATTATCCTGCCTCAGCTTCCCAAGTAGCTGGGATTACAGGTGCCCACCATCACGCATGGCTAATTTTTTGTATTTTTACTAGAGACAGGATTTCACCCTGTTGGCCAGGCTAGTCTCAAACTCCTGACCTCAAGTGATCCGTCAGCTGGGCAACTCTTTTGCTGGTTTTGCCTGGGCTTACTCATACAGCTCTATGTGGTTGGAGGATTGACTGTGCTGGAAAGTCCAAGATGTCCTCATTCACATGTGTAGCAATTGTTTCTGGCTGTTGGCTGGGGTGTCTTGGTTCTTCCCCATGTGGCTTCTCATCCTCCAGTGGGCGGTCTCAACTCACATCCTTACATGATGATCTCAGGACAGTGTTCCAAGAGGACAAAGCCAAAAGCTGCTAGATCCTTTGAGTCCAGGCTCCAAAAATTGCACAAAACTGCCATATTTTATTGGTCAAGGCTAGTCACAGGACAGCCCAGATTCAAGGTATGGGGAAATAGTCTCTTAATGGAGGAGTTGCAAATGTTGTCGCCATGTGTTTTAATCTATCACAGCAGGAACATGTACAGCCAATTCTCATTATGTGTGGTAGTTATGTTTTACAAAGTTGTTATGAACACTGACTTAGAGAATATTGAACCATTGCTCCTAAGGGAAATACAGGGTTAGGTTCCTACAAGCCCCTGGACACAACATTTTCATCACCTATTCAATATATAACCTTGTTCTATGTGTGTCTATTTGAAGACATCTTATTTTTTAAATACATATTGTTGATTTCTTAACATTGAACTCATGGCCAAAAGCACTATAATTCATGCCTAAACAAAGCTTATCTAATACCTGTATTTTCTCCATAAGGCACATCACAGACTTTTTGTGCTTATAAACATCAGCATTATAGCATTACATTTGGGAAAAAGTGAAATAACCAGCAGAAAGCAAAAAAAGTAAAAAGTGTGTCACTAAATAGATCCCCAAAAAGGATACTTGTTTATGATATGAGAACTGAAAAAATAAGGTAAAATATAGCCTTGTTTCACTGACAGTTGTTTGTCAGGCAACACAGATTTTTCATCGCTTTGCACATGCCTATGAATGACCAAGAAAGCAACATGAGTATTGATTTGGGAATTACAAATAAATTTTAACAAGTAGGTGAATTCACAAATACAGAATCCATGAGTAATGAGATCAACTATACATAAAAGAGAGAATCCAGATATTGGTGAACCTAGTACTTCCTGGCACATCCATTCATGAGAAAACAGGAAGAAGAAATGAACATTTATGGAACACTTCCTATGTGCAGCCCCTGTGCACCTACTAACTCGCTTATCACAGCAACCCTATGGAGTAGTTAATAATATAACCTTTTTTTATATGTTGCTGGATTCAGTTTGCTAGTATTTTGTTGAGAATTTTTGCTTTTATATTTATGAGGGATATTGGTCATGTAGTTTTCTTGTGATGTCTTTTTCTGCCTTTGGTATCAGGGCACTACTGTCCTCATAGAATGAATTAGGAGTGTTCCCTTCTCTTCTGTTTCTTTTTGAAAGAGTTTGTGAAGGATTGTTGCTAATTCTTCTACAAATGTTTGGTAGCATTTACAAATAAAACCATCTGGTCCAGGACTTTTCTTTGTGGGAAGATTTTTGATTAATAATTCAATCTCTTGTTATAGGTCAAATTAGACTTTCTTTCTCTTTCGTGTGTGTGTGTGTGTGTGTTTGTGTGTGTGTGTGTGTGTGTGTTTGAGGCAGAGTCTCGCTCTGTTGCCCAGGCTGGAGTGTAGTGGCATGATCTTGGCTCACTGAAGCCTCCACCTCCCGGGTTCCAGCAATTTTCCTGCCTCAGCCTCCCAGGTAGCTGGGATTACAGGCATGCGCCACCACGCCTGGCAAATTTTTGTATTTTTAGTAGAGATGGGGTTTCACCATGTTGGCCAGGCTGGTCTGGAACTCCTGACTTCATGTGATGCACCCGCCTCAGCCTCCCAAAGTGCTGGGAGGTGTGAGCCACCGTGCCCGGCCTAGGTTATCTAATTTGTTGGAATACAATTGTTCATAGTATTCCCTTATAATCCTTTCTGTTTCTCTAAGTTCAATGCAATGTCCCCTCTTTCATCTCTGATTTTAATAATTGAGTTTTCTGTATTTTTTTCTTGGTCAGTGTAGCTAAAGTTTTGTCAATTTTTTGACCTTTTTGAAGAACTAACTTTTGGGTTTGTTGATTTTTTTTTTCTACTTTTTTTCCTCCCCCATTTCATTTATTTCTATTCACCTTTATTACTTTCTTTCTTTGGCTTGCTTTGGATTTAATTTGCTCTTCTTTTCTAATTTCTTAAAGTGGAAGGTTGGGTCATTGATTTGAGATCCTTTTTACCTTTTAATATAGGCATTTACAGCTATAATTTTCCCCTGTAAACACTGTTTTTGTTGCATCCCATAAGATTTGGTATGATGTGTTTTGTTTTCATTCATATCAAAGACTACTAATATCTCTTATTTCTTCTTTGACCTATCGCTTGTCTAATTTCTACATATTTGTGAATTTCCCAAATTTTCTTCTGTTGTTGGTTTCTACTTCCATTGTGGTTAGAGGACATACTTTGTATGATTTCAGTCCTCTTAAAATTAGAGAGTTGTTTTCTGGACTAATACAGGGTCCATCATGTGAAATATTCATGCACATTTGAAAAGAATGTGTAGGCCAGGTATGGTGGCTCACGCCTGTAATCCCAGCACTTTGGGAGGCTGAGGCGGGTGAATCATGAGGTCAGGAGTTCGAGACCAGCTTAGCCAACATGGTGAAACACTGTCTCTACTAAAAATACAAAAGATTAGCTGGGCATGGTGACGGGTGCCTGTAATCCCAGCTACTCAGGAGGCTGAGGCAGAAAAATCACTTGAACTCAGGAGGCAGAGATTGCAGTGAGCCGAGATCGGGCCACTGCACTCCAGCCTGGGCAACAGAGCAAGACCCTGTCTTGGAAAAAAAAAGAAAAAAAAGAAAAGGATGTGTATTTTGCTGGTGTTGTGTGGAGTTTTCTATATCCATAGAAACTGTTACGTCTAGTTGGCTTATAGTGTTATTCAAATCTTCTGTTTCCTTGTGGATCTTCTACTTAGTTTTTATATTCATCATTGAAAGTGGGATATTGAAATCTTCAACTGCTATTGTTGAATTGTTTAACTTTTCAGTTTTGTCATTTTTTTCTTCATATATTTTGGAACTGTTGAGAGGTGCATATATATTTGAAATTTTTTTTGATAGACTGACTCTTTTATCATTATAAAATTTCCTTTTTTTTTCTCTAGGAAAATGTTGTTATATATTAGCATAATATAGTATAATTTATTTGTATTTTTTCTCAGATATTAGTATTTCTATTCCAGTTCTCTTTTGGTTATTGTTTATATGGTGTATCTTTTTCCCTTCTTTTGCTTTCAGACTGTTTCTGTCTTTGAATCTACATTTTGTCCCTTACAAAGAACATATAGTTCTATGATTTTTAAAATCCATTCTGCCAATATCTGTCTTTTAATTGGAGTGTTTCAGTGTTAATCTTGAGGATCCTATGTATATGATGAGTTACTTTTTTTTGCTGTTTTTAAGATTCTTTGTCTATGGCTTTTGACAGTTTGATTTTGAAGTGTCTAGGTGTGGATATTTTGAATTTATTCCACTTGGAGTTTGTTGAGCTTCGTGGATGTGTAAATTCATGTTTTTAATCAAATCTGTTAAGTATTGAGCCCTTATGTCTTCAAGTACTTTTTTTCCCCCTTTCTTTTTCTTGCTTCTTTCTGGTACTTCAGTTATGCCTATTAACACTTGATGGTGTCCCACACAAGTCTTTGAGGCTCTGTTCATTTTCCTTCATTCTTTTTCTTTCTGAGATTGGATAACCACAATTGGCCTATCTTCAAGTTTCCCAATTCTCTCTTCTTCCTGCTCACACCTTTCCTGGTGTTCCTCTTGTGAATTTTTCATGTTAATGCCAGAATTTCTATTTGATTTTTAAAAATAAATTATATCTCTCTCCTTTTTTTTTTTTTTTTGAGATGGAGTCTCGCTCTGTCACCCAGGCTGGAGTGCAGTGGTGTGATCTTGGCTCACTGCAACCTCCAACTCCCGGGTTCAAGCATTCTCCTGCCTCAATCTCCCGAGTAGCTGGGATTACAGGTGCGTGCTACCATACCTGGAAATTTTTGTATTTTTTTAGTAGAGACGGGGTCTCACCATGTTGGTAAGGCTGGTCTCGAACTCTTGACCTTGTGATCCGCCTGCCTTGGCCTCCCAAAGTGCTGGGATTACAGGCATGAGCCACTGTGCCCGGCCAAATTATATCTCTTTATTAATATTTTCTATCTGGTGCGACATTTCTCTTTATTTTTATTTTTTTTCTTTTGTAATAGAGATGTAGTCTTGCCATGTTGCCCAGGCTGGTCTCAAACTCCTGAGCTGGCAATCCTCCCACCTCCAGCTCCCAAAGTGCTGGTATTACAGATGTGAGCCACCATACCCAGCTGAGACATAATTCTCACACTCTGCTTTAGTTCTTTTTTTTTTTTTGAGATGGGGTCTCACTCTGTTGCCCAGGTTGGAGTGCAGTCTCAACTCACTGCAACCTCCACCTCCTGGGTTCAAGCGATTCTCCTGCCTCAGCCTCTCAAGTAGCTGGGACTACAGGCATGTACCACTGCACCTGGCTATATATATAATATATAAATTATATTAATATAATTATTTATATATTATATTTATATAGTATGTTAATAATATAATTAGCCAATATATAATATATGTATATATGTGTATATATTATATCATATTGTATATATTTTTTATATATATACACACATATATATATATATATTTTTTTTTTTTTTGAGGCGGAGTCTTACTTTGTTGCCCAGGCTGGAGTGCAATGGTGTGATCTCGGCTCACTGAAAACTTCACCTCCGGGTTCAAGCAATTCTTCTGCCTCAGCCTCCCGAGTAGCTGGGACTACAGGCACCTGCCACCATGCCCAGCTAATTTTTGTGTTTTTAGTAGAGATGGGGTTTCACCATATTGGCCAGGCTGGTCTCGAACTCCTGACCTTGTGATCCACCCACCTCAGCCTCCCAAAGTACTGGGATTACAGGTGCGAGCCACCGTGATTGGCCAATTTTTGTATTTTTAGTAGAGACGGGGTTTCACCATGTTGGCCAGGCTGGTCTTGAACTCCTGACCTCAAGTAATCCACCCGCCTCAGCCTCTGAAAGTGCTGGGATTACAGGCGTGAGCCATTGCACCTGGCCAAGTTCTTTAGAGATGGTTTCCTTCAGTTTTTTTAGACATGGTTTTCAAATATATATTTGAATATATTTAAAATAACTGGGCCAGGCACAGTGGCTCATGCCTGTAATCCCCAGCACTTTGGGAGGCCAAGGCAGGAGGATCACCTGAGGTCAGGAGTGAGACCAGCCTGGCCAACATGGTGAAACCCTGTCTCTACTAAACATACAAAAATTAGCTGGGCACGGTGGCGGGCGCTTATAATCCCATCTGCTCAGAAGCTGAGGCACAAGAATTGCTTGAACCCAAAACACAGAGGCTGCAGTGAGCCTCTGCCTCCCAAAGTGCTAGGATTACAGGCATGAGCCATCACGCCTGGCCCAAACTAGACATTTTAAATAATATAATGTGGCAACTCTGGAAATCAGATTCTCCACCCTCCCCAGGTTTGTTTTGATGGTGCTGTTGTTTTAGTTCGTTTGTTTATTGACTCTTCTGAACTCTGTTTTCTTTGTCAGGTGAGGCCACTGAAGTCCCTGCTCAGTTAGTTTAATGGTCAGCTGATGATGAACAGAGATTTTTCTTAAACAACTGGAGCCAGTAAGTCTCCCAGTCTTTGCCAAGGGCTTCGTGTGAGTGTCGGGGCGTGCCTTCAACACTAAGCCAGGCAGTCAGCAACTCTGCCTTGGTGTTGTCTTTCTGTTTTTCAGAAAGGTTGAAAAATGTGGCCTTTATTTAGGAGACCATGTGTACAACTAAAAATGAAGGGTTTTTTTTTTAACCAAGGAATGAGGGAAACTAGCTATCTCTGCCGCCTTCATTTTACAGGTGAAGAAACTGAGGTTTAGAGAAGTTCGGTAATTTACCCAAGGACATCCAAGCAATAGGTAGTGGTGCTAGGATTAAAATCAGGCAGCCTGAACGGCTGTAGTGGCTCACACCTGTAATCCAGTACGTTGGGAGGCCGAGACAGGTGGATCACGAGGTCAGGAAATTGAGACCATCCTGGCCAGCATGGTGAAACCCCGTTTCTACTAAAAATACAAAAAATTAGCTGGGCATGGTGGCGCGCACCTGTAGTCCCAGCTACTCTGGAGGCTGAGGCAGGAGAATTGCTTGAACCTGGGAGGCAGAGGTTGCAGTGAGCTGAGATCATGCCACTGCACTGCAGCCTGGTGACAGAGGGAGACTCTGTCTCTAAATAAATAAGTAAATAAATAAAAATCAGGCAACCTGACCCTAAATCACTTTGCCTTACAGAATAGGAAACTGGGGTTCAGAGAAGTTAAAGAACTCTGAGGTCATGTAGCTGGCTAGTGCAGATCTGTCTGGCCCCAGAGCTTATCCTTTCCCCCTTAGTTGCCCCAAATCTATCTTACCCTGGTGGGCCACCAGGAGGAGTGACAAAAAATAGACCTGAATGTTTAAGCTGAAAACACCTGGAAGAGGCCAATTAAGATACCTAAATAAAGTGCCCTTTAAACAACCAGGACAACAATAAATATCTGAAGGTCAGCAAATGAATCAAAATGCTAGATAATCAGAAAGAGCTATTAAGGAACAAACACTGTAGAACTTGCTTGTATACTGGAGCAGGATTAAGGAACTGGTTAGGTCAAGGCTGTGAATTGCCATTAAGAAATCAGTATTAAAAGTTGCTGTCTTGATTGGGACTCTAAGTACCTTCTGTTTTGTTTTTCCCACTAATTTCCCAGACTCCCAGGCCCTTCCAACCAGTCAGTAGGTTAGTATTAATCCCTTTAACCCCCATACATCCCTGGGGTGGGGTTAGGCCCAGTTAAACCCAGGCCTCAAGGTTCCATTGAACCCACCCAAGGTCTGTGGGAAGAGACCCCAGTGCCTGTCTTGACTCACCCATTTCTTTTCTTTGTCAGCTCTTGTTTTTCTTCACCTTGGATTATCCTGAAGCTCAGTTAATTGAGTCCTGAATAAGTAAGGGCATGTTGTAATTCCAAATTCAAGACAAGTTTTCTATTTAACCAGAGGTCCTTTTCATGTTACTCACAGAGGAGACACTCAAGACGGGGTATCAATGGAATTGCAGTTTGATAACTAAACAGAAGCACACTTGAAACTCTGGTGACTAATACAGCCCCATTCACACCTACCGAAAGACAATCCCCTGCTCTATCTGTGGTTTGAATCGATCACAAAAAACACAGATTTGCTTCCAGCAGCTAAAGTAATTTTAGTTTTATCAAATAGTGTATGTTTGGGTTTCTAGAGTTAAAAAAAAACTCATGCTTGGACCTTGGGCACCCATTGGAAGCTGCCTATCTGTTCCCACCCTTGCTGCTAGGACTCTCCTCACTGCTGTTAGCACACAGTGGGTTTCTACTGCTAAGAACTCCCTCCTCAACCCTGCCCTGGCACCCTAAAAATGACCTGTGCTGATACCTTCTCTCCCCTGCTCCCCATACACCCACAGGTGCAGGAACAGCTCCAGCTCTGCCTTTGTCCCGCGCTTTGAGCTTTTTTCAGGCTTCACCACTGCTCTTTCTTTGGCTTCATACTTGGGTTCTTTTTCTGTACAGGGTTAACAACTATATCATGAGAATATTAGTTAGATTCCATTTAACTTTTTACAATTTAATTAAATAGAGGTAATTATAGATTCACATCGGGTTGTAAGAAATAATACAGAGAGATACAATGTGTCTTTTATCCACAGTTTCCTTCCAATGGTAACATCTTACAAAACTCTAGTATGTGCAATATTACAACTAGGAAATTGATGGTACAATCCATAGATCTTGATCAGATTTCCCTCCTGTCTTACATTTACTCTGTGTGTGTGTGTGTGTGTGTGTGTGTGCACGTGCACGTGTATTTAATTCTATGCCATTTTATCACATGTGGAGGTTTGTATATCAATCACCATCTCTTATGTTGCCTTTTTGTAACATAATCTATTTCCCTCTCCTTCCATCCTCCACCCCCTGGCCCTAACCCCTGCCAATCACTAAACTATACTCTCTCACACTAATTTTATGGTTTCAAGAACGTTATATAAATAAAATCATAACATACGTAATTCTTTGGGATTGGCTTTTTCACTTGAAATCCATCCAAGTTTTGTGTGTATCCATGGTTTGCTCCCTTTTTATTGCTGGGTAGTAGTCCAAGGTCTAGATGCACCACAGTTTGTTTAACCATTTGCCCACTGAGACATCTGGGTTGTTTCCAGGGCCTATTATAAATAATGCTGCTGTGGACATTTGTATATAGGGTTTTGTGTGAACATAAAATATGTTTTTATGTTTCTGGGATAAGTACCCAAGAGTGAAATTGCTGGGTTTTGTGGTAATTGCATGTTTAGTTTTATAAGAAACTTCCAAAATGTTCTCTAGAGTGGCTATACCCACCAGCAATGTATGAGAGATTCAGTTTTTCTACATCCTTATCAGCAATTGATATGGTCACTATTTTAAATTTTAACCATTCTGATAGGTGTGTAGTAAAATTTCACTGAAGTTATTTCGTTTTAAAAAACAATTTGTACTTTTCAACTTTTGTTACTAAATATTTGTGCAGCTTTTATATTTTTATTTTTCAGAAACATTTTAATTACTGAATAGCTGTGTAACATGTTAGAAAAATCCAAGTAATATTTCACATAATTCCATTTCACTTGCCTGTCCATACTTTTTCAGTATGCCAAGAATTCTATGCCTACTTTTGACACATAACTTGATGTCAAGTTTCACTTGATGAAACCTTTTTGATAATTGTCAACTCAAAAGTTAACACGACATATACTTCATGAAAATGGAGTTAATTGGCTATTCTGAGCCTTTTATAAAGAGAATTGCTTCATCCACATACCAATTAAGTTTCTATATTTATAAAATATTTTTCTAATCAAAAAATTAATTGAAACTATGAAAAAATAGACACCTGGCTGTTTCTTTCTTTTTCTGTTGTTGAGACAGAGTCTCACTCAGTCACCCGGGCTGGAGTACAGTGGCACCATCTTGGCTCACTGCAACCTCCACCTCCACCTCCAGGGTTCAAGCGATTCTTGTGTCTCAGTCTCCCAAGTAGTTGGAATTACAGGTGCACACTATCACGCCTGGCTAATTTTTGTGTTTTTAGTAGAGATGGGGTTTCACCATGTTGGCCAGGCTGGTCTCGAACTCCTGGCCTCAAGTGATCTACCCACCTCTACCTCCCAAAGTGCTGGAATTACAGGTGTGAGCCACCATGCCCAGCCAACCTGGCTGTTTCTTTTCCAGCCCTTCCAGAATGAGAATTCATGTAGGCCATCTGCCCCACTCTGATCTGCAAGCTGCCTCCCTGATTCCTTGACTCCCTGCAACCCACATCCCCTCCTGTCTTCAGGACATCATACTCGCACCTGGGGGAAAAGGGGAAGTAAAAAGGGAGGCTCAGTGCCCCTGGGTCTGCTTTGTCTGTGAGAGAAATCTGACATTGTTGGCAGAGAACTAACATGTCTTCTTAGAAAAAAGTAGAGCCCCAGTTGCCTGGATACAGTCAGGAATACATATCACTGGATCTGTGGGTGACCTGTAGTTACTTTGTCCCTATTTGAGTTTCCTGAATGTTAAGAGGAAAATGGAGCAGAGCTAACAAATACCTCATACCTGCTTGGGCTTTCTCCGTCAGTCCTCTGTGTGTGCATCACACACCCACACATATGCAAAATAGCTCAGTGTAAAAACCCTGCAGTAAACATCAATCCTTGTAGATTCCCGGGGAGTTCTAGTTGGATTTGCTAGCAAAGCAACTTCCATAAAGACTATAAATAGCAGGCATGTGCCTCTGTAAGCAGTGCAGCTATTTTTTTTTAAATAGGGGATTCTCATGTTACAAGGACATCACAGATTACTGAATAATTTATTTAATGGTAGATTATATGGGCTTCACTCTTTGCCAGTGAGCTCATACCCAAATGTCTAAAGGAGATAAGGTGAGCAAAAGCTAGATGTCAGGCTTGGGTGAGCTGTTTATTTATTTTTATTAGATATGTATAACTATTGTAGCCATTTATATTTTACTTAATATTATCTCAGCTGCAAAGGTCATATATACAATAGTGTCACTACTTTATTACAGACATTTAGCTAACTTCTAACAATTCATATCGCACACAGCATGAGAAATACAGAATAGAATAATAAATAACTTTGGTTGCACTTGATTTTAACAAAGGACTGTGATATATAGGAGTATGTTTGTTCTCTATGAAAGTATAGGGAAATGAGGGGACAAAATTCAAAAAAAGGATGTTAGATTTGAAAATAGAGATAAGAAAAAATGATCTAAATCCATGTTTTTCTGTGAACTATTGTTATAATCTTTTCAATGACTTATAGTAAAAAAAAATTGCTTATAAGCTTACAGATCTTAGACATTTTACCTTTAGCTATATACAGTTCTCAGGTGTGCAGAGGTACCCTGGAAGACGGACATACTTTTCTGTCAAATGTAATTTTAATGAATATGAAATTTATTTAAAAAGGAAATTTAAATTTGGCAATAGCAAGATGTCAAAAGATTTGAACAGGCACATAACAGGAAATTCATGTGGCCAATTAACATAGTAAAAGATTCTTGGTTTTGTTTAATAATCAGGGAAATGCAAATTAAACTCACAGTGAAATGTTACTCACTACACAGCCACCTGATCAGTTGAAGTTTTAAAGTTTGACAATAACAAGTGCTGTTGAGGATGGAATATAGTGAGAACCGCTGCTGTTGGAAGTTTGTTTTTATTTATTTTTTGAGTCAGGGTCTTGCTCTGTCACCCACGCTGGAGTGCGGTGGCGCGATCATGGCTCACTGCAGCCTCCACCTTCCAAGTAGCTGGGACTACAGGAGTGGACCACCATACCCAGCTATTTTTTTTTCTTTTTTTTGTAGACATGGGGTCCCACTGTATTGTTCAAGCTGGCCTTGAATTCCTGGGCTCAAGCGATCCTCCCACCTCAGCCTCCCAAAGTGCTGAGATTACAGGTGTGATCACCGCACCCAGTCTGCTTTTGGGAGTTTAAATTGAAGCAAAGTTTTGGCAAATAGTTGCCATTCTCTACTAAGGTTAAAGATTCACACACCCTATTCACAAGTGGAGAAATTCTGATGTGGGAAAATGCCATCAAGGCAGGTGTACATGCATATGCTGTGGACCAGGATGTATACAAGAATGTGTAGAGAAGCAGTGTTTGTAATAGCCCCAAGCTGGAACCAAACCAAATGCTGGCCTGTCATAGAAAGCATAAGAATTAGAGCCACTTAACAACAGCATGGTTGGAGTTAATAAATATAATGTTGAAGAAAAGAAGCAAGACACAAATACTCAGAGTCAGGGTCCATTGATATAAAGCTTATAAACGGGCAAAGCTAAACTACATTGTTTAGGGATGCATATAGAGATAGTAAAACTCTAAAGAAAAGCAAGGAAATTGTTATAATAAAAGTGAGGATGGTGGTTACTTTTAGAGGAGAAAAAGAATTGTGACCGAGCTTACTCTGAGACTTCTGCACTCTGGAAATGTTCTATTTCTTGACCTGGCTGTGGTTTCATGGGTTTTTACTTCATCATCATTCACTGAACTGGATCTTTACTTCCATAGTTTGTGGATGTACGTTATGTTTCACGCACACATACATACACACACATGATGCTTTCTAGTCATACTACTAAATACTGAAAGATCAAAATCTAGAAAAAGAAACTCCCTAGTTCAATTTAGTACCTTTAAAAAATGAACTTTAAGTATTCAGTTCAGTTGAATGAACATTCAAAACAACAAGCCGAATCTATGCACCATTGTGCCTCAGAATTCTACAGTGTTGTGCTGGAAGGACAGCCAGAGGAAAGGAAGGAGCATCAGCTCCCAGGCAAGGGCTGCTTCCCAGCCAGCTCTGCTCCTCCACATCTCTTTCCCCAGGCAATTCTCTAGGCTTGGTTTCTCATCTGTAGAGGCCCAGACTGGATCTGCTCCTCTGAGAGTCTCCTAATATATTACTAAGAGTCATCTGTTGGAAGTTTGTCATTTTTAAAATATAAAATTCTTTTCATTTGGACAAGAATCTAAAGAATATAAGCATATTTGGGGTCCTCCCTATGTCCACGTTTGAGTGTACAGTGCCAGCCTTGCTCAGTGTTCACAATCACAATGCAACCTAGATGCGCTATTTTAATTGCCAGTTGTCAACTGTTAATTGCCAATCAGAAGAAAACGCAAGTGGCCTTAGTAGAGTATGTACTTGCCAAGTGAGCTCACAGAAGGCCCACAACCAGTGTTTCCATAGGAGTTTGAAGAGACGATGCCACGTGAGATTTAAGTCATGAGACAATGCAGGTGTAAGGCGTGCCCAGCTCAGAGAACCGACTCGGTGCTTGAGTTACCAAGCAAGGGGCAATTTGACTCCACAAAATCACACTATCTGTCTCATTCAATTAATGTTACCTTGAGTTTTATTGGTTTTATATTTGATTTGTCAAATCATGAACTTATTTTGATTTTATAGTTGTAGAAAACTTACAAGGGTTGTATACCCAATTTTATGTTTGTGTACATCCAACTAACAATCTTTATAAAAGTGGTTTATGTTAACACTGGAAATCATCCTTTTTTTTTTTTTTCTTGAGAAAGCAGTGCACATCACTCAAATTTCAGCCATGCTGAATTCTGTGACCTACAGACACTTCTGGGGTTTGTTTCTATTTTAGGGAGTTGAGCCCTTTCCAAAGCAGGCGGCCGGGGGCATCCCTGGTGCTGCCTGGGACTCCATCCTCTTTAATCTGTGGCAGTGACTCTCAGCTACAGGTGATACTGCCCACAGGGAGATTTTGGGCAGCATCAGGAGACACTGTCAATGGTCACAAGCAGAGGAAGTGCATAGTCACAGAGGCCAGGGTGCTGCTAAACATCCTGCAATGCATAGGACAGCCCCCCAGAACAAAGAGCTAACCAGGGAACAGAACCCCCGATTCTGTTCTCCCACTTCGACTTCCCTAAGAAGAAAATCTCCTCTATGTCAGTTCCCAGTTAATCAGGGAAAGGCAGCAGTTTTCTTTTACAACTTACCTTTCTCAACACTTGTTTCCTTTAACACAGCAGAATCAGACAAAAGCAAAAATAATCCCTCAGGTGTGAAAAGGTTCATTGCCTGACTGGCTTGATTGAAGAGTGGAGGGTGGGGCGGATGTCAGCTATTATTTTTTTGAGGCAACCTTATTCCTGGTCCACCGTCTACACAGAGCGACTCTTCTATCCTGGCGCCTGATGTCTGTAGCTGGTCTCTGGAGGGGATGTGCTGCAAAGTGATTCCCAGGGGAGCCAACATCTCCTCCAGAATAAATTATTGAAAACAATACTTAACAGGAAATGTTCATGAGAGCTTCAGACAGACTGAAGTGGTTTCAGATCATCTGAGAGGGCTGACCTAAGGGCCCGCATAGCTGTGGCTGTCTACCTGCCTGCCAGGGCTGCTGGGGAACCCTTTGCTATCTATCCCCGTGGCTCATGGGACTGTGGAGTATGTGATTCTTGTATTTGTTCATACAGATTGCGCTGCTTGTGCCTGGGTCCTGTCTTCTCTTCTCCATCAGATATTTAACTCCTCGAGTCCTCGAGAAGAGAGGCTTCTGTGTCATTTGTTGTCACTGTGTGCCATCCAGTGCACTCAGCAAGGTGGCCAGCTCTGTAGGGAACCGGTCATCACTGTCAATGAACTAGGAAAAACCACCATGTAAAAAAAAATAGCCCAGGGAGGATTACGGGCAATGATTTCCTAGACACTTCCCCGTCACAGGCTTCAGCCTTCCTCGCTGTGATTCTAGTGACCAGAATCCAGTCACAGCCAGCCTCTGTCTCTGATTTGGAAGCATTAGAATCTATAGCTTTCTACCAACAAGAGAACAGCCCTTAAGCTCCAGGACCAAAAAAAGGAATGCGCTCTTCCTCACTGACTGGGTGGCTGCCCAAGGTGAAGATGGGATAGGGGGTCTGATCTCTCCCTACTCCATCCTCCCCTCTCACCCCACTAGTACAAGGTCTCAGAGACCACTAAAGACTTCACCTGCCCCTGACACCCACTGACACATGGCAATTTCTGACCCTAAGTGGATGCTTCACATCCTCTGACCACCACCATTCCCTCCCCATCCCTCCTCCTCAGGGCACATCCTGAACTCTTTATAAAAGAAAAAAGAGGGCACCATGCCTTTAGCACAACACAGATGCCCTGGAGTGTGGCAAACAGGGCCCTTGTTCCTGGCCTGGACCCTGGGGTGGCTCAGATCCCACTTCTGGGAGGAGGGGGCAGCTGGTGGAGGAAGAAACAAGACCTGAGGGGTGCAGGCATCCCCTCAGCACCAACAGCCTACACCTCCTCTCCCCGTGCCAGTCTCTGATCGACACCCTCCCCCTCCTCTGGTCTTTGAGGCCGCTCCCTCCTCCAGACTCCTGGGTCCTGCACACATGGGGAACTGGATGAGGTCCTAGGAGTGAGCCACGTGGCTCAAGGTAGCTCATCGGAATAGGAATTCAAACTGTGGCCAAAGAAGAGAGAAAAATGGGAGGCCAGAGAAGCAGAGCATCGGGTATGGGGATGAGGCTGGGCCACAAAAAGGAAGGCCCATCTAGGGGTCAGAGGCTGGCAGGGTGCCAAGCAGAGCAAGTGATGCTGTAGAAGACTGGTTAGGAGAAATGGTACAGGCGAAGTCCATGAGCAAACCAGATTGGGGTCTGCTAGTATGGAATCCTGGTGATGTCTTAGCTCTGGGATGGAGACAATCCTTCAAGTCCATCTTAGGTGTTAAATCGATGATGTTCAGACTTGGTTGGGGGAAGGGAAAGAGTAGTTGTGATTACCCTAACCTTACCCAAATACAGCAATGGCCCGGGACCCAATTCAGGACTCAGAGGGCAAGCCAGACCCTGCCCTAGCCAAATAATGCAGCAAGCCCCTTGCTCAGTGGTGAGGAATAGCTAAATGTGGCCCCTACACCTGGGGTAAACCAGAGCCTAACTTTAGCTTCCTAGGAGCATATGCAAAATGTGCGGCCAGCTGCCCCTGCAGCCTCACCCAAGGCCACTTCTCTTTTACATGCTGCACCTGTGGGTATTTGCATGTTTGGCCAGCTCGCAAGCCAGTTCTGAGGCTGAGAACATCCTAGTCTCTCAAACGGGATTCCTTGTTCCCTTGGGAACCAGCTCCTCCCTCCCCTCCCACCCTAGAGGCAAAGCCTTGCTTTCTGCATTTCTGCCCTGTGGGTGGGTGCCATGGAGGGGAGCAGCCTCGCAGAGGAGGCCTAAAGTTTTGAGCGGAGTAAAGGACAGCGACACCTTACTTGCGCCTTTGAGAAGGGAAACAACCAGCTCAGGAGCCGCAGTCCGGTCTGGTCTGCCAGCTCCTATTTCCCCCTCCTCTTGGCTGCTGGCCTTTTGTTCTTGTCATGGCTCATTAGCTCCCTAAACAGAGGTTGATTAAAGAAAATAAAAGGAGAAAAATAGGGAAATTAATTGCACTGGTGAAAGGTCTAATGGGGAAGGAAGTTAAAACCAATTGTCTTGAGATTTTAATTATCCCATCTGCTCTCTGGCCCCTTGATGGTGCATAACCAGAATGAAATGTTAATGTGGGCACTAAACATATTTTACACCCACTTCCCAGTGAGTTCTCTGGTCTCCTACTTGAAAGCTGGTGAGCCCAGGCATCAGGACGCGCCACTGGGACCTGTGTACTGGGTGATGCCAGGCAGATGGGAGGACAGGAGGCCCTGCCTGTGAGGACTATGGAGTAGGGACTATGGAGCAGTGTGTGTGATGCTTCCTTGGCACGATGGAAAGATACAGGGTTGGGTTGCAGGAATGAAGAGAATAGGAGAGAAAAAGAAGCCTCTCTTTCTATGTCACTCCCTGGAAGAACTCAGAGTCCTGATGTCTGGTCTTAGAAGGACTGGTACATTTTGGAGGAATATCAAGAAACAGATATGAGCAGTGGGAAGAGGCCAAACAGTAAAGCCCCAAGTGCCCCTCTGGCAAGAGGAGCAGATTTTGCTGCCAGGAAATCAGAGCTAGAGTTCCCTGCTAGTGGCCTCTCTCCTTTCACCTCATTTATTCTTCCTCTTCACTGGACGATGCCACTCAAAAGAAAATGCAAAGATGGGCTGCACAGTTCCAGCAAGAGTCTCCATGGCTCCACTAAAGTCAGATGGACTCTGAACCTATAGGAAACATCCAAACAGATGGGAAAAGAAGAAGTAAATCCCTTCTGAGTAAGCAGCCACTAAATTAAGCTCTATTAGTCTGTAGGATATGTGGCAGATTGGTTTGCCCCCATTTGAAGTCCAATTCCTGGCCAGGCACAGTGGTTCACACCTGTAATCCCAGCACTTTGGGAGGCTGAGGCAGGAGGATAACTTGAGGCCAAGAGTTCAAAACCAGCCTGGTCAACTGGTCAACAGAGCAAGACCCCTTTCTCAATCAATCAATCAATCAAATGAAGTCCAATTCCTGCTCTGCCCACAGTGGGTCATTGAAACCACTGGCCCTTCAGGTGAGCCCACTGGTTCTCTCTTAAGGTGGGGACTATTGATGTCACAGGCCTGAAGCCATTCTACTAGTAGATATCACAATAACACCAATTGAGATCCTAACCCAGAAATCAAAGTCTATCCCATTTAACACAATACCTACACCCACATGCCTTTGGTATATAGGTGGTAACTATATATAGCTGGGAACGTGGAGATACAACTTATGCCACTTTCGTCAGTTTCCCACTCTTAGTGTTGTGCAATACAGTAGTCTCCCCTTATTTAAGTAGTCTTCACTTTATTCAAAGGGGGACTACTGTATTGTATGACATCCAAGATCCCCAGTAGATGCCTGAAACCTTGGGTAGTATCAAACCCTATATATACTGTTTCTCCCTATATATGCCTGTGATAAAGTTTAATTTACAAATTAGACACAGTAAGAGATTAACAACAATAACTGATAATAAAATAGAACAATTATAATGCTATGCTGTAATGAGTCACATGAATGGGGGCTCTTTCTGTCTCAAAACATCTAATTGTATCATATTCACCTATTTTCAGACCATGGTTGACCGTGGGTAACTGAAACCATAGAAAGTGCAACTGAGGCTAAGAGGGGACTACTATAGAAGGCAACCCTCAGCAGTGTGGACTGCTGGTGGAAAAGCTAGGAACAGCACAGGCACCAGAGTGTACAAAACCACCTCCACATTAAGCCCGTTATTTAAGTCTGCCCAGGACCGTGAGGAATTGACATGGTCCTCTCTGTTGAACCCCAGCATTAAACCACTTTCCGCACCAATACCATCTTCATTCCTAACACCTCTGGCCTCAAGAGGAAGGATCTGGGGTGAATACACTGTCAGTCTCTCGGATATTTTTTCCACGTATAATGCTGCAACATAAAGCATTGAACAATAGGAGAACCACTAGAAATAAGTTTCCCTGATGCAACCCAGAGAAGAGAGTTGGTGCTTTTCTTTTGTATGGACCTGGGGTATTCTTGGAGAAGTAGAGGAAATGACCTTGTTATTCTCTGCTAAGATGGATTTTCCAGAGAGTTATAAAATCTAAACGACAATCGGCTAGCACACAAGGAGCACCTGTGTGGAAGAGACTGCGACCCGGGTGAGTGCTCTTGTGGGCAGCAGATTTGGGTCTCTGCATGTGGTGGACTGAGATACAGAATGGGTCTGACTGGCAGAGAAAAGTGAAAAGGGCAATCCAAGAATAACAGCATGGAGGAGGAGAAAAACCCAAAGAAATATACCTTCAAATGACCATCTCTTTTTGGACATCAGAAAAGCGAGTAGATCATACTGTTTGGTCCCAAATGGTATGGCTTTGTCCCCTAGCCCCTGGATGTGGAGAAGTCATGGAGCTATGCAAACGTGGAAAAGCCAAGGAAAGGAATATTTCACATTTATATGGCATTTTACAGCTGCTTTCCCCCACATGGTTGTGCTTGATGTTCACAACCACATCTGAAGCAGACAAGAATTATCTTCATTTCACAGATGAAAAATAGTCTGAGAGGCTAAATGACTTCTTGAAAGCCACACTCTTTTTCCATGGCAGAGCTGGGATTAGAACCTGAGTGTTCTAACTTTAAATTCTGGGCTCTTCTAGTGATGTCAGTGGTTTTTCTTTTTTCTTTTTTGAGACGGAGTCTCACTCTATCGCCTAGGCTGGAGTGCAGTGGTGCGATCTCGGCTCACTGCAACCTCTGCCTCCCAGGTTCAAGTGATTCTCATGCCTCAGCCTCCCAAGTAGCTGGGATTATAGGCATGTGCCATCATGCCTAGCTAATTTTTTCTATTTTTAGTGAGATGGGGTTTCACTGTGTTGGCCAGGTTGGTCTCGAACTCCTGGCCTCAAGTGATCCTCCTACCTCGGCCTCCCAAAGTGTTGGGATTACAAGCACGAGCCACCACACCTGGTCCTATGTCAGTGATTTTTAAACTGTGTACCCAACAGAACATCCTCAGAGAGGAAGAGGATACTGGCTTCCCTGATCACTCAGATGACAGCAGCTACAGTCTTACTTGCCTTATGTATTAAAAATTTTAGTATATAAGATTTTGTTTGTTAAAAAAAAAAAAGGATTAAAATAAGTTGGCAAGTCGCTGCCCTCTGCCATGATCCCTACACTGGGGAGGGGGGATGTTCAGCTATAACATAAGGAACAAGTACAAGCAAGGAAAGGACCAGCCCCCATGGGCGTGGCCATTTCCCAGTGAACCCTCAGCAAGTGCATGCTCCACACTTCAGGTTCTCTCTTAGATGGGGAAAGAAAGAGCTGAGGGCTGTCAATTTGGGGACGTTCTTCCTGGACTGACTTCATGGGATGCTGCCTGGTCAACTCCATGAATCTTGTCCAGGCAAATCTAAACCCCTCAGCAGACTAACTCAGCCCACCCAAGCTTCATCAGCTGCTGCAGCCCAGTGCCTGGTAAGCAATGCTTCCAGGCTCCTCCCAACCTGGCCTCCAATGAGATGCACACTCACCCTACAGGTTGGCCTATGTTGGCACATCACCTGTTCATGGTGCAAGGCCATTCAAGGTGTCAGTCCCACCAGCCTGAGCCCTAAGACCTCCCAACAGTTTGTCCTTTTCCTCCAATCTCTTCTTTCCATATGGCTCTGCCTGCTCCTCAAATGCTATTCCTATCTTTGCTGGCTTTGGCTTCCCTGTAGCTGTTTAGAAACACCCTCCTACTCTTCTCTAGCTTCCTGGTCAGCAAATATTCTGGCTTATCGAGGGCCTCCTGGTGCTGTGAAGAGTCAGGGCAAATCATTTCATGTTTGGTTTTGTCTCTTTATCCTGGACCATTAAGAAGCTGCCTGCTACAGAGAAAAGACTTGTCTGAAGTCGGCCTCTCTGATCATCATGGCTGATGGGCCTAAATAAATCCCTTTGTTCAGATTTTATAAAGCACGTATGACTTGGCTTTTGTTATTCATTTTCACATCTCTCTTCGTAAACTGTGTGTGACATAAAGAAATCAGACAGACCTGGGTTCAAATCCCAGCTTTGTACTTACTAACTATATGATCTTGGACAAGCTACTCAAGCTTTCTGATCTTCTTTTTCCTCACTTATATCAAGAGATAATACTATCTACTGCACAGGGTTGTTCTTGTTTTTTAATAGAGAATAAATGAGATAAAGAATCCTTTACAGTGCTTGGCACAGAGTGAGAGTTCAATAGACACTAGTTTCTCCTTCATCCTTAGGATAGAAACCAAAACTTATCCACGTTTCCCCAAAACCTAGTAGAGTAGCTGGCACATAATATATTCTCAGTGAATATTCATTGCTGGAGTGAAAGAATGAAACGTGACCTCAGCTTACTGCAACCTCTGCCTCCTGGCTTCAAGCGATTCTTCTGCCTCAGCCTCCTGAGTAGCTGGGACTACAGGTGTGCACCACCATGCCCAGCTAATTTTTTGTATTTTTAGTAGAGACAGGGTTTTACCATGTTGGCCAGGCTGGTCTTGAACTCCTGACCTCAAGTGATCCATCTACCTTGGCCTCCCAAAGTCCTGGGATTACAAGGATAAGTCACTGTGCCCAGGTAAAACATATTTTTAAATGAAATGGTGTGTTATAGCATGTACTCTTTTAAAATTATTTATCTATCTTTCAAAAGAAAAAAATGCCTGGAAAAATATTAGCTGGCAATGGCTATGTCTGGTGGGTGGGAGGGTAGTAATTTTTACTTTATATATGATACTTTCAATATTGTTTGAAAAGTTTTTAAAATAAGCATCATTTTTATAATCAGAAAAAAATAACTTTTGGGGGTCTGGGTATGGTGGCTCATGCCTGTAATCCTAGCACTTTGGGAGGCCAAGGTGAGCAGATCACTTGAGGTCAGGAGTTTGAGACCAGCCTGGCCAACATGGTGAAACCCCATCTCTACCAAAAAGATAAAAATTAGCCAGATGTGGTGGCGGGCACCTGTAATCCCAGCTACTTGGGAGGCTAAGGCAGGAGAATCACTTGAACCCAGGAGGCAGAGGTTGCAGTGAGCTGAGTTTGCGCCACTGCCCTCCAGCCTGGGCAACAGAACAAGACTCCGTCTCAAAACAAACCAAAACACATAAAGGGGTATAACAATTAGTGTGTATATATTTTTTGGTTATAAATGTCAATACCTACCTTAAACTCATTTACACTCAAAGGAAAATGTATTTGGAAGGCTAAGAGGACTGCAGGAAGGTCAAGGTGTGGCTGCACCTCAGAAGAGCTGGAAATGGATCTGGCATGCTGCTGTTACGCCCCCCTCTCTCTGCAGCTCTGGGTGTGGGTGTCAGTCCTTCAGCTACAGGCCAGCTTCCTCTATCTGGTGGGAAACGCCATCCCGATGACTTCAGAGCTGCTAACCCCGCCACAAAGAGACAATGAGCACTACTCTTTGGTCCCTAGGTCATCAATTCCAAGCACGTACTGCACTGTCCCTACTTGGGTCAGATGTCCATCCCTTACCCAGGCTTTACAGCTGGCCCACTGTGTGGTCCATTCCCAACCATGGGTCCATCACTGTGGGCCAGGAGGCAGAGTCGTGTAAGAAGAACTGTATTAATGGCTTGAGAAATAACTGTTCCCTCTCCCCCTGCACTCTTCTGCTGTGAGCTGCTATTTCCTTGGAGATAGGAAGAGAGGATAGGAAGTTCTGAGCCTGTTGGCTTAGTTTCCATCTTCAGAGGAGGGCCAGGGAAGACTGGAGGTAGGAAACTGGGCAGGCTTGGATCAACAGTTGTTAACATCAGAGACAATGGTGAGCTTCCCTGACAAGTTCCTGTGACGGTGCAAAGTCATTTCATCTGAGTTCTCATGGAGCTCACAGCTCAACCCAAGAGATGAATGCTGGATAGAGTAGCCTTCATTGTCATTCCTTTACCTCTCTTCCTGGGCACCTTCCATCACTTCCCTATAAGCAAGAAGAAATGTCTTCTAAATGATGAAGGGTTATCTTGCATCAAACACCCCAGAGCTCAAGAAAGCATTCATTGGCTTCTATTTCTCTGTGCACTCTCTGCTTTGTTTACTTAGGAGATTGTAATTTAATTTTTTTCCAAAATAGAATGACTTTGTCTAAAAACCACGTTTAAATACAGTAGGACCTCATGACATCATAGCTCATGGTTAGAATTCAATTTGGAATAAGTCTTGATGTTGGAATGGGATCACTGCACTGGGAGCCCCTGGTGGTCAGGAGCTGTGCTTTAGCCATCGCCGAACTCCAGCATCGAGTGCAGTCCTGCTGCCTGATACACACTCAGAAGTTAAAGGCACTCAAAAGTCCTATGGTTCATTCTTTTTTAAAAATTTAATTTTTAAAATATGACACATAATAACTACATATTCATGGAGTACATAGTGTTTTCATACATATAATGTATAGTGATCAAGTCAGGATAATTAGCATATTCATCATCTCAAACATTTATTATTTCTTGGTGTTGGGAACATTCAATATCCTCTTTCTAGCTATTTGAAACTATACATTATTGTTAAATATTCTACAGTGGTATAGAACACTGGAACTTATTCCTCCTCTCTATCTGTGATTCTGTATTCTTTAACAAATCTCTCCCTGTCTCTCCCTTCCTCCTACCCTTACCAGCCTCTAGGATTCTCTGTTCTACTTTTTTCGTCTATGAAATCACCTTTTTTTTTTAGCTTCTACATATGAGTGAGAACATGTAGTGTTTAATTTTCTATTCCTGGCCTATTTCATTTAACATGTCTTCCAGTTCTATGTTGCTGCAAATGACAAGATATCATTCTTTTTATGGCTGAATAGTATTCCCTTTTGTAGATATATACCACATTTTCTTTATCCATTCATCTGTTGCTGGACACCTAAGTTGATTCCATATCATGGCTATTGTGAAAAGTGCAATAAACATAAGGATGCAGCTACTTCTTCAAAATACGGATTTCCTTGCTTTTGGATAAATGCTCAGTAGTGGGATTTTTAGACTGACTACCAGTAGTTCTCTTTGTAGTTGTTTTTTGTTTGTTTTTTTGTTTTTCGAGGAACCCCCATACCGTTCTCCATAGTGGCTGTATTAATTTACATTCCTCTTATACACTGTTGGTGGGAATGTAAATTTATACAGCCACTATGGAGAACGGTATGGGGGATCCTCAAAAAACAAACAAACAAAAAACCCAGCAGTATATAAGCGTTCCCTTTTCTCCTCATCCTCACCAGCCATTGTCATTTTTGTCTTTTTGATAATAGCCAGTCTAACTGGAGTGAGATGATACCTCATTGTGGTTTTGATTTGCATTTCCCTGATGATTAGTAATGTTGAGCATTTTTTCATATATTTGTTGGCCATTTGTATGTCTTCTTTTGAGAAATGTCTGTTCAGATCATTTGCCTATTTTTGATCAGATTTTTTTTTCTGCTGAGATGTTTGAGTTCCTTGTATATTCTGGATATTAATCCCCTGTGGAACGAGTAGTTTGTAAATATTTTCTCCCATTATGTAGGTTGTCTTTTCATTCTGTTGATTGTTTCCTTTGCTGTGTAGAAGATAATCCCATTTAAAAATTTTTGCTTTTGTTGCCTGTGCTTTTGAGGTCTTATTCATAAATCTTTTCCCAGACCAATGCCGTAAAGTGTTTCCCGTACGTTTTCTTCTAGTAGTTTTATTGTTTTGGGTCTAACACTTCAATCTTTTATCCATTTTGAGTTGATTTTCGTATAATGTGAGAGGTGGGAGGTCTAGTTTCATTCTTCCGCATACGAACATCCAGTCTTTCCAGAACTATTTATTGAAGAGAATATCCTTTCCCCAGTGAGTGTTCTTGGCACCTTTGTCAAAAATCAGTTGGCTGTAAATACATGTATTAATTTCTGGGTTCCTTATTCTGTTTCATTAGTCAATGTGTCTGTTTTTATACCAATACCATGCTCCTTTGGTTACCAGAGCCTTGTAATATTTTGAAGTCAGGTAGTGTGGTGCTTCCAGCTTTGTTCTTTTTACTCAGGGATTGCTTTGGCTATAGAGTTCTTTTTTGATTTCATACAAATTTTAGGAGTGTTTTTTCTAATTCTGTGAAAAATGACATGGTATTTTGATAAGAATTACATTGAATCTGTAGATTGCTTTGAGTAGTATTGTCATTTTAACAATATTAATTCACTTGGTTCATGAGCACAAGATGTCCTTCCATTTGTTTGTATCCTCTTCAATTTCTTTCATCAGTGTTTTGTAGTTTTCCTTTGTAGAGGTCTTTTGCCTCCTTGGTTAAATTTATTCCTAGGTATTCTTTTTCTTAGCTATTATAAATGGGATTGCCTTCTTGATTTCTTTTTCACCTAGTTTGTTGTTCATGTTTAAAAAATGCTACTGCTTTTTGTATGTTGATTTTGTATCCTGCAACTCTGCTGAATTGATCAGTTGTAAGAGTTTTTTGAGTAGACTATGTTTTTCTACATATGAGATCATGTCAAACAGGGATGATTAGTTGTTTCTTTGGGTTTCTGTTAATTTTTTTTTTTTTTTTTTTTTGTCTATTAAGGATGTCACACATTTCTCCAAATCTTCTGTTCCTACAGTAAAACATTTTCAGAGATATGTTCTTCCTCTGAGTTTTTGGGATGATGTTCCCTTTATCTTGTTCCATAGATTTTCCCACACATAATTCATTTTTTACCTCTCTACTCATCCTCGACCAAGGTACAATCTATCCTTCTACTAACAGAGAGGCTACTTGAACTACCTGGGTTTGGGCTTGCCTAAGACTGAGAGCTTTCCTAGAGAGCAGGACTTACAGTTCTAAAACTAGGACAGTCCTAGGTAAACTAGAATGGTTAGTCACCCTAGGGGTAGTTACCAACATGAAAGGGGGTAAGAGAGAGGGAATTTGGGAAAGAAAGGAAGAACTGAGAAATTATGGACTTTCAACCCAACCCTAGTTTTATGGTTTTTCTTTCCATTTTAATAACTGAGGTTCCTGCACATAAACTCACCCATGATATTTGAACTCAATAATTCTTCAGGTTAATTATTCTTTCAACCTATACATAATCGTCCATTTTTCACTCCTCAGTTCCAGCCCACTATAAATATTTTTCCTAGTTTCTAGCCTTTGTTCGTCTAATTTGATGGCATTTTAATGACTGCTTTGAAGCTCTCTCTGCACCAACACACAGCGTGATAACATATAACATATAAAAGAGAATTTAAAAGTCATAGCCATGCCCCAAAAATGAGATACACGTGTCCATGGAACAGAGTCAAAATGCAAAACAACGAGTAGAGGGCCTGCTGAGCTCTGGATCTCAGAGTAGGTAATAGCAGATGTGAATTTGACTTCTGCAGGTAGACAGGCTGCACAGGGTAAAAGGGCTCCACATGAAGCAGGGGAACCAGAGCCATGCTCAGGACCTGCACCCAGAGGCCATGGCAGGGTTTTCCTGGCTAGGGAGAGGAGGCCAGGAAATCTGTTGATAACCACTGCCTGGAGTGTAGCTTAGTGCCTAGAGTGAACTCAAGCACAAGTCCCATAAAGAGGATGCACAGACAGAGAGAAAAAAAAAATAGAGAGGCAGAGGTAAACCTTCTGCCCATGATGACCTTAGAAGCTCGATCTTAAAACACATGAGGAAATCTTACACCAAGGAAGATAGCTAATAAAATCAATAATTGCAATATGAGTTTTTTCTAGAAAGACACAAAATTTTAAATGTTAAAAAAGACTTGAAAATATGTACATTTAAAATCCTTGAAGAGATGGGTAAATAAATTACATCCTTAAAAGAGATATATGCCACCAAATAGGGACAGATAAAATAAGCACAGGTAGTTTTAAAAATTAAAAACCGTGGAGAAGAAAAATGCAGCCATTGACAAGGGGCAGGGGGCCACTCAGTGGGATAGATTCTAGACTAAACATAGTTGAAGAGAGAATTAACAAATAGGAATAAGGAATTCATCCAGACAGTAACAGTATCAAAGGGGCTATCTGAATAAGACAGAGAATGACAGGCACTGTGGTTATGGGTCAGGGGCTCAGGAAAGGCTTGTTAAAGGACACATTTAAGCAGCAGCCTGACTTAGTAAGAACGAGTCATGTGATGACTAAAACACCAAAAGCAATGGCAACAAAAGCCAAAATAGACAAATGGGATCTAATTAAACCAAAGAACTTCTGCACAGCAAAAGAAACTACCATCACAGTGAACAGGCAACCTATAGAATGGGAGAAAATTTTTGCAATCTACCTATCTGACAAAGGGCTAATATCCAGAATCTACAAAGAACTCAAACAAATTTACAAGAAAAAAACAACCCCATCAAAAAGTGGGCAAAGGATATGAACAGACACTTCTCAAAAGAAGACATTTATGCAGCCAACAAACATATGAAAAAAAAGCTCAACATCACTGATCATTAGAGAAATGCAAATCAAAACCACAATGAGATACCATCTCACTCCAGTTAAAATGGCAATCATTAAAAGGTCAGGAAACAACAGATGCTGGAAAGGATGTGGAGAAATAGGAACACTTTTACACTGTTGGTGGGAGTGTAAATTAGTTCAACCATTGTGGAAGACAGTGTGGCGATCCCTCAAAGATCTAGAACTAGAAATACCATTTGGTCCAGCAATCCCATTACTGGATATATACCCAAAGGATTATAAATCATGCTACATTAAAGACACATGCACACGTATGTTTATTGTGGCACTACTTACAATAGCAAAGACTTGGAACCAACCCAAATGTCCATCAATGATAGACTGGATTAAGAAAATGTGGCACATATACAACATGGAATACTATACAGTCATAAGGATGAGTTCATGTCCTTTGCAGGGACATGGATGAAGCTGGAAACTATCATTCTCAGCAAACTATCACAAGGACAGAAAACCAAACACCGCATGTTCTCACTCATAGGTGGGAATTGAACAATGAAATCACTTGGACACAGGGCAGGGAACATCACACACTGGGGCCTGTCATGGGGTGGGGGGAGGGGGAGGGATAGCATTAGGAGAAATACTTAATGTAAATGATGAGTTGATGGGTACAGCAAACCAACATGGCACATGTATACTTATGTATCAAACCTGCATGTTATGCACATGTACCCTAGAACTTAAAGTATAATAAAAAAAAAAGAGTCATGTGAATGAAATAAAAATAAATAAATCCATCCATGCATAGATATTATGCAAGGCATAATACCTATTTTCCAAGTTGTTGTGAGGATTCAATTAAATAACATAAAGCAGCAAGCCCAGTGCCTGAGACATAATTAATAACAAATGTTAAGAAACATACTTCCCTTCCTAAGAATCTGAGTTACAGAATGAATTTAGCATTCGATCTCTATATTGAGGAGGCTTTTGGCCACCTTGCTGGAGCCGAACATCATGCTGATAGGACTCAAATTGACTGATAATCTTTGGATCCTAATAACGGTGGATTTAGTTATTTGTGACAAAGTGGCTGGAACATTGTCAGTTGTCTGTATGCCTGTTTCCTCCTTCTGCTTCTCTCTCTTGAGAACAAATTCTGTTTTCCCCTCTAGCATTAACTAAACAAGCTAGTCACATCCAAAATAGAGATGACATTTTAGTATAACCAGGCAGCCTGGACAGGAATTTCTTTGCAAATCCCAATATTCCATCAGTACAGCTCTCAGCATTTCTCCCATTATGTCTTCTGTGGAGCCCAGAAAGAACTCCTGACAGAGGTCAGGAAAGGGGGAAAGACAAAGCCACCCTTTTACTCAGCATGAAGCCTTTTCAACTCACAGGCCCCTGATGAAAACATTCCATAATGAAAAGAACAAAATAAGATGGGCTCACAGTGAACAGCTACAGACTGTTCCATCAGACAGAGAGCAGCTTCTTGGGATGTGGGAATCTGAGACTGGATTGTATTCAAAGAAAATACCCCCAGAGTGATAAAGTGCAAGTCCTGGGGGCTCAGCAACATTCAAAGTTCCATGCTTTGAAGCGGGGTATTTCCCTGCCAAGGCCTGAGGATGGGGGCTAGCTATCCTAGAAACAGAATTAGACTGGGAATGAACCAGGTGATGAAGGGCCTTTGGCATGGCAGTTTCTCTCCTCCTTGAGCAAGGCAGATACAGGCCTCTGTGATGAACCAGAAAAGAGAAGCTGGAGGCGCAGCACTGGTATTTGTTTTTCTAACCAGAAGAGAGAAAACATGTTCCACCCTCTCTGAGTCCTTGGTTAGGAAAAGGTTGTTTTAAGAAGAAGAGAAGGAAGAGGAGGAAGAAACAACCCTCCTTTCTGTAGCTAAACTGGCTTTTGCACTCATTTCCCAGGGGCAAGGCAGCATAATGACTCTTCCTTCCTGCCTTGGACATTGGGTGGCGTCCAGCGGGTTCCCCTGGTCCCTGTAGTCGATATTCCCTCAGCAGCTCAGTCCTGCCCAAGCTCCAGCACGATTGTCCCACACTGGCAAATCTATAAAAATAAGTCTTCTCCTTATTTGAGTTCCTTTCTTGTTTTTTTCCAAAAACTGCATATCTCACCAAGTACGAATTATTTAAAAGAAAACAATAAAGAACTAAGATTTTCACCTTTGGCTGAGTTGGAAGTAAAGGTTCACACTGGGAATGGGAGAAAATAAGAGGAATTTGCAGGGGCAAATGCTAGGATTTTAATATCTCCCACATCCCGTGATGCATATTGTGCCTGATATCTAAAACAAAACCAAATTTAAAAACAGCTATTTGGGTGAGGTTAGAGAGACAATGTATTGCACACCAGCAAAATGAGGGTGATGTGAGCATGAGCCTGCAAGTTGCATCGTTGTCTTGGAGGTCCTCACATACACAAAGATGTTCTGTTTTCACTTTGCTTGTCCATCTCCCACACATATACAACTTGAAATTCATTTTTAATAAGACTTCAGTCCCAGTGGTAGGCAGATAGGAGAGACATTAAAGAGAAGAAACTTCATATTGAGAGTAGGGCATTGGTCAGTTATTAGCATTTATTAGGCTGGGTCCCTGCATTGTAGCAGGTTCATTATGTCTGTTGATTAAATTAACGCAGGACACTATACTGTAATAGCAAGTGGAGATGGATTTGATTCCTTTCCTAAGAGAGTCAATTTGCTGGTACTCCCCAATCATGCCGTAGAACCAGTTGCCCATCCATAGAGACTGCCATAGAATATATGTTTGAATAATTAAGTTGTAGTTTTATAGTTAAATCCTTTTTAAACCTACTTCCTCATTCTCATTAGAAACACTGTACTGATCCATGTTCTTTTCTTCTGCTTCATTACCTAAGATTTTTGGAATTTATCTGCTTTTTATTTATTTTTTAAAATTAATTAATATTTTTTTGAGATGGAGTCCCATTCTGTTGCTCAGGCTGGAGTGCAGTGGCGTGATCTCAGCTCAGTGCAACCTCGGTCGCCCAGGTTTAAGTGATTCTCATGCCTCAGCCTCCCGAGTAGCTGGGACTGCAGGCATGTGCCACAGCACCTGGCTAATTTTTGTATTTCTAGTAGAGGTGGGGTTTTGCCATGTTGGCTAGGCTGGTCTCGAACTCCTGACCTCAAGTGATCCACCTGCCTCAGCCTCCCGAAGTATTGAGATTATAGGCGTGAGCCACCGTGCCCAGCTTACCAGCTTTTTAAAGCTAACTCCCTTTCCTCATGTGACTCTCCAAAAACCAAAACCCCTTGTGACATCCAGGAGAGTACGCTGAAGGCAGATGTGACTGCAATAGCTCAATACTCAAAGGGATTTCCAGGCCGCCTACCCTCAGAGCCTCTCTTCCCTATGTCTCTGCCTTAATGAAAAAGGCCTCTGTGAAGTCCTAGAGCTCAAGCACTTGTTTTCATGATTCCTGCAGAGTGAGAGACTTGAAAAATGAGGGCCCAGAAAGGAAATCACTCATTCAATTTTATAGAGCAAAATAGCAGTTAAGCCAAACTAGAAACTAGAATTCACTGTTCCCCGAGTCATCTTTTTGAGAAGCACATTTTCAAATTCAATTAGAATATATTGAGAACTATATGTGGGGATTTGCTTTGTATCAGGCTAGTTAAGTGCAATCACGTAAGGGGCATATTGAAAATCAATGCAGGGCAGAAGCAAATCATCCACTGTATCTATTGAATTTAGGAATATTGATTTGAATAGCTAATAACTTGGTAGATGGAAGTTACTCTGCCTCTTCTTGGATGTGACTCTCAGGAATCATCATCAGTAGCCTCCACTCCTTTGTCTCATGAAATCAACAGTGAGTTTAGCAGCAGCTCTCTTGTTATAATTCAGCTATTTTATTTCTATCTTAACCAGAGCAGATTACTTTTGACCAAACTAGCATCTCTTGACACAACCTACCTTGTATGACTTCTTTCGGTTAATGAGAAATGGTTCCCTCTGATCATTTCATGTTTATGCAAAGCTAATGTATCTTGACCAATATTATTATGCCAATTATATAAGTGCAGTTGTCTCTTTCAGGCATTTCTACTACAAGAGCTCTTGAAAGTGCAATGAGAAGAAAGAATAAAATGGAGCAGACATGTAATTAGGGAGATTATGAAAATCCTTTCCCAGGTGTTTAAAAATGTATTTTAAGTATAGGAATTTTGGTCTTTGTAGTGTGATGTCTGTAACCTCTTCTGGGCCAGGTTTGTTCTTCAGTTCCATGGGCTAAAATCTCAGCTGTCTACACGGGCAAGGAAGAGAAAGTAAATGGAAAAAACAGGTAGGGTTCAAGTGCTATGCATCTGCCATGCGCCTAAGGGCCATGGACTCCTGGACTAGAGGGAGTGCTTGCTTCCCCTGAAGGAGGCCACCCACCTCAGTCTAGCACTTGATATTATATCATAAGGAAATGAGGCCCAGTGCAGCCAGAGAAACCAGAAATCTGAACTAAGTATCCTGATTTTTAAGTGGCTTTATTTTTATTTTTGTAAGTACTGAGCTGGGTCAAATACTTTTATCCAAGGGTAGGACCCAGTAGGCTGCCTGATGAGAGGAAAAAAACCCAAAGTGCTTTTTCCTTCTCCATTCTCACCACTCAACACAACACTTCTGACGCCAGATTGGAGAGAGAGTGTCCCACATACAGAGCAATTCTCCAGTAGACACTAACCAGCTGGGTGTCCTCTAATTCAATTCTGACACCATGTACCTGCAGACAGCATCAGATCGCACAGGTTGGGGGCTCAGTCCCATAAGACTGTGCCCACTTCAGATGCCAATCACAAGACCCAGGTAGTGACCTGTGCTTCTGACCAACCAGCCATAAACCAGGGTTCCCACAACCTTCTCCTCAGGCTCAATTAATTTGCAAGAGCGGCTCACAGAACTCGGAGAAACACTCTACTTACATTTACTGGTTTATTAATAAAGCATATGATAAAGGATAGAAATGAAAAGCCAGACAGAGTTGCGTAGAACAAAGTGTGGGGAAGGGACACAGAGCTTCCATGCACACTCCAGGAACATCCACGTGTCCAGCAATCGGAAGCTCTCTGAACCCCTTCCTTTTGGGTGTTTATGGAGGATTCATTGCATAGACATGATTGATTACATCATTGGCCACTGGTGATCAAATTAACCTTCAGGCCCTCTTTCCTGCCTGGAAGTTAGAGGAGGGGGGTGTTGAAAGTCCCAACCCTCTAATCCTGTCTTGGTCTTTCTAGTGACCGGCCCCCATCCTGAAGCTACCAAGGATCTGCCAGCCACCAGTCATTTCATTAGCATACAGAAGACACTTTTTTTTTTTTTGAAACAGAGTGTCCCTCTGTCGCCCAGGCTGGAGTGCAGTGGTGCAATCTCTGCTCACTGCAAGCTCAGCCTCCTGGATTCACGCCATTCTCCTGCCTCAGCCTCCTGAGTAGCTGGGACTACAGGCGCCCGCCACCACGCCCGGCTAATTTTTTTTTTTTTTTTTTGTATTTTTAGTAGAAACGGGGTTTCACCGTGTTATCCAGGATGGTCTCGATCTCCTGACCTCGTGATCTGCCCGCCTTGGCCGCCTTGCCCTTTTTAAAATTGGTAGCTGCCCTGCTTCCAAGCTCCAAACAACTCCTGCCCAGCAGCCTGGTTTTGACCCTCAAACCATTGCTCCTATGCACATTGCGCAACTCCAGCCCTGCCTCTTACCCCACACATACTCCCTATTTTTCTCCACCTCTGCCTGGGCCACTGGCTTCCCTCAGGCCAGGTCTTTCCCAGGCCCAGCCACACCCTCTGCACCCAGCTTCACTTAGGCTCACCCTACCCCATCCTCCTCTTATCCTCAGCCCGGACACTGAAAGCTGTACCTCTGGGGCTGTTCTCTCCATCCCAGAGCCTCCTCCATACCCTCTCCTCAGAGGACTCAGGGCTAAAGGAAGGCACATAACATACGTGACTTGAGAAGAATGGGGATGGGGAGAGGCTGCTGTTCATTTCCACTAAGGATTAACAAGAGAAGAAAGCTCTAAATGGTAGGAGGACCGAGAAAGGCTAGAAAACACTCGAATCTACTGTCTATGGAGATTTGGCAATTTCAGGGCCTTTCAGAGCAGAAGACCAAGCCCAGTACCTGGAATGGGGATCGATCGGGAGAAGGAGCCTGGGAGCCAGGGGAGGAGCAGATTGGCTTGGAGATCAGGCTTGCACACTGCCCTGTCCTCTTCCTGGCCAGGTAGAAATGGAGATATTGATATTCTATTCGGAAAAAGTATGAGCTCGCTTAAAGGGAGTTGAAACAAAACCATGCCAGGCAAATCTCCGTAATGCCAAATTGCAGAAGAGCATTCAAAGAGATGGGAGGGCCCAGGCCAGGAAATTCAGGGGCCTGGCTTCAAATCTGGTCCGAGTGTGTGAGAGCGTAGGAAAAGGACTGACGTTCTCCAGGTCTCCATCAGCTCTTTGAGAATACAGAAATTGGACTGGATGAAGTATTCATTATCTTAAAAGACACAACAAATTAACTCAAAGCCTAGCAGCTTGAAACAAAGAACTCTGATGATCTCATGAAGTCTGTAGTCAGGAACCCAGGCACTGTGTGGCCAAGCCCCCAGCGTCAGAGTCTCCCTGAGGCTGCAGTGGAGGCGTCAGCTGGGGCAGTGATCACTCAGGGCTCCACCAGGTATGATCAACTTTTTAGCTCGCCCAAGTGATTGTTAGGCAGAATTCAATCCCTCTTGGAGTCCCAGAGTAAGAGTCTCATTTGGAATAAGGACCTCAGTTCCTTGCTGGCTGTTAGCTGGAGGCCTCCCTCAGTTTCTCGATATCTGGGTCTCTCCATAGGGCAGCTCATAACATGGCGACAGGCTTCAATCGAGCTAGCAAGAGACACTTCTGCTTTCTGGTACTTCAAAGCTTGGAAGATGCCACTGCCCCCTAACAACAAGCAAAAAGCTGAACAAACTGAATAATCAACTCTTCTTAGAACTCTAAGAGAAGTGAGGACCCAGGGACAACCACTGCCCCCAGAATTGGAGAGACAAGACAGATGGATACAGAGAATCACAACTTACCTACCAGAGCAGAAATTCATGAGCAGAAATCTCTGTGGGAACTAGTGCCAAGATAGAAAAATCCAAACTGTAAATGATAAATTACTGTTGGCTGTGTGTGGACAAGTCTGAGAGTAAAAAGACTCCAGGGGGACCCAGACATAAGGGGGGCTCCATCCACACTTTTGTGAAACTTACCTTCAAAATCTCGACCAGGTTCTCACATTAAATGTCAGAGAAAAATGCCCTCATGCTTCTGGCAAAGGGAGGGAGAAAGGAACGATTTTGAAATGCACAGAGCACCCTGTTCTTAACAAGGCCTTCCCTTAGGAGAAACTATTCAACCAGAGCCTAAGCCCCTGAGATTTTATCACAGCCTACCCGACCTGGGGGAGGGAAATACCCTACTCCAGCAACTCTAGCCATCCTGTCCCACATAAGGTGGGGAGGAGACAAGGGACTGAGAAGCACTTGTGAAGTTCAGAGGCACAGGCTCACTAAGAGGCTGAGACTAACCACAGGACCACAGAATGCCTTCCCCACTTCACCCCCCCATTACTAGAGGTCTGTTTACAGCAGTTCCTTTTACCCAGTACACTATGACCAGCTAACAAGAAAAAATTACAAGGCATACTAAAAGTCAAAAAATACAGTTTAGAGAGACAAAGCAAGCATCAGAACCAAATATGGCAGGGATGTTGGAATTATAAGAATGGGAATTTAAAATATCTATGATTAGTCTATTACAGGTTCTAATGGAGAAAGCAGACAGCATGTAAGAACAGATGAGCAATGGAAGCAGAGAGACGAAAATCCTAAGACAGAATCTAAAAGAAATGCTAGAGATCAAAATTTCTAAGGGAGATGCAGAATGCCTTTGAAGGTCTTCACAGGAGACTGGACGTGGGTGAGGAATTTCTGAGCTTGAGGATACATCAATAGAAACCTCCAAAACTGAAAAGCAAAGAGAACACAGACTGGAAACAAAACAAAACAAAAACAGAACATCCAAGAACTGGTGGAAAACTACAGAAGATATAACACATGCACAATGAGAATATCAGAAAGAGAAGAAAGAGAGAAAAGTACAGAAGAATTATTTGAAACAATGACCAACAATTTCCACGAAATAATGTCGGACACCAAGCGACAGATCCAGGAAGCTTAGAGGACACCAAGAAGGACAAATGCAAAAACAAACAAAAAATCCCAAAACTATACCTGGGCATATCATATTCAAACTACAGAAGATCAAAGATATAGAATAGGAGAGGGCAAGCAAGGCAGAAGTCAGAGTCTACATGTAATTTTATCAGGAAAGTAGCATTCTGGCCAGGCACAGTGGCTCATGCCTATAATCCCAGCACTTTGGAAGGAGAAGATATGAAGATCACTTGAGCCGAGGAGTTTGAGACCAGCCTGGGCAACATAGTGAGACCCCATCTCTCCTAGAATAAAAAATTAGCACGTTGTGGCACATGCCTGTAGTCCTAGCTACTCAGGAGGCTGAGGCAGAAAGACAGCTTGAGACCAGGAGTTCAAGGCTGCAGTGAGCTGTGATTGCACTATTGCACTCCAGCCTGACCGACAGAGCAAGACTCTGTCTCAAAATAAATAAATGTATTAAAAAGTGACATCCCATCACATTTGCCATATTCTGTTCATTAGAATTGACTCACTAAGCCCAGGCCATACCCCAGGGAGGCTGTAGGCAACTGCACAAGAGCATGAATACTAGAAGGGGGAAATCATCAGGAGCTATTTTATGATTTTATTTCATTTCAATTTTTATTTAATTTTTTTTTAAGAGACAGGGTCTCACTCTGTTGCCCAGGCCAGAGTCCAGGGATGCAATCATAGCTCCCTGCAGCCTCGAACTCCTGGCTCAAGCAATCCTCCTGCCTCTGTCTAGCTAGGATACAGGCATGTGCCACTAAAGGCTAATTTATTTTATTTTATTTTGTCTAGACGGGGTCTGATGATGTTGCTGAGGCTGGTGTCAAACTCCTGCCTCAGCCTCCCAAAGTGTGAGTCATTGCACTGGGTTGTCAGGAACTATTTTAGACGCTGCCTACTTCAAATTATCTCCCACACTCAGCACTCAGATTCTGTGAATACTCCTCCCATCGAAGGAGGCTACACATTCAGTTTACAACCCCAGCCTCCAAGATTCTCAGCCAAACACCTTCATGGCTCTGACATATTCTACATATGGAGTTAACAACATGAAAAACACAGTCAAATAGGAAAATCATGTTATCCAACAGAGTTAGACTGTGAAAAGAAGACATTGCATTTTCTCTATTTCTGTGGCATCTAACATCAGAGGACAGGGTAGACCAGATAGCTAGCTAGCTATCTGTTTATCTACCTATTTATTTTGAGACGGAGTCTTGCTTTGTCGCCCAGGCTCAAGTGCAGGGGCACGATCTCAGCTCACTGCAACCTCTGCCTTCCGGGTCCAAGCAATTCTCTTGCCTCAGCCTCCTGCGTAGCTGGGATTACAGGCACCCACCACCACACCCGGTTAATTTTTGTATTTTTAGTAGAGACTGGGTTTCACCATGTTGGCCAGGCTGGTCTTGAACTCCTGACCTCAGGTGATCTGCCCGCCTCAGCCTCCCAAAATGCTGGGATTACAGGCATGAGCCACCATGCCCAGCAACAGCTATCTTTTTAGAATAGCCATAAAAAATATGTCTTTGTTTAGATCACTTCAGAACCAAATGCTCTGAAGCCAGCCTATCCAGAGAGCCTAGATTGATTTGAGGCCAGTCCCTGCAATGCAAGGGGGGGTGTCACAACTCAAAGGCCACTCCTGAGCTTTCACTTTCTTTCCAAAATAATTGAAGTCAGTGGACTGTCCCCAGAGCTTCTGTGAGGTATTCACATTTTCTCTGGAGTGACGTGACTTTTGTAAGACATCTAAGGCATGTATATGTTATACTTTGGCCTGGCTAAATCTGGAGAATGACAGAGGTCTCCAAACCCCGAGGACTGTTGGGTTGATTTGAATTAAATGAGATGCCCCCTTTCTGCAGAAAATGGAAACTAACATGGCTATCTCTGTCCATTACACAAGACTTTTGTAAAACAGTCATGGTTTCTTTCTTAAAATCTGTTTTAAACAGTTGGAAGTCCATATTTCCTTCACTAATAGTCCTCCTATAAGTTGTGGTCATAAACCATTTTTTCAAGACTCAGAGAGCTCTTCTCACTTGGAAAGCCATCACACATATTCATCAATTTGGAATCTGCAGCAAAACTGAGCCTTTTCAGCCTCTTACCTATAGATAAAAAGGCTGAGATCCATGTTTCTACTTACAATTCCTAATTTTGAGAATCCCTGAGCAATACATTTTGATCTTGTGAGATTTTAACTGATCCCTTTCAATTTTCTTTTCACCATACTTAAGAATCTAAGGCTTACAGATACCTTGATTCCCAACTCTCAAAGCTTTTTATATGTACTTTCTTATTTGTTCTCTCAAACCTTACGAAAAGAGGCATTAGTTCTTTCCCAGAAGGTAAAATGCATAAAGTATGTGGACCTGGCATCAGATGAGCTGGTTTAGAATCTTAGATCCACCACTCACCAGCACTCAGACTTCGGGCAAGTTACTTAACCTCTCAGGGACTCAAAGAGTCCTCATCTGTAAAATGGGGTTACCCACACCTATCTCACAAAATTGTTTTGAGGACTAAATTCCACACATATATCTATATAAAGCATTTAGCATGGTGCATAGAGCTAGTTAAAAATTTTGGTTGCTTTTAAAGTTATGGAGAAACAAATGGAGATCCTGGGAGTGTCTCCCAATGTTCAACCATATAGGAACAAGAAGGGAATGGAATCCTGAATCTAGATCATCAGTCTTCATTGTAGTTACTTCACTCATCCCTTTTGCAAGTTATCACCAAAACATCCTGGTTCACCACTAAGAAACTCTCCGTAAGCTGAGCCTGAAATGTCACAAAAGACGTGCCGTTCCTGTGACCTCAAATAAGAACAGGTTCGCTCTTGATTTGTCCAGGTAAAAAGAGCATTGCAAGTGATAGATACAGAAATGCTTATGTACCTCCTTTTTGAATTTATATTAGGTTTTACATTTTAGCCTCTGCATCTGAATGGATGAAAAGTGAGCATATGTAACAGTGGGAAACAGGTTTTTCTGTGGAGGCTCCCAATAAGTAGCTCCCATAGACTATTCACAAAGCCAGGTATATAGTTGGAAATTCTTCTCCTTTACTTCTTGAGTAGCACGAGATTGGCTCAGGCTATCCAGAAGTAGCTTTGAGGTATAAGCAACCACATGGACATGGACTATACCCTGAAGCCCGGCTATAAGGGGCAGAGCACTGAAGGAGGCCAAAAGAAGTTCAAAAGCAGGGGTAGATCCCTGACCCAAGGGCCCAGGGCCTGCCTCTGGGAGTGCCTTGCCCATTTCATTAGATATGAGGGAGAGTCACAGAGCAGACTGGCCCAGTAGGTCCTCTCGGCCACTGAAGGATTATAAAGGTCTTTACCAGTTATAAAATAAAAGGGATGAATGCTGATTTTTCAACAATGTTAAATACTCAGCTTTGAAAGGAGGGTTGTATGGCACCATCAATCTCATCTGTCCCCGCTTTCTCTTTGAGTTCTTGCCTCTAGCACTCAGCTCCACCCACAGTTTTCCCTCCTCCCTGGGACTCTCTCTGCCCTCCCTCATGAGTGAATTGCTGCCCTCTTGGTCTCCTAGTTATGGTAGCACCTCCTAAATGCATCCAAGAACTCACTAGAAAACACAACCAAGATTACAAAAGAGACTCTTTCTTTTTTTTTTTTTTTTTCCAGACGGAGTCTCACTCTGTCACCAGGCTGGAGTGCAGTGGCGCGATCTCAGCTCACTGCAACCTCTGCCTCCCGGGTTCAAGTGATTCTCCTGCCTCAGCCTCCCAAGTAGCTGGGGCTACAGGCGCGCGCCACTATGCCCAGCTAATTTTTTAGTATTTTTAGTAGAGACGGGGTTTCACCATGTTGGCCAGGATGGTCTCGATCTCTTAACCTTGTGATCCACCCGCCTTGGCCTCCTAAAGTGCTGGGATTATAGGCGTGAGCCACCGTGCCCGGCCAAAAGAGACTATTTCAAGCAAAGCAAGTCTTTCGGAGCTCAGAGAAGCAGCTTGGCCAAGATAATGCACATCTGCTCGCATACAGGCCAAACGGACACAGCTTCTTGGGGAGTTTCTTTCCTTGAACTCAACATGATCCCTGAGACCCAGCCCAGAAGTCTTCCTTTTCAGTCCGTAGGTGCCCTAGGAGCATCCCATCTGCTTCCTCCTTTTGTACTCCTCCCTGCCTTTCACAGCGGCTGCTCCAGGCAATCTCACCAACTTCCCGTGGTTATGGAGATAGCTGGGATCTCTGGGTGGAGAATGGGGATTCCTTGTGTGAATGGAGGACATTAACGTAAAGGACATGTTAAGATTAATTTTTTAATCTTGCTATTAAATATTTTCTGGTATCATCTGGGATTATGGTGGTATTTTGTAGGAAAAAAATCCCCAGATAAATGCCATATAAATTAATACTCCTGGATATATAATACCCCTACAGCTTGTTCATGCTTAACTTTTCAGTTAGGTAGTGAGTCCTGTATCTTGCCATTTTTCATTTTCTCAGTCATCCTTCCTGTGTGTGTAGAATAATCTGTAGACAAAAGCTCAAGGAAGAGAGAATCCAACCTAATGGAAACACAACGAAACATTGTGTCATTTACTACCCTTCCCCTCCAATCTCCTCTCCAGGCTTTTATATGTCTTGAGGGTTAGTTTTTATATAAAACTATTAAAATGTATGCTTAATATGTTATATACATCTATACTATGTTAAAAAAAAATGTGAAGAGATTCCTCTCCCTCCACTTCTACCTACCTGCCTGGCCCCCACCACAAATCCCTTGGGTTGGCAGGGTTGGCAGCAGAGGCCTGATCTGGAGGCCAGGTTGAACCACCCCCGAGAGTGAAAACCCACAACAAGAAAGCATCTACAGGCCGGGCGCAGTGGCTCACGCCTGTAATCCCAGCACTTTGGGAGGCTGAGGCGGGCAGATCATGAGGTCAGGAGATTGAGACCATCCTGGCTAACACGGTGAAACCCTATCTCTACTAAAAATACAAAAAAAAAAAAAAAAAATTAGCTGGGTGTGGTGGGCACCTGTAGTCCCAGCTACTCGGGAGGCTGAGGCAGGAGAATGGTGTGAACCCGGGAGCGGAGCTTGCAGTGAGTCGAGATCGCGCCATTGTACTCCAGCCTGGCGACAGAGCAAGACTCTGTCTCAAAAAAAAAAAAAAAAAAAAAAAAAAGCATCTACACAGCATTATTCTGTGCAAAACACAGCCCACAGCAGGTTTCCAGTTGTCAGAACTGACTCCCCAGTGTGAGCTCCTCCACTCCTCACCTGTCATTAAGGGCGTCATTTCCATAGAGAACGTTCTTGAAAATCAGCCCTTCTATGAAGCTTCTTTCCAACATACCCCTCCCTGTTCTTTCCCTTCCACCTGGCAACAGAAGACATTTTCTCTTCTCTTTGAGCACACTGGGACTACATGCAGCTCCTGGGGAAATTCTCCAAAGAAACAGATTCTTGCTTTTAACTCCTGACCTACTCACACAACAGAGCCCACAGCAGGAAGGCCCCATTCTCGGCCTAGTGAGCTGAGGTGTTGCCACCCACTAGGCACAGCTGCTCTGCTAATTTTAGACCTCTCTGAGAAGTCACTTGACTTCAAGGCACTTGGAGACACACATCACACCCTGTCTCAGGAGGTGGTCTGGGGTGGGGCTCACTCTGCTTTCAACACCCATAACACCTTGTAACCTACAAAAGTGACTTTTTTTTGGAGGTTCTCCTCAATAAATGATAAAAAATAAATGACAACACTCAAAATGAGCTGTGAAACTGAAATTTGTTTCCACCTGGTCTAGCCCTGAAGCCTTAGGTGCCTTATTCAGCTGCCTGATCTTTACCAGGCACCACCTCATATTCCACACATCCACAGCTTAACCCTGGTGAGTGCCGCCTGGGGCAATTTTAGTCACCCAAGCTAGGACCCTCAGGACAACCCTGACTACCTTCCATCTCTCTCCAGTCACTAAATCTTAAACTGAAAACTATTTTGTCTCCTAAATAATGTTTGCAAACTTCCCCTCTATTCTGGCACCCTCATCCCATTTCAGGTTCTCTTCAGCGTCTCCCTGCACACTGCAGCAGTTTGCCCACAGTCACCCCGCCTTCTGTCTCATCCTCAAAGTCTAGCATCTATGGTGATCTTTCTAAAACCATGTCTATATCTCACTTAAACCCCTTCAAGGCATCCTGTCAGGTTCTCCAGCCTATCTGCTCATTAGAATCACCTGGGCCCTTAAAAAAAAAAAAAATCAGTTCCTGCTTCCATTCCCAGAGATTCTGATTTAAGTGGACTGGATGGGAGAAAGAAACCATATTTCTTTTTAAAATTTCCCAGGAAATCCTAATGTGCAAACATGGTTGAGAACCCCTGACCTGCAGGATAAAGTCCAGGCTCCTTCCCATGGCACCCAAGATGCTCCTGACTGGGCCCCTGGCCACCCTCTCCGGCCAGCCTCACTCCTGGCCAGTCCATGCCTTTATGTGCCAGCAACACTGAACTGCTTGCAGCTCCCAGCATTGCTTATGCTGTTCTCGCTGTCTGAAGTGCCCTCCCTACTGGTCCAACCAACATCACCTTCTACAGAAAGCCATTCCTGACTACTTTCCCTCACCTCCAGGTGCCCCGTGAAACTTTGGATGTGTCTCTATTACCGAACATTCACATGATTTTATGATACCCATCTTTCTTAAACACAAGGGAGACATTTATTTATACAGGGATAGTTCACAGAGCCCAAAGCTGCTGAAACTATAGCTGGGCCTCTCAAGCACTGGAACCCTGAATTAGAAAGCTTTCAGATACCAAGGTGCTTTCTTTCAGTCATTTTCTCTCACTGGGTTACGTGGCTTCTGGTGTCTGTTCATTGCTTTTGGATCTCCTTGGCAGACAACATTCTCTACCTCTGTGTACCTGGGTGGGCCAAAAATGGGCACTTCACAAAGGCTGAGTCAACTCCTGAAGGCCGTGTTCTCACTTCCAGCAATACTGACCAACATCCTGGCTGTCAATTCTAAAGTCCCTGAAGAGAGAATCTTATTGGCCCAGGGGTTCACCCTTGTCCATCAGCTGTGGCCAAATAGGGTTGCTGCGTAAGAGGCAAGTCTTGAAAAAATAGAGAGGAGTCATAGGATTAGCAGACTACCTAAAAGGTGACAACTATGCCCCAAGAGTCAAGGAATTCTTGAACTATGTGATAACCATGTATAGGTCAGCAATAGAGACCAAGTGCTGTGTGAGCCCAGAGGAGTAAACCATAGTAGTCTTCGATGTCAGGGAAGTCCTCACAAGAAAGTTGGCACTGGGCCAGGCATAAGAGAAAATAAAGGGCAAATGGCAATATCAGCAAGATACCTAAAAATTAGGCTTTTATGTGAAAGTACAAGAAATGGACTGAAATGGTGGCAAGATACCGGGATCAGCAGATGGGCCTAAGTTTGGTTCAGACTGTGAGAGTCTTTAAGTGACAGAATAAAAGTCTGGTCTTCACTGCTCAAGAGGGGGTTCCTCTCAGAGGACCTCAATCACTCAAGTAAGGAGAAGGGGGAGTCAGGAGACCCAGGGAGAGGCCCTTTGGGTCTGAGTTAAAGCAATGAGTCACTTCTTACTACTTAACAATGCAAAAAGCACTTTGCGGCCGGGCACTGTGGTTCAAGCCTGTAATCTCAGCACCTTGGGAGGCCGAGATGGGTAGATTACCCGAGGTCAGGAGTCTGAGACCAGCTTGGCCAACATGGTGAAATCCTATCTCTATAAAAATACAAAAAATTAGCTGGGTGTGGTGGCAGACACCTGTAGTCCCAGCTTCTCAGGAGGCTGAGGCGCGAGAATTGCTTGAACCTAGGAGGCGGAGGCTATAGAGAGCAAAGATCATGCCACTGCATTCCAGCCTGGGTGACAGATCAAGACTCTGTCTCAAAAAAAAAAAAAAAAAAAAAAGCACTTTGCCTGTGTTACTTCCTCTAATCCTCACAGTATCGTAGTGTGGGGGAGAGCTGGCTTTTATTTTACCCAGATTACTGAAGAGGAAAATGTGGTTCAGTCCGGTTATGCAACTTGCCTAAGATCACATAACTAACTGGCAGAAGCATGACTTGAATGTAGATTCTGAAGTCTAATTCTGAAGTCTATTCTCATTCCAGGGCACTGGGCTACCCAGCAATGGAAAGCTCAAGCTAAAACTGCCTTGGGTTATAATATAGAGAAAGACTGAATAATGCTGGAAAAAATATTTTTATTATTGACTAATGACATAGAAAAATGCTCATGATATGATACTGAGTGATGGAGAAAAGATTGACTACCAGACTGCATAAGCATTGTGGTGCTAATCTTAAAAAGTGTATTCTGTGCTCGTCTGTCCTGTGGACAGTGGTCAGGCTTCAGCCCCATCCCTGAGAATGGCCCCCTCTGAAAATCTTCCTTCTTTTCAACTATACTTTGCAACCATGGTGCATTCTTTTGGGTTATTCAATCACAGGGATGAAAATTTTAGTGACTGTCTCGTACCATGAATCATAGCAATTTTAGTCATAAGATAACTCTCACGTTCTACTATAAATAGGGCTGGGCTTTCATTACTAGATACACAGTAACAATTAACAATAAACAGTAGTTTTTCATAAATGGATACTGAGAGAAAATATTACAACCCTGAGTCACAATCTTGGCTAAAAGAATTGTATAATTATCTAATGTATTTTGGACTGTTGAAATATATACTTCATATTGCTCAATGATGGAACATTTTTCTTTATAAGTATTTTGTAAAAGAATCTCTTGTTTTTACATATATTCAACTGGCAAAGGTTAAAAAAAATTTAACCCACTAAAACTTAAAGTATAATAAAAAAAAATTTAACCCATAGTTAGTGAAGGTGAGGGCAATTTGGCAATAACTATCAAAGTTGTAAATATACATGCCCTTTCGCCTAGTAATTTCATTGCTAGGTATCGTTCATATATAATAAAATGTATGTGCAATGTATAAGGATATGTAGTGTAGGCTGGGCGCAGTGGCTCACGCTTGTAATCCCAGCACTTTGGGAGGCTGAGGCAGGTGGATCACGAGGTCAGGAGATCGAGACCATCCTGGTCAACACGGTGAAACCCCGTCTCTACTAAAAAAAATACAAAAAATTAGCTGGGCATGGTGGTGGGTGACTGTAGTCCTAGCTACTCGGGAGGTTGAGGCAGGAGAATGGCGTGAACCCAGGAGGCGGAGCTTGCAGTGAGCCAAGATCATGTCACTGCACTCCAGCCTGGGCAACAGAGCGAGAATCTGTCTCAAAAAAAAAAAAAAAAAAGGATATATAGTGTATTTATAATAGCAAAACACCTCAAAGCATCTTAAATACATCTGAAAAATGGATTGGCTAAGTCAGTCATGATACAACCATTCAATGGAATCCCCTGCAACTGCTATAAAGAATGAGGTAAATACAGAGGTTCTAATATGAAAATATGACCAAGACATTGCAAGTGAAAAAACAAGATGGAGAACAATGTGTGTAGCCTGCCTTTATTTGTGTGTCTTTTTAAAAGTGAAATTATACTTCTATGTGCATAGAAAAATTCTGGAAGAATACTATTTGGCTATTTGACCACGAGAATGTGTAATTTTTATAATTAAAAAACATTTATTGCTCTCACTGAAAATTAATACAATTCTTTGGTAGAATGTTTAGAAGACATAGAAGTGTATAATGGCCAAGGCATGGTGGCTCATGCCTATAATCTCAGCACTTTGGGAGGCTGAGGCAGGAGGATCACTTGAGTCTAAGAGTTTGAGACCAGCCTGGGCAATATAGTGAGACCCGTCTCTACAAAAAAATATAAAAAGTACCTGGGCATGGTGGTGCACACCTGTGGTCCCAGATACTCAGGTGGCTGAGGTGGGAGGATTGCTTGAGCTGGGAGGTAGAGGCTGCAGTGAGCCATGATCGCACCATTGCACTCAGCCTTGGCAACAGAGTGAGACCCTGTCTAAAAAAAAAAAAAGAAAAGAAGAGTATAATGGTAAAAATGAGAATTACCCAGCTAAAACAGGAATTACTCAAAAACAATTTGATGTTTTTCCTCTGGTATTTGTTCCGATGCACATATACTTGTAACTGCCCAAGGGGTTCACCTTGCCCTCTGCTTAGACAGAGCTCATTCATCAAGATGAGAATTGCAATAGAGAAAGAGTAACTCACGCAGAGCTGGTTGTGCAAGAGACCAGAGTTTTATTATTACTCAAATCAGTCGCCCGAGCATTCAGGGAGCAAAGTTTTTAAGGATAACTTGGTAGGTCGGGGAGCCAGTGAGCCAGGAGTGCTGATTGGTCAGGATGAAATCATAGGGAGTGGAAGCTGTCTTCTTGCACTGAGTCAGTTCCTGGGTGGGGGCCACAAGATTAGATGAGCCAGTTTATCGATTTGGGTGGTGCCAGCTGATCCATCAAAGCTAAGTCTGCAAAATATCTCAAGCACTGATCTTAGGAGCAGTTTAGGGAGGGTCAGAATCTTGTAGCCTCCAGCTGCATGACTCCTAAACCATAATTTCTAATCCTGTGGCTAATGTTAATCTAGTCCTCAGACAAGAAGGAGGTCTGCTTTGGGAAAGGGCTGTTACTGTCTTTGTTTAAACTATAAACCGCAAAGTTTCTCCCAAAGTTAGTTCAGCCTATGCCCAGGAATGAACAAAGACAGCTTGGAGGTTAGAAGCAAGATGGAGTCGGTTAAGTTAGATCCCTTCCAGTGTCTCAGTCATAATTTTGCAAAGGCGGCTTCACGTTGTCCAGGAAACAGGGGTAAGAAGTAGTCTGGGCCAGGTGCAGCAGCTTATGCCTGTAATCCTAGCACTTAGGGAGGCTGAGGTGGGAGGATCACTTGAGGTCAGGAGTTCGAGACCAGCCTGGCCAACATGGTGAACCCCTGTCCCCACTAAAAACACAAAAATTAGCCGGGTGTGGTGGTGCATGCCTGTAATCCCAGCTACTCGGGAGGCTGAGGCAGGAGAATCGCTTGAACCTGGGAGGCCGAAGTTGGAGGTTGCAGTGAGCCAAAATCCCGCCACTGCACGCCAGCCTGGGTGGCAGAGTGAAACTCTGTCTCAAATAAAAAAAAAAAAAAAGAGTGGTCTGGGTAAACCACTGAGCACATTTCAAAGACTGCCAGTGGTGGGCCTCCTAAAGGAAAGAAACACTCCTAAATAAACTGCGCTTCTTTCATAAAGAAGCATGGGCTTTTCTGAGCTACTGGGTTAGTTGGTTTTTTTACTTACTGGGTTCTTCATTTTTTTGTTGTTTTTTTGTTTTTTTTTGCTTTGAGTTGTGAGTCAAGTCCAGATATTACTGTATTGTCCACATATCTATTCAAGTGATAGGTTTTAAATTACTGTGCTAATATGATAAATTTATAAAATAACTTCATTATCACAACAGCTACCAAAAAATTACTCAAACCAATTCAACAACTATTCTTTTTGAAAACTAAATATTTGAATAAGGAGAGTTTCTCTGTTAAAGTTTCTTTCATAAAGAAACTAAAGCTAAAAGCCAATATTATATAAAATAGAGAATCCCTTCAAATTAGAAACAAAGCCAGTCTGCCTCTGCCATCATTACACTCAGCACAGTACTGCAATGCTGACAGTAATGTCAGAGAAGGGCAAATGGAGGGAGCTACACAGAAAAGGAAGAAAGTATCATTGAGAGATGATATTATTATATATTTATGAAGCCCAAGAGGCAAGAGGTGATAAGGAGCTCTGGATTACAGGCTAACTCCACAAAATTTGGTGTTATTCTTTGTACTGGTGATATACACAAAAAAAGATTCCATTCTATAACAGTAATAAAACAACATACATTCTTCAGTATTGACTCAACTTGGAATGAAAAAACTATCTTATTCTAAGAAATGTAAAACACCATAATAGGAAACACAAAGGGAGACGTTAAAAAATGGCAAAGTCATTTACTCTGCTTCTGGTTGAGAAGAGAATACAGTAAAGATAATATGTCTTAAACGAGTATGTGAATTTAATGCAATTAAAATTCCCAAAGATCATTTATACAACTTGACAAATAATGTGAAATTAGTCCAAAAGAGCTGTAAACCATAACAAAATCTTTTTTTTTTCATTTTTGGTAGACCCTATTAGATTTTGAAACCTGTAACAACTAAATCTTCATGAAAATATGGTATCAACTTCAAAACAGGGAGAAGAAAAAAAATCACTAATTGAATAAAATGGGTATTCCAGAAATAGATTCAACTGCTTCAGTTGAAAATATATAGGGAGAGGGGAGGGAGGAATATAAGCAGTATAACAATGGAAAAAAGAGGCCAGGCACGGTGGCTCATGCCTATAATCCCAGCACTTTGGAAGGTCGAGGTGGGTGGATCACCTGAGGTCAGGAGTTTGAGATCAGTCTGGCCAACATGGTGAAACCCCTACTAAAAGTACAAAATTACAAAAAAAATTACAAAAATTAGCCAGGTGTGGTGGCGGGCACCTGTATTCCTAGCTACTCAGGAGGCTGGGGCAGGAGAATAGCTTAAACCTGGGAGGTGGTGGTTGCAGTGAGCCGAGATTGCGCCATTGCTCTCCAGCCTGGGCGACAAGAGCAAGACTTCGTCTCAAAAAACAAACAAAACAAAACAACAACAAAAAATGGAAAAAAGAAACATTATTTAAATAAAATTGTAGAGAAAACTCAAGAAGAATTATAGCCATATATATATATCCTACTTAGAGTGGATTGTTGAGAAATTTTCTAGTGTTGTGCCCTTTTATTTGTGGTTTTTGGTTTTGTGGAGGTTTTATTGTTGTTGTTGCTGTGGATTGAACTGAAGGGAATTCTCCCCTAACCTCAGAGAAGGCAGCAAGCTTCAGTGTTTTTATGTCCCTGGCTCCCAAGGGACACATTTGGCTCCCAAGGGACAGTGCTCCAAATCTTGGGAGCACTGGTTCCAGGCAGGAGAAGGCTGAGGGTGGAGGTGGGATCAGGGCCATGAGGCATTTAGAGTTGGGGAGAGACAGTGCCCAGGAGCTGATAGGACCTTGACTGGCGGATGGCTGTGTGGATGTTGTTGAAGCTGGACCTCCAACTCCTCGGCTCAGGAACAGCTGTCTGCTCTAGTGAGGAGGAAGTATAGCTGCAGGGCTCCCAGCCATCAGAGGTCCATGCAGGCTTGCGTGAGAGCATCTTCTCCAGTGACCAAATGGATTAATGACAGAGGCTTTTCTCCCCATCCTCCTAGACTGAGTAAGCCCTGGAAGCCTGGGACAACTCAAGAGAGGGGTGATGGAGAGGGAGGACCCCTCCCCAGATGATTGCTCCTGGGCTCAGAGAATACTGGAGATGAATTTGATGATCCAGAAAAACAAAGTAATATTTCTTGCCCCTCAAGTGCCGTGAAACACTATACCGATTATGCACATCATACATTTCAATAAATCCAGATGACCAAAAAAGTATTAACCGCAAACTATTTTGAAAACCAAGCTATTCTTTGTCTCAGTGGTAGAGGAAAGATAAATATCTGGATATCAAAATAACAAAAATAAAAACAGAGGAAATTAGACAAATGGGGTCATGGAAAAACACACAGGCTGACCAGCACTTACAGAAATGTAATCACATATTGTAGCCAGGTTGTGCCCAAACAGCTTGGATTCATTCTAACTCAGGACTGAATATAATAAATCCTGAAGAGCCCGTTAGCCAAATGTCTTCATTACAGTGGTATAAGCCCAGTAGTTTAATCTGCGTTTTTCATCAAGTGTGACGTAAAAATTTATGCGGAGTCTGAGTTAACAAAGGACTTATTCAGTTTATGCAGTGTCTTACCAGAGATGGCTTCCTGAAGCCATGCCAGAGAGGGGTCTGGCCTCTCTGATACTTCTGAACCGGCCATTCATGCTCTCTTAGGCCACAAGATGGCTGTCCTTGCAATCTCTAGCTATGAGGCAAGGCCTAACTAGCAGTTCCAGACGGGGCCCGACACATCACCTGGGTCTCCACAGCATTATGATATAAATCCAATGGCTGGCGAAGGGTCCAAGGCTAAATGGGACCCATCTGCCACCACAGTGTGGCCACTGAGATTTGGAGAAGAAAAACAGGTGTATCTTATAACTAGGGGTTCCTCAGGGACTATTCACCTGCCTAACACTATGTTTGTGAAACTAATCACCAGTGTGTGTCTCTTTAGTGGGCTTGGATTAGCTAATAATTCTAACTGAACTGAATCATAATTCATGAGATAATTTTGAGTTCCTCAGATTTACTTCCACTAAAATTCAGAATGAAACTGGGACATTATGGATTTCTGACAAAAGGAAAGTAGGTATCAATTCCTCCTACATCCTTGACTCAGGTTTGAGTCACATGGATTCTCATTCAACACTGTCATTCTTTTTTTGTTTGTTTGTTTGGGGGTTTTTTCTTTTACTTTTTTTTTTTTTTTTTTTTTTTTTTTTTTGAGACGAGTGTCGCTCTGTCACCCAGGCTGGAGTGCAAGTGGCGCACCCTCGGCTCACTGCACTCCCGGGTTCAAGCCATTCTCCTGCCTCAGCCTCCCAAGTAGCTGGGATTACAGGTGCCTGCCACCATGCCCAGCTAATTTTTTTTTTTTTTGTATTTTTAGTAGAGACAGGGTTTCACCAAGTTGGCCAGGCTGCTTTTGAACTCCTGACCTCAGCTGATCTGCCCGCCTTGGCCTCCCAAAGTGCTGGGATTATAGGCGTGAGCCACTGTACCCGGCCAACACTGTCATTCTTAAAAGTAAACTAAGGTGGCATTCACTTAATTGAATTTCTGATCACATGGTTCACTATGGTAAAAACTTGATCATTCCTGCTCAAGCCAATTGAGTCAACCATTCTAAACCTAAATATATAATAAATATGTAATTGATTATACTTGTAGTTTGAACAAATTCAGCATTATCATTAGGCCACTAATGGCAGTAAGTATGCTTGTTATTGATATCTTCCAAGTTTTCACCATTTTGTTTTCCCTTGCCACAAAAGGTTCTCCTTCCTGTGGGTGCTCTATGTCTGTTGTCTTTCCCTTAAGACAGTGGCCTGAATTTGGATTTTCTTTTCTTTCTTTTTTTTTTTTTTTTGAGACGAAGTCTTGCTCTGTTGCCCAGGCTGGAGTGCAGTGGTGTGATCTCGGCTCACTGCAACCTCCGCCTCCTGGGTTCAAGGGATTCTCCTGCCTCAGCCTCCTGAGTAGCTGGGACCAGAGGTGCACACCACCACACCCGGCTAATTTTTGTATTTTTAGTAGAGACAGGGTTTCACCGTGTTGGCCAGGCTGGTGTCCAACTCCAGGCCTCAAGTGATCCACCTGCCTCGGCCTCCCAAAGTGCTAGGATTACAGGCATGAGCCACCGTGCACGACCTGAATTTGGATTTCTTATTTAGTAAATTGGAATGTCAGTATCATCCAGGGTAATGGCAAGAGCACCAAAGTTGATGCTACAAGACCTGAGATGCAGTCCAGGCTACCCCATTTATTGTGTGTGACCTCACAAAAGTTACTTGATAGCATAGAGCTGTGGTCTCTCCTTCATAAATGGAGATGATACTACCTGTTCTGACATTCTTCCTTGAGGGTTATGGTGAGGCTCAAATGAGATATTACATAAAAGTCTTTGTAAAGCATAGAGCCCTATAAGCTCTAAGGTGTTACTATTATTGGCACTGTACAGGAGTCAATGTGCTTAAACCGTGAAGTACATTAAAATCACACGACTTGCTGGTTTTCAGTGCTCATTTCCAGGCTCTAGTTCCACAGAGTCTAATTTAATAGGTCCCAGGTAGAGCCCAGACATCTGGTTTTTGTTTTGTTTGGGACAGAATCTCACTCTGTCACCTAGGCTGGCATGCAGTGGGCACGATAGCCCACTGCAACCTCTGCCTCCCAGGTTCAAGCAATTCTCGTGCCTCAGCCTCCTGATTAGCTGGGATTACAGGCACGCACCACCATGCCTGGCTAATTTTTGTGTTTTTAGTAGATACAGGGTTTTGCCATGTTGGCCAGGCTGGTCTCAAACTCCTGACCGGAAGTGATCCGCCCGCCTCAGTTGCATTTTTAATACTCACCACCACCACCACCACCATTATTCTTTCCCCTGCTGTGTGATTTGTATATGAATAGTCCAGGGATGACACTTGGAGAAATACTGGGGTAAAGGTGAAGTAAGACACTTCAAAAGAACTTCAGAAATGGCCCTTCAGAAGAATAAATTGGATCCTGACAGTTTGAGATTAAATATCCAACATATTTCATTGATTTAAGTGATAAGCTTAAATAAGCTAATGAATGGATGATGTACTGAAAGATAGTGCCCACATAAATTTACTACAGAAAAAGATGTTCATTGTAAAAGTTGCTTCTAGAATTGGTTGAAAGTAAGAAAGACCTTTTGCTTTCCACTGCAACTTAGCTCCCTCTAATCCTATTTTGGGACAGTGTTTCTGGCTTCACTCCTTCTCTGACATGATTTCTGTACTGCATTAATGTTCTTCTTCTGTTTTTTGTTTGTTTGTTTGTTTTGTTTTGTTTTGTTTTTCCATTTTGGGGAGATTGATGGAGTCTTGTCATTTTAACAAGGCTGTGTACTAAGCCATGTGGGCATACCACAGGCCAGATGGATGAGTAAGAAACAAAGCTTCAAAGATTCTGGAAACCACTGGTGTATCCAAGAAGGGAAGTAATAGAGCTGTTGTCAATCAATAGCCATGGAATCAAATGATAGCAATTTTGTCACTCAGCATAGATTGCATGAGGCTAGCCCAGGGCTAAATTATTTTCTTTTTATTTTTTATTTTTATTTATTTTTATTTTATTTTTTTTCTGAGACAGAGTTTCTCTCTTGTTGCCCAGGCTGGAGTGCAATGGCATGATCTCAGCTCACTGCAACCTCTGCCTCCCCAGTTCAAGCGATTCTCCTGCCTCAGCCTCCCGAGTAGCTGGGATTACAGGCATGCACCACTGTGCCGAGCTAATTTTTTTATTTTTAGTAGAGACCGGGGTTTCACCATGTTGGTCAGGCTGGTCTCAAACTCCTGACCGCAAGTGATCCACCCGCCTTGGCCACCGAAAGTGCTGGGATTATAGGCCTGAGCCACGGTGCCCGGCTGGCTAAATTATTAAATCACTGAATTTGACTTTGATGTCTCCATGATCTCCACTTTCTGATCATTCCTATTATCCCCGCCTTCTATCCTCAGCAGGGACTTAGGACTCCCACTATGATAGCCCATCCTGCCCTTTCTGATCAGCCTGAACAGGGAACTTGTTCTTTTCTATGACGACACCCCAACTGCACACTGGCCCATTGTCTGTAATGGTAGAGGAAATGGCGGGGATGAGTAAGAGGGGTTTTTAATTTTCTAATTTTCCTAATCAACAAATTTCTGCTGGGTTTAATGTGTTGCTCCTCCTAGCTTACTGGGGACTTTCTGGCAAGAAGATGTCTTGATCCTGAAGAATAAAGCTTCCAGAAATTATAGACACCTCAAGCAGCCTTGGAGCAGAGGTGGGTGGGGGCTGGAGGAGAAATTCTCAGGTAGCAGCCCTCCCTAAGACACGCCAGCCTGGGAGAAGGTAGTACTGACAATTCTGCTCATTTCCAAGGGGTTCATTTATCTGGGGACTGCATGGCGCCAGTCTGGGGACTCACCAGTAAAATGACTCTTCCTAGCCCACCAGTCTCTAGTTCCTGAAATAGAGGACAATGTATGTCATTGAATCTTCTCAGCACCCACAGAAGGAAGGTGTTGTACCACCCCTTGCACAGTTGTAGACCACTGGAGTCTTTCAAAGCTGTACAAACTGGGAAGGTTAAATTCATCGGTGCCAAGGATTAACTATACTGACCCTAAATTCGTCTGTTATCCTGAATTTAAAAAGAAAAACTATCTAGCTGGGCGCCGTGGCTTATGCCTATAATCCCAACAGTTTGGGAGGCTGAGGTGGGCGGATCACTTGAGGCCAGGCGTTCGAGACCAGCCTGGCCAACATGGCAAAACCATTTCTACTAAAAATACAAAAATGAGCTGGGCGTAGTGGTGCATGCCTGTAATCCCACCTACTCAGGATGCTAAGATGGGAGAATTGCTTGAACCCGGGAGGAGGAGGTTGCAGTGAGCCAAGATTGCACCACTGCACTCCAGCCTGGATGACAGAGCGAGACTCTGTCAAGAAAGAGAGAGAGAAGGAAGGAAGGAAGGAAGGAAGGAAGGGAAAGAAAGAAGGAAAGGGAAAGGAAAGAAAAGGAAAAGAAAAGAAAGAAAGAAAAAGAAAGGAAGGAAGGGAGAGAGAGAGAGGGAGGGAAGAAGGGAGGAAGGGAGAAAAGAGACGAAAGAGGAAAGAGAGACTATCCCACCTCCAGGGGTAGACCCTGATTAGTCCAAGTCAATTAATGTAAGTCTGATTCCCTTGCCACAGTGATTGGTTCTGTCAGAACTAAACCAATCAGTCATGGCAATCCCCTGGCTACATTTGACCTAATTCAGGGCGATGAAAAGCAAGATATCAGAGGCCTTCTGGGGAAGGAGCTTTATCATTTTTATGAGAGGGCTGTAGACATGATTCTCTCTCTCCCTTTCTCTGAAAATTGATAAGGAAGCATGTACTAACTATCTTTTTGTTAGCAGCCATCTTGCCCCATGAGAGAAAGGCAGTATTAAAATGAGACTGGCACCAAAAGCAGAACAAAGACCAAGCTGCCAAGTCAAACTAACACTGAGCCCACCCCACCTCTGCACTTCCAGCTATGTGAACAGTGTATGAGTTAGGATCAGGTTCAGTTGCAAGTAACCAGAAACCCCAAACAAGAGTGGCTTCAACAAGTTTAAGTTTTATTTATTTCCCAGGCCAAAAAAAAAAAAAAAAAAAAAAATTTCCAGGGAGAGCATACCTTTTGTCTGGTAGCTCTGTCAGCTAAATTAACACATAATGTATTTCCCCCATCCAAGATGGCTTCTCCAACTCCAGCCATCACACCCAAATCCCGTCAGCAAGGAGAAAAGGAAATGATCCTTCCCAGAAGAGGCGTATAGCACTTCTGCTTGTATGCTAGGAGTTAATTACACAGCCACACCCAGCTTCAGGTGAGGCTGAGAGACTTGTCTTTATTCTGGGAGGCCACGTGACTGGCTAAACCTTGGAGACTGTGCTCCTAGTAGAAGAAGAAAATGGATATTAGAGGATAACTAGAGGCAATTTGAGTTGGGTTTCCTGTTACTTGCAATCAAATATACCCTAATTGGTACAACCTCAGAAACTCCTTTTTACCTGCCATCTGCAATCACATGTTGAAGGATAAAAATGAGAGACTTTTCACTGGGAGCCCCTCAAGATTTTCTCCTCAGGCTTAGGACAGCACCTGGCACATAGAGGCACTTGATAAACATTTTCTAAATTAAAGAAAATTAACTAAGGGGATTCAAATAGAGAGAGTTCAATAGAATTGCTTTTTGACTTGTCAGCTCTAGCCTTGGGCAAGTCCTAAAATCTTCTGAGCCTCGGCTTCCTTGCCTGTTAATGAAAGTAATACTTACCTTCAACCATTGTTATAAATGTTAGTGACAACGCAAAGTGCCTAGCACAATTCCTGGCACATGCCCATGGTTGACACACACACCACATATAAGTATTTTTTAAAATTACGATTATGTGATTAGATGTTTTGAAGGAACCCTGAAGTTGAGAAACAAAGGATTCTGGCAATGTTTCAAACCTACGCAAACTCTATGGACTATTATTAATTCTTATTCTTAACAATGGAAAATATGAATGCTGGATTCAAAGAAAATAATACTTTGAAGAGATTTTTTCATTAAAACTCTGAAGACTTCTCAGATATCAAATGGTTATTTAGTGAGTAGAGTGTGAATGAATCAGAACATACATATTGAATTCATGTTGGAGCCCATAGAACATATGCTTTGCACTCACCTGCTGTCCTAGGACTGAAAAAACAGTGTGATGTTCTGCTAAACCCTAAATGACCTTGTATTGGTCCGTTTGCATTGCTATAAAGGAATACCTGAGGCTGGGTAATTTATAAAGAAAAGAGGTTTATTTGGCTCACAGTTCTGCAGGCTGTAAAAGCATGGCAGCAGCATCTGCTTGGCTTCTGGGGAGGCCTCAGGAAGCTTACAATCATGGCAGAAGGTAAAGGGAGGGACAGTGTATCACATGGCAAGAGAGAGAGAGAGGATGAGGCACCAGGCTCCTCTAAACAACTGGCTCTCATGTGAGCTAACAGAGTGGGAACTCACTCATTACCATGGGGAGGGCACCAAGCCATTCACTAGGGATCCACCCCCATGATCCAACATCTCCCACTGGGCCCCACCTCCAACACTGGAGGTCACATTTCAACATGAGATCTGGAGGGAACAAACATCCAGACCCCATCAGACCTTGAACTTAGCAAACAGACCAAGTGATGAAGAACCACAGGTCACTTTTCAGGACATTCAGCGATTTACAACTCACTCTGATTTGTGATCTTTTTTTGTTTGTTTGTTTTCATTGATTTGGTTTAGAAACCTGAAGGGGAAAATAGAACTATCCCCTTTGTTCACCCACCCACCTGCCAAGGTGTGAAAACAGATGGAAATGTCACTTCTGTGAAGACACCCTCTGATAAGACATGAGACCTCACAGGTGCATAAAAAATTCAGAGTTAGCTTTTAGGTCAAAGCACAGATAAAGCTGTTAGTAAGAGAGCAAAAAGAGAGGCGTGAAGGAGGTTTCTAATGTTAATGGTGACCAACTGTCCAGGCTTCCCTTGTGGAGATGAGGAAACGGCCTCTCAGAGAAATGGTCATTCTTCGCAGGGGTGGTAGCGAACGAACAGAGTGGGGGCAAGAGGCAGTTTCCCATTTCACAGTCCAGTAGACGCTGGCAACAAGGATGTTTAAAAAGACAAGGAAATCTACTTGCAAGGGCAGCACACTAGTTTTAAAGGGTGGCTAGTGCATTAGTGTTTGTGAGGTACTTTCACACATTGAACACTCACACACATTGGACACATGCACTGGCCTTTCACACACATCGGATAGTCACTCATACCAGAGGAGGAGTCGGACTGGGAGAAGTTAAGTGATTTGTCCAAGGGAGAAAAACTGCTCAGAGGTGTGTGACTTCAGATACTCTCCTCTTCTCACTCTACACACAGACATGTCAGAGGCAACATCATTGTGTTTCTTTTTTAAAAGAAGAAAGAAATGCATATTTGTTGTTCTGGTACCATCATCTCCATTTGCTGAATATCTTTGGGGGGAAAAGTCTCCTTTCGAATTCATGAACCGATCTCCAGATTTTCGTGTGTGTGGAGGTGACTGACTCTCTGCCTAGGAGAGGGTCTGTTGCGTCACTTCGTTGGCCTTTCCTTCCCAGTCTCCCGCTCGCCTCCCTGCATGGGCCCTCATTGCCTCACCCCTAAACATCACAGTGGGTCTTTGACGGCCCCTGCAGCCACAACACTCCTGATGAAATGCTGCGCAAACGCAGAAAGCTCCAGACCTAAATTTGATATCAAAATGTTAAAATGTGTGTCATCAAAATGGTCAGTATGTTCTTTCTGTTTTTGTTTTGTTTTGGAGATGGAGTCTCACTCATTCTGTTGCCCAGGCTGGAGTGCAGTGCCACAATCTCAGCTCACTGCAGTCTCCGCTTGCCAGGTTCAAGCGATTCTCCTGCCTCAGCCTCCCTAGTAGCTGGGATTACAGGCGCACGCCACCACGCCCAGCTAGTTTTTGTATTTTTAGTAGAGACAGGGTTTCACCATGTTGGCCAGGCTGGTGTTGAATTCCCGGCCTCAAGTGATCCACCCACCTTAGCCTCCCAAAGTGCTGTGGTTACAGGCGTGAGCCACAGCGCCTGGCTTAAATTGTCAGTGTGTTCTAACCAGTGGGCTCTAATCCTTGTCTAATTGTTCCTCCCTCTCAGGGTAGTTCAATCTTTTGGCTTCCCTGGGCCACACTGGAAGGAGAATTGTCAGGGGCCCCACATAAAATACACTAACACTAACGATAGCTGATGAGGTAAAATAAATAAATAAATAAAAATTAATCGCAAAAAATCTCATGTTTTAAGAAAGTTTAGGAACTCATGTTGGGTTGCATCCAAAGCCATTGCAGGCACCACGGGTCGGACAAGCTTGCTCTAGATTGACTCAAAGTATAATTTATCTCATTTTTTCAAAGGGAAAATCCTCTTTCTCAAAATTGTAGACCTCTTAAGTTTGCTGGGTAGACCATCAAAAACATTAAGCTCTGTTCCTAAAAAATGGCAGGTTTGGGGCTCTGTCCAAGGTTGACTTTGCAGTATTGACCACCAATTGGTGCTTTTTACCCTCATGGAGAAATTGATCTTTCTTTGACCCTTCATTATGTTGACCAGAACCAGTGATGTGCTGGAACCACTTAACTAGCTCATGAGAACTGATCCTTAAGTTTTCAGGAATTTTGCAAACTGGTTGTTAAAAAAATAATCATTATTCACAATGAAATTAAATAAGCTTACAGCTAAATTATATTAAAAACAAATGTAATAATGCATAAAATGTGTAACTTTCTATTTTACCAATATTTTATTTACTAATATTTTACTGATATCTAATACCTATTATCTTGAGATTATTTAGGCCTATTGTATCGATATGGCGGAAACATCATAAAATAGTGTGCTCTTGTGTTTTTCTCCCTAACTCTGCATTTAGTAACATCACATTGGTAGCATGAAATCAGCCATGGAGAGAGTGTTTGCCCCACAGAAACTGGAAGTTGAAAAGGCTGTAAATCAGCCGGGCGAGGTGGCTCACGTCTGTAATCCAGCACTTTGGGAGGCCAAGGCAGGTGGATCACTTGAGATCAGGAGTTCAAGACTAGCCTGGCCAACATGGAGAAAACCTGTGTCTACTAAAAATACAAAAATTAGCTGGCGTGGTGGTGGGCACCTGTAGTCCCAGCTACTCGGGAGGCTGAGGCAGGAGAATCGCTTGAACCTGGGAGGCAGAGGTTGCAGTGAGCTAAGATCGTGCCACTGCACTCCAGCCTGGGCGACAGAGTGAGACGCTGTCTTAAAAAAAAAAGGAAAGAAAAAGCTGTAAATCAGGACTTTATTTCAGAGAGCTAGCTATTTTTTATGCATTTACCAGCATACCATTGACCAGCTGCAAACCAAGCAACGGGAGCATATTGAGATCACTGTTTTTAAGACTATTGCAAAATCTTGTTTATAATACCAACCGCTGAATCAAGGTGTGGAAAAATGACTTTGAAGGACCAGATGAGTGTTAGGCAATGTAAAATAAGGGTGCATTTGGGCCATCCACTCTTTTTTTTTTTTTTTTTTTTTTGAGACAGGGTCTTCCTCTGATGCTTAGGCTGGAGTGCAGTGTCACAATCACAGCTCACTGCAGCTTCAACCTCCCACAGCTCAAGCAATCCTCCCAGCTCAGCCTTCTGAGTAGCTGGGACTACAGGCACATCCCATCACTCCTGACTAATTCTTTTGTATTTTTTGTAAAGATGGGGTCTCACTTTGTTGCCCAGGCTGGTCTCAAACTCCTGGCCTCAAATGATCCTCCTGCCTTGGCCTCCCAAAGTGCTGGGATTACAGCTGTGAGCCACCATGCCCAGCCCCTTGTTTCTTTTGATGTAGATCCTAATGGCGTATACCACTTTTAGATTGCATAGACACACCCCGTTCCATAATTAACAGCAGGTATAGTTTCATTATCAAAAAGCAGCAAAAGAAAATAGTGCTGGCTGGGCATGGTGGCTCACACATGTAATCCCAGCACTTTGGGAGGCCTAGGCAGGTGGATCACGAGGTCAGGAGTTCAAGACCAGCCTGGCCAAGATGGTGAAACCCCGTCTCTACTAAAAATACAAAAAATTAGCCGGGCGTGGTGGCACGCGCCTGTAATCCTAGCTACTCTGGAGGCTGAGGCAGAGAATTGCTTAAACCTGGAGGGGCGGAGGTTGCAGTGAGCCGAGATCACGCCACTGCACTCCAGCCTGGGCGACACAGTGAGACTCCATCTCCAAAAAAAAAAAGAAAAGAAAAGAAAAGAAAATAGTGTTGGCATTTATCCATTTTCAAAAAGAAAAGTTTAACCTCAACAACCAAAGACGTTACACAAAAATTACTGTTTAGGGCAGGCAGCCACCAACATTATCAAACATGTTCATGACATAACTTTAATCCCTCCAATGGTTTTTTGTGTCTATTTCATCCTACAAGACACACAGGGAATGAATTGTTCTGGTAGTCCAGGGGAAGGGAAGTGCTTTGCCTGAGCGGTAGGTTTAGGGGGTTTGGAAGGTGAAATGACAGGGTTGCCCAGCCCTCACTTCTTTCTGTCTCTCTCGTTCTCTCCCCACCCCCTTGGGAGCATGTTTCCACCAGGGACCACATGTTCTCAGTTCATTCTTGTCCTACTTCTTACAGAAGCCTGTGCTGCCGAGGCATTGCCGATGACAAGGTAGGAAAGGTTAATTCTGGGGCTCAGACCCAGGAAACTCACTTGCCCACAGACACAAGCCACATTTCCCAACATCAGATGTACTTTGTTCCCATCTGCCTTACCACGTTGTCTTATTTCTCCGTGGACTCAGAATCCAATAGGGTAGGGGCCATTAGTTCCAGGACCTCTCTAACCCATCAACGGGCAAGGAGACAGAGCTTAGAACTAAATCTTCCGGCCAGGCATGGTGGTTCACGCTTGTAATCCCAGGCAGCACTTTGGGAGGCCTAGGCAGGCAGATCACGAGGTCAGGAGTTCGAGACCAACCTGACCAACACAGTGAAACCCCATCTCTACTAAAAATACAAAAAATAGGTGGGCGTGATGGCGGGCACCTGTAATCCCAGCTACTTGGGAGGCTGAGGCAGGAAAATCGCTTGAACCCAGGAGGCAAAGGTTGCAGTGAGCCAAGATCATGCCATTGCACTCCAGCCTGGGCGAAAGAGCTAGACTCGGTCTCGAAAAAAAAAGAAAGAAAAAGAAAAAAAAAAAGAAAGAGAGAGAGAACTAAGTCCTCCAAGGACATTACAAAGAAATTTCTATGGCTGAAGTAGAAAGCTGTCAACACTTACCCACTTTCATTTTAAAAGTGTTACTTTTAATGTTCTACTATATGGAAATTTGGCATCTCAACGGAGCCCTGGCTTGTTGGCCCAGCTCCAAAACTGAATCCTAAAGATAATCCTGGCTTTTCCTCAGACAGCTCCCCCACCCTGACAGCCAACCTCCAGGCAGGATGGGGAGGCCTTTGATCTAGACAGGGATCCTGTCCAGGCCCTTTTAAGTTTCATAACTGAACATTAACCCTCCCACATGCTCACCTGGGTTTCAAAGCAAATGCCTCTGCCCATAAGGGAGTAATTCCCAAGTTCCAGACCCTTGTTAGAGAAGATAATTTTGAACTGTTTACTCTCCCACTTCTTTGAAAAGCCCAGTTGAGATCATCTTTTTTAGGGCAGAAACTTTAATATTTGCTATAGAAATGTTTATAGACGATTGTGCAGAAAAAACAGACAAATGAATATTCCTGCTGCATTTGCTATGAAATGGTCATCCAGGACACAGTGCAGAGCATCTTCCAGAAACTTCTATCTGATCATCTATGTGAGGAATAGCTCAGATCTTTGTACTAGGGAAACTTTATCTCCCCTGAGAAATGAAATGCTTCTTCCTCTCAGTCGGTCATTTAAGCACCACTTTTCCCTCTTTATGTTGGTTTTAAGGAGGCTACAGCCAAGCCCCAGCCCTCAAGCTCAGTCACAGAAGCTCTATCGACCCTATGGGTTGGGATGTCTGCCTTTCTCCTCTTCATCTTTCTTTCTCCTCATTTTCCCTCTCTTGTATTGATTTTGATATATGTATTCCCTTTTAAGGCCATTTTAAAGTTCTTTTGGGAAGAGGTGAGATATAACTAGAATTAAATGATTCCATGATTGCTTGAAGCCAGGGGCGGGGAGTGTGGGAGGAAAGACAACTGCAAAAGGGCACAGGGGAGGTTTTGGTGTTAACAGAATTTCTATATCTTGATTATAGCAGTGGTTACCTGGGTGCATGCATTTGTCAAAATTTATTGAACCGAACAGCTAAAATGGTGCATTTCATTGTAGGTATTATAAATTACACCTCAATAAAGCTGATTTATTCATCCAACTAATATTATGTTTCTATATTCTGCCAGGCACCTTGTGTGGTGTTGGGCAGGGAAAGGGTACACAGTTGTATAGGTTGTTCACTGAACAAGGGTACCTGGTCAAGGGGCAAGGAGGGGCTGAAATCCAGGCAATGTCTGCTCACCAAACCAATGTCCAGCAAGGGGCTGGGTATTCTCAGAGGAAGAAGCAGACTTTTCTATTTCAGAAAAGACATTCTGTGGGTTCCCAAAGTCTGATTCTGAAGATGTAGTGAAAAAGAATATAGACAATTCCCTGCTTTTGTGGAACTTGTAGTCTGGAGGTGGAGGGTAGTAATGAGCCAGCAAACATAGAAGATAGTTGTATATTGTAATAAGCACCATAGAGAAATAAATAGGATGAGGTCATGGGGAGCGTCAGGCTGGGGGAGATGCTCACTCTAGATAAGGCTTCTAAAAAGCTGACATTTCAGCTATGGCTCCAGTGATGAAAAGCAACCAACTTTGCAAAGTGCAAAGAGGATAGCAGCCCAGACAGGGGAAACAGCGAGAGCCTTAGCTCCTGCCTTAGCAGGAGAACTTGGTCTATACAAGGGTCAGAGAGAAGACTGCTGTTGCATGTAATGAGTGAACCAGGGGCAGGCATGGGATCGGTAGTGCAATTAATTCTTAAAAGTTAGACATAGACCTTGAGAAATGGCTCTGAAAACTAACTGCGCTACAAAACATCTTACTCCTCATAGATTTTAGAGTTACAAGAGACCCTAGAGATAAGATAGTCCTTCAGTCTTCTCCTATAACAAATGCAAAAGAGAAGGCCCAGCTCACTCTCATAGCTAATGACACAGATAGGATTAGAACTCAGGCTTTGCTTCAATTCAATTAAACTAATAGTTACTGATTGCCTACCATGTGTCAGGTAACTACTTACTCCCTGTCAGAGATTTTAAAGTGTGGTAGGGTTGAATAACAAGGATGGCTGGGCATGGTGGCTCACACCTGTAATCCCAGCACTTTGGGAGGCTGAGGTAAGCGGATCACTTGAGGGCAGGAGTTCAAGAGTAGCCTGGACAATATGGCAAAACCCCGTCTCTACTAAAAATACAAAAAAAAAAAATTACCTGGGCATGGTGGCGCATGCCTGTAATGCCAGTTACTTGGGAGGCTGAAGCATGAGAATCACTTGAAACTGGGAAATAGAGGTTGCAATGAGCCGAGATCGCACCACTGCACTCCAGCCTGGACAACAGTGCCAGACTCTATCTAAAAAAAAAAAAAAAAAAAAAGGACAAGGACAACTGGAAAGAAAAAAGAAAGAACAAGGATGACTGAATTGATGACATTCTGTTGTTGGAGACATTTTAACATGGGGAACAGCTGCCTTTAGCAAGCTGTAGGGGGTTAATCAGATGAGTATTTCACAAGTTTTAATTTTTTTTTTTTTTCTGGAGACAGAGTCTCACTCTGTCGCCCAGGCTGGAGTGCAGTGGCACGATCTTGGCTCACTGCAACCTCTGCCTCCCCAGTTCAAGCAAGTCTCCTGACTCAGCCTCCCGAGTAGCTGGGACTACAGGCGCCTGCCACCACACCTGGCCAATTTTTGTATTTTTAGTAGAGACGAGGTTTCACCATATTGGTCAGCCTGGTCTCTAACTCCTGACCTCAGGCAATCTGCCCACCTTGGCCTCCCAAAGAGCTGGGATTACAGGCATGAGCCACCGCACCAGGCCTAATTTTTGCTTTAAGAAATACTTTCATTCCTGAAATTGAGATTTTTTTTAAATAATTCATGTTTTAAGTCAGAAAATTCTGAAGATGTAGAGATGAAAGAACTCTGTTAAGGGAATGACGGGTGGAGAAGTACCAAGGGCACCATCAGTGATGAAGGTGCTAGTCATCAACTGTGGAAAACCCAGCATCCTCTTTGAAATCCAAGTAAAGCAAGAGTGGGACAGAGGCCTTGCAAGGAAAAACTCAGCTACTACAGCCCAAGCCATGCCAGTGTCTATGACCAGAATATGATGTCATCCACCACACTTCCTTCACCTGTCCAGGCTCACTGCCTGTAAATGGCAGGTGAAAATGGAAACCTATTCTGAAGCCATGCCCTTGTCATTGTTAAATGATATGCTGACTAGCAAAACCAAAATTTCTTGGAATTATATTTTCCCTCTCTAATCTTCCTTTGCAGTTAAAGAAGCTATAGCCATGCAATTAAGCACTAGCCCACAGAAACACACCACTAAACCACTTTCGGCTTTATCTCATCAAGTTACAATAGTAATGGAAATGAAACCTGCTATATTCAACACAAACTTGAGTACACTGCACAAGTGGATAAAAGCTAATGAAGAAAGCAAAGCTAATATGTCAAGTCACATTTTTTCTTGAATGTGAAGGGTTTGGTTTTTTGTTTTTCTTTTAAAGAAAGTGACTTTCTTACTTTCAGCTCACAGATATTTCCTTAACTGACCTCTAATTCACAGATGCAACCCCCTGGCAGTCAGGCCTATGCTAAAACGGCTTCATCCCCTGACCTCAGTGAGTGATCTCACAGTAATCCCTTCCAGGGATTAGTCTGGGCCAAACTCCCATCTCAGTGTGGGCCAAATTCCTAACTGGAGATGCAGTGAATTCTTCTGAAATTTGCTGCCCAGCATCTCCTCCTCTTCTGAAACTGCCCCCCGCCTCCCCATCAAGTCACAGTGCAGTTTCTGGGAAGACCTGCTTCTTAGGACTGACCTCTCAGGCCGTGTTTGATTGGTCCGGAGGGACTGGGCCTCAGAAACTGACCAGACCTTAAGGCCTGTGGGCAGCACCCAGTGCTGCCTCTCTTCTCTCAGCTTTTCTTTTTCCCTCTGCAGACTGGCTCTTTCTGTTGCTCAGTCCATGTGGCAGAAGATGGCAGTGCAGAAATTTGTCTCTCCAAAGTTAGAACTCTTGTTTGCAAGCAACAAGGTGTCACAGAAACCAACAGCAGGATTGCAGATGGGCCTCAGGCACAAGAAGAGCCAGGGACTTGAATGAGAATGTGGGCAAGAGTCTCATATGGTCACTTTTCCCTATCTCTTTTTACTTATCTTATCAGTCATCTCTCACTGCAGATTGGTTCTCTTTCCAACCCCCAAACTAAATAATGGCCACGGCCAATAGTTCCTAACATCTCCTGGAGATACAACTCTCCAGTTCAAGAGAGCACCTATACTGGATTGGAATCTTAGTCCAATTCTAAATTCCTGGGGAACCCTTTGGTTGTGTCTGTACAGGATGTTGTTGGCTTTTTAGGCACAGCAAGTCATGCTCTGCAGAACTCTCCCATCCCTGGCAGGACATTTCACGTAGTGGCCCCTGTCCATTAAATGCCCTTAGCATTCCACCTTACTGATTGTGACAACCAGAAAAGAAATAAAATATTCTGCCAAATACCCCATTGGGGGACAGCATCATGCTAATGTCAGAAACACTTCATTAGGTATTTCAAACTGTTTGATTTGGTGTCTTATTCCCAGTTAATTCTAATATTGGTCATAAGTGGCTAAATCCTGAGAGGAAGTTCCCTCAGAATGCATCTTAGAGGATAGAGAGGTGTATGGAAACCCAATGACATTTTCATTTCTTTATGATTCTGAGTCACCAATGTATGTTTCTAAAAAGCAAACTGTGTTTGGGTTTTCTTTTTTTTAAAAGTCACATCTTGCTCCTGCTAAATAGCTGATTTATTTTTCTTGCACAATGGCATGATGATGAAATCAAGAATATGGTAAATGTTTGGGCTTTTTTCATCATATAATGTAATTAGTAGTCAAAATGGCAAATATTTACTTGTGAGCTGGTATTCTCCTTTGGACTCATACAACCAAACACCAATGCAAGTCAAGTGTCCCTCTTCCTGTATCCCAGGGACAATGGAGGGAAAGGACAATCACAGAGAGAGTTTGTCAGCTAAGGCAGTTTTTTTTTTCCTTCATAGAAATCAAGGTTTGGTCATGGCCAACTCTGCTGGCCCCTTCTCCCATTATCTGACCTTGAGGTGGGGTCCTCCCTTAGCTTAAGCACCACAGCGTGAGCATGGTTAGACTCAGCACACACAGGCCTAAAGAGAATTAAGATGATGAACACGATGGCTTTAAGGCAGATTTTCAGAGATTGTTATTATAACCCCAGAAAATATGACCCAGAGCAATTGCTCTGGTACCCCTTAAGACTTCTGGGATTCCTTGGCTCTAGCTTGGAAACTGCACTGGCAAGAGGAGAACCATCATAAAGTTTATGGGCTGAAGAAATTGTAAGACTACACATGTGGGACAGGCACGGTGGTTCACACCTGTAATCCCAGCACTTTGGGAGGCCAAGGCGGGAAGATCACTTGAGCCCAAGAGTTTGAGACCAGCCTGGCCCATATGGTGAAACCCCATCTCTACCAAAAATACAAAAATTAGCTGGGCCTGGTGATACACGCCTATAGTCCCAGCTGCTCTGGAGACTGAGACAGGAGAATCGCTTGAACCCGGGAGGTGGAGGTTGCAGTGAGCCAAGATCATTCCTCTGCACTCCAGCCTGGGCAACAAGAGCAAAACTCTGTCTCAAAAAAAAAAAAAAAAAAAAAAAAGACTATATATGTGGCTCTAATTTACAACTTGCATGGTATTTCTATTAGATAGTTCTGTTATAGTATTTTAATCCATTTTTAAAACTAATTATTTTAATCAACAAATGAAAACTATAAATATACACATGATATAATGTACAACACATTTTGAAATATGTCAATTTTGAATTAATGTGATAAATTAATAAATCATCTCTGAAATAATGGTATTAGCCCCAGGGTCATATAGTGAAAAGAGAACTGACTTGGGTAGCAAGAGATATGGATTCTAGAATTTTTTAAAAAAAGAATCCAGGGCTGGGCACAGAGGCTTACACTTGTAATCCTAGCACTTTGGTAGGCTAAGACGGGCCGATTGCCTGAGCTCAGGAGTTGGAGACCAGCCTGAGCAACATGGTGAAGCCCTGTCTCTACTAAAATACAAAAACTTAAGTGAGCATGGGTGGCATGCGCCTGTAGTCCCAGCTACTTAGGAGGCTGAGGCATGAGAATTACTTGAACCCAGGAGGCAGAGGTTGCAGTGAACCAAGATCACACAACTGCACTCCAGCCTAGGAAACAGAGCGAGACTGTGTCCAAAAAATAAAATAGAATAAAATAAAATAAAATAAAATAGAACCCAGGAGCCCATACTAATACAAATGAATGAATGAATGAATGAATGAATAGGGGCAAACGGAAAACTTACTTACAGTAGGATTCTAGCAACCTCATGTGCCTCCTGATATCATGCCCTGAGAAGGACACTGCACCATGGCTGTACTGTGCTGTGTCTGTGCTAAAGTCGCAGAACTTGAATTTAACCACAAGAAAACTCCAACAAACCCAAATCTAGGGCCGTTCTTCAAAATAACTGACCTATACTCTTTAAAAGTGTCAAGGTCCTAAAAGACAAAGAAAGACAAAGGAGTTATTCCAGATGAAAGGAAACTGAAGAGACATGACAACTACATCTGTTTGAATCTGAATTGGATCTTGGGACAGATAAAGGACATTAGTGGGATAATTGACAAAATTTGAATAAGGTCTGTAGATTAGTTAACAGTATTGTTTTAATGTTAATTTCCTGATATTATACCTGTACTATGGTTATGAAAGAGAGTGTTCTTGCTTTTAGGAAATACACACTGAAGTATTTACGGATGAGGGAAATTGAAATTCTAGTTCCAACTTTATTAGCTGGGGCATCTAGGACAAGTTATTTAAACTCTCTGGGCCTCAGTTTTTTCATTTGCACTGGCTCAGTGGTCTTCAAAGCGTGGTACTTCTAAAACAGCGTCATCTGGGAAGTTGTTAGAAATGCAAATGTACATGCCCCACCCCAGACCTGAATCAGATACTGGGAATAGAGCCCATGTTTTAGCAGGCCCTTCAAAAGATCCTGATGCATGCTCATATTTGAGAACCACTGCCCTAGTTGATTACTAAGGTCCTCTTTAGCCTTAATGTTCTGCGGTTCTCATTTGTCTCTCCTGCTGAGGACAACCCATTCCCAAAAAGGATATCCCTCCCCCAAGTCATTCATCATTTATTTGGTGCTGACGAAGGGCTGGCCAGGAAGTTGGGAGTGCTGGAACTTTGGAGAAACAGTTCTCCTGGGCATTCAGACTCAACCTCTGCTTGCAATAGGTACAGATTAAACGTAGAACATTTAATAACCCTACTTAGCTCAGGAAACATTGAAGAAACCAAGTGATGCATAATTACGTTCCACGCAGTGGCTTGTCTGCCTCGGCTTCTTACTAAAATGCTTGAGCCAGTTGCTTCTAGGAGGAATAAGGCTGTGAATCACTCTGGCATGTTTCTATTACTAGCTATAGAAAGGTTTACCTCAGACTTCTCTGCAGGATAAATGTTTCCTGGATTACTCAGGTGGCGAGAATCTCTCCTAGTGCCTTCTAAGTCATTCTACAAACTCAGTCACTCTTGTCTGTTAAGAGTCTAAGCTGTGGCCCAACAGAGTATTAAGCTTGCTTCTGATTGGCTGATTAAAAACAAAAACAAACAAAATCTCTCCCATCTTGGTGACTGGATTGCCCCTGTGTCCTGCTTCCTAGAGGTTCCCACTCACACCTACTCCCTTATCTTCAACACCACCTGACTCCCAAATCTACTTTTTTAGTCCTGACCATTCCTTAACTTTAATTTCTGATTTTTTTTTTTACATTTTTATTTATTAAACAATACACCCATATGATTCAAAACTCGAGAAATGCAAAAGGCTATTTAGTATAAATCTGTAGGCATTATGTCCTTCCTTTCCCTGACTGTAACCCCTCCGCCATCATCCTCCAACTTCAATTTCTAATTTGTTACCATCCTGGAGATCTACTTTTATGTTTGTTTGTTTGTTTACTTATTTATTTATTTATTGAGAGGCAGGGTCACACTCTGTCGCCCAGGTTGGAGTGCAGTGGCGCAGTCATAGCTCACTGCAGCCTCAAACTCCTAGGCTCAAGAGATCCTCCCACCTCAGCCTCCTGAGAAGCAGGGACTATAGGCACAAGCCACCATACCCTGGTGATTTTTTTAGAAAATTTTCGTAGAAATGGGCGTCTGGCTATGTTGCCCAGGATGGTCTTGAACTCCTGGCCTCAAGCATTCCTCCCACCTCAGCCTCCCAAAGTGTTGAGATTACAGGCATGAGTCGTTGCACCCAGCCAGGATTCCCTCTTAGAACTGATGTCCCTTGAAAGTCACCGTGTCCTAGAATGAACCCATTATCTTCCCTATTACCCTGAACCTACCATCTTTAAGCCTCTTTGTTTTCACCAGTAAAATGGGCTAATAATAGGACTTTCTTCATAGGGTGTTTTGTATGTTCCCCATAGAGGCAAGACTTGTAAGCTTTCACACTGCTGGAAACATAGTAAGCACTCAGTAAAAATTCACTATTGATAATGCAGTAATGATACCAAGAAATTCTCCCAAAATTGAATATCTATGTATGGCTTTCCCCTCTACTTCCCCTCCCCACCCACAGTCCCCCAGTCTTCCAAACTGCCAAGCTCTGGGGTTTATTTTTTTTCCTCTTTCCTTTCTCTATTCCAGATGTTTGGCCTCATCTATCTTTATATTGTCCCCTTCTTGATGGGACTTGGATGGGGCAAGAGGAATTAGGAGGAAATTCCCTGGGAAGCTGCCCTTTTCTTGCGAGGGCTCTTGGGCTAAGCTGCTGAGGAGACTTCTCAGCTCAAGGGTTACATGCCTTTGCCCCACGCCCCTCCCATCATGGACTCTCCCAGTCTCTCTTCTGGGATGTTGCTGGTAATTAGTAGTTCATTCCTGACATTGCTATTTCCCCCTGGGCCAAATGACCAAGATAGATATATTTAAAAATACAGGGTTTCCTGGCTCTCTTTAGCATGTTTAATCTTCCCACCATAGCTTACATTTCCCTCTCTTCCCTTGGACTTCACAAACAAATGCACAATTAGCATTTTCACAGTAAAATAAATAAATACACACGAGAACAAATCCTTCCATCTGTCAAGTGTTGTAGTCCTTAAATATAAAGGACTGCTATCTTGACATAGGGGAGGAAAGGAGGGACAATGAATGACTGCCTCACTGACAGCAGTCAGAATTTGAAGGAAAACAAAGGTACCAATGCTGCCATTTCTGCATTCCAATCTGTATTTTCTTAACCGTCTTCTCTCCCAAGCCACCCTTAGCCAGTGGGTATTCCACACCAAGGACTGCATTAGACCTAGTTGTATGAGCCATTAAAGTTTTCAGCTGGGCGCGGTGGCTGACACCTGTAATCCCAGCACTTTGGGAGGCCAAGGCAAGTGGATCATTTGAGGTTAGGAGTTCAAGACCAGCCTGGCCAACATGGTGAAATCCTGTCTCTACTAAAAATACAAAAATTAGCTGGGCATGGTGGCTCATGCCTGTAATCCCAGCTACTCAGGAGGCTGAGGCAGGAGAATCACTGGAGCCCGGGAGGCAGAAGTTGCAGTGAGCAGAGATTGCACCACTGCACTCAAACCTGGGCAACAGAGCAAGACTCTACCTCAAAAAAAAGTTTTCATAGTGTGGCCCTTGAGTTAAGAATATCTTTCACAGCCTGAGCAATGAAGTGAGATCTTTTCTCTACTAAAAAAAAAAAAAATTTATCCAGGCATGGTGGTGCAGACTGGGGAGGCTGAGGCGGGAGGATTGCTTGAGCCCAGGAGTTGGAGACCAGCCTGTGCAACATAGGGAGACCCCATCTCTACAAAAAATTTAAAAATTAGCTGGACATGGTGACACTCACCTGTAGTCCCAACTACTTGGGAGGCTGAGGTGGGAGGCTCACTTGAGCCCAGGAGATGGAGGCTGCAGTGAGCTGTGATCATGCCTCTGCATTCTGGCCTGGGTGACAGAGTGAGACCTTGTCTCAAAAAAAAAAATAAAAATTCTTTCTTATCCACCTGGTAACTTGGAAATGAGTACATGAACCTCTAACTGCTCTCTACTAAGCCATATTTGAGCCTGGTAGAGCGACGTCTCAACAGAAACTGCAGTCTATCAGAACATGGTAATCTTGCCAAATGAAGTGGTTAAAAGAGAAATACCTTCTTAACCAAAGCTAAAACATCTGCAACCTGGTTGTAACATTTCATATTTGATTTCAAGGAACATTAGATTTATTATGTCATGTACTTCCATTTTGTGACAGATGCTTCCTCTGCAGGAATATATTGGGTTCAAACATTTCTACCTCCAGGAATCGTTTCTTCACCCTGGTTTCCCTTCACTGGTCAGTTATTTTCCCTGGGTTCGCATAACCAATAAACAGTATTGTTCTGCTTTGGGTCCTGTGTTTTTAGGGGGCCTCCCTCTGACCCTCTTTTTGACTGTTCCCTCCTTACAGGACAAATAGTGCCCTCCCAGAGCCCATGCCTTCCCTTTTGGACCATATTCTAGGTACCCAACACCCCAGAATACTCTCCTTAAACAGCCCAGAGCCCTCTTCCATAGGTCCATCCTAAAAGTGGACCATGCAGCTGGTGAACACACCCCGGGGGGACTGAAGAGGGACCAGGTAAAAACCATTTGCTGCCAGAGAGCTTGGATCTGCGGTCCCAGGAGTCCACATGCACCTGACTCTGTGGAACAGGATGGAGCTGGAGATGGGGAAGCCCCAAGGAGCTGAGCTAGGGGTATATCTGATTATCTGACAAGGTAGGAGGAGAGGACATATTTCATTGATAGTTTGTTAGCTTGGTTTATAACTTTTAAATACTTAGACATATAGTCCATGGGCTTCTCTTTATACTCTTGCCCTGGGCCCTGCAAATGTTAAATGTGGGACTGCTCATAATACCCTGGGAATAGCTCTAGGTTTGCAGTGCTAGCATTGTATTTAATATAATCATCTGTTTTCATGACTGGCAGTTGCCACATACTCCCCCCAACCACAGGGCCCTTGCACACACTTTTCCCTTACCTGGAATGCTCTTCCCCGCTGATCCCTCTAGCCTAGGAAACATTTTTTTCTTTTTCTTTATCTTTTTTTTTTTTTTGAGACGTAGTCTCACTCTGTAGCCCAGGCTGGAGTGCAGTGGCACGATCTCGGCTCACTGTAAGCTCCGCCTCCCGAGTTCACGCCATTCTCCTGCCTCAGCCTCCCAAGTAGCTGGGACCACAGGCGCCTGCCACCACGCCTGGCTAATTTTTTGTATTTTTAGTGGAGACTGGGTTTCACCGTGTTAGCCAGGATGGTCTCGATCTCCTGACCTCGTGATCCTCCCACCTCGGCCTCCCAAAGTGCTGAAACTTTTAATGTATCGATCAGATCTCAGTTCAAATACCATTTGCTCTAAAAGTCTTTCCAGACTTCCTAGATTAGATCAGGCCCTCTGGTTTTCACTCTCACATCTGCCTCTGATAAACACTGAGGAGAAAATACAGTAGTCACATAATACCAGTGTTAATGATAATGAAAAGGCAGTCATCAATACTAAAGTTCAGACATTATGATAGATGGTTTACTTACATTACCTCATTTATTCTCCATAAGAAGCCTAATAAACTACTGTTATATCCCCATTTTACAGATGAAGAAGCTGAGCCTTGAGAAGTGTGATAGACTATTATGCTGATAGTCCCCAAATGAATCAGGGCTCGCAGAATTCACATCCTCCTGCAGCCCCCTCCTACATTGATTCCTGGGTTACCCAGGTGATTTGCTTTGGCCAATGGCACATCAGCAAACATGACTTAAGCGGTGGCTTGATAAATTCTTCCTTTTGGAAGCTAGACACCATTTAAGAATCCTGGACCAGGGCCAGGCACGGTGGCTCACGCCTGTAATCCCAGCACTTTGGGAGGCCGAGGTGGGCAGATCACTTAAGGACAGGAGTTCAAGACCAGCCTGGCCAACATGGTGAAACCCCCATCTCTACTTAAATTACAAAAAATTAGCCAGGCCTGGTGGTGGGCACCTATAATCCCAGCTACTCAGGAGGCTGAGGCAGGAGAATTGCTTGAACCCAGGAGGTGGAGGTTGCAGTGAGCCGAGGTCTCACTACTGCACTCCAGCCTGGGCAAAAGAGAGAGACTCTGTCACACACACAAAAAAAAAAAAAAAAACCAGACCAAACTGATGACTGAAAAGAAGCACATGGTGAGAGAAGCCCAGCTGGCTCAACATCTCAGCCCCCTCCCCTTTTCCTGAGTGTGCAGCCACTTAGAAAAGGACAGTAGAAGAACTATAGTCAGCAACTATAGAACTATTGTTGTAAGTCACTAAGTTTTAGGATAGTAATAATGTAGCATATGTATACTATGAAATAGACACAGTCATAGATAACTGATACAGAGAAGGTAAGTGATTTGCTCAAGAACACAGAGCTTCTAAGTGATATATATGAATATATAAACAGGCCCATGTTCGCACAATATACATTCCTAGTCCAGCTATCCTCTTCTGGACACTGCTGGGCATCGTGACTGGATCTCTGCTTTCTGGGCTCCTCTCCTGGTCTACACTGCTGTGCTTGCCCCCTCCTCATCAACCTGGCTTCCTCTGGCCTTGTTGTCTTGAGCATGTCCTGGATGAGACAGGACCATTGGCAGTAGCAAAAGTCCCTGGGTAAGATGGGCAGATTCTCATCACAGTGTGAGATTTCTCCCTAGGTCTGGGTGCCCACAGCACCCCCTCGGCTCCTCCCAAAGGGAATCTTGTAGGCCCCAAACCAGCCCCTTCCTTCCTTTAGGTCTCCAGAGCACTCACTCCTCAAGCCTCCACTCAGCCCTTTCCCATTCCTCAGGCCAGGTTTACCCCACGATGGACTTAAAAATAAGCTTGTCTTGCTACCAGGAAGATTTTCCACCAGGAGCCTGCATAATTGGCCCTTCCCATTCCAAGATGCAGAAGGTAGAATAGGAAACAAAAGTGCTGGTCCTTTCTCTCAAGTACCAGCCAGGACTATAAACCTTTTCTAGCCCCAAGCCAGAAACTAGAAGGGAAGAACACCTTCTAAAGAGAGAAAGACTGTGAAGATAGCTGACACCCAGAGAGTGATTGGATGAGATCTGAAAAATCCCTTATCATGTGCAGGGTTTCTAAGGGCCCTTAGAGAGCTTGCTGATTCCAGAAAGATGTGCATCACTTTCTTTTTTAAAACAGCATTATCAAAGTATGCTTTCCATTTCAATTGTACAGTTCATTTATTTTTACTTTACCAAATGGCACAGCCATCTCTTTAAACCAGTCTTAGAACATTTTCATCTT